>NC_000007.14:45391757-45694787 GCF_000001405.40 Homo sapiens
GATGTCCTTGGATGGTGAAGGCGGAGGAGGAGCCCGCGCAGTATCAGGAGCGCCACCCCGTCCAGGCCTGCCATTCCTGCACCCTTGGGTGTGCATGGCTGTCAGGAGGCAGTGTCCCCAGGGCTGTGTGTACGTCAGCCTGGGCCACATTTGCCATGGCAGAGGTGATAGGCACCTTGGCCTGGGGTGGGCAATCCTCAGTGGAGCACCCTGCCACCTCGGCGGGGGACGCAAACTTGTGGGTGAGCTTCTGGCCGCTCCCTTTGCGGATGATGTTCTTGTCATAACAGCTCCGCGAGGCCCTGCTGAGCTGGTTGGAATTCGTGTCAGTCTTGTTCTTGCGCGGCCCCCTCTGCATCCACCGGCTTGAACTCACCACCATCCCGGAGGTCCAGGAGATAACCTGGCCACTGCCTGGCTCAGCAGCTGCAGCAGAAACTGCCAGAGTCACAGATGGGGCCCCCGCTGGGGGGCGCTCATGCCGTCCCGGGTGCTAGCGCGCTGCGTGGTGGGCGTTGGCAATGTCCGCAGTTCCGGGGGACCGGCGCTCCATGCAGGGCCCCACCAACCCCAGGCCCTGGTTCCCAGGCGGCGGTGGCGGCAGCAGCAGCAGTTTTGAAGCCCGAGTATTTATTTTGTGTTTATTAAGTTTTAAGCGTTCTTTTAATATCCTGAATAGAAGTTCTTTATAAGATAGATGATTTACAAATAATTTTGTTCAGCCTGTGGTTTATTCAAATGGTTTAATAAACTGCTCCAATTTATCAAACCATTTGAATAAACCACAGACTGAACAAAATTATCTGTGGTTCATTTACTTAATGGTGTCTTTTGAAATAAAAAGTTTTGAATTTTGATGAAGTCCAATCGATCCATTATTTTCTTTTATAAATCATGCTTGTGACATATCTAAGTCCTCTCTGCCTAACCCAAGGTCATGAAGATTTTCCTGTTTTGTGTCAAAAGTTTTACGGGCTTAGCTCTTATACTTAAGTCTATGATACATTTTGAGTTACTTTATTCGTATGACGTTAAGTAGGAGTTTAGATTTTTATCTTTTTGCATGTGGATATTCAATTTCTCCAGTATCATTTGTTGCAAATTCCTTTCTCCACTGAATTGCTCTGACAACTTTGTTGAATGTTAGCTGACCATAACTATAAAGGCTCATTATTTTATTCTGTTCTGTAGATTATCTGGACCCTATTGTTCTGTTTCATTGGTTGGCACACTTATCCTTATACAAGCACCACTGTACTGATGATTTAGATTTATAGTAGGTTTTGAAATCGGGAAGCATAGTCCTCTTTGTTCTTTTTTTTTTTTTTTTCAAGACTGATTTGCTGTTTTGGGGAATTAAGTTGTTCATTCTACAGAAAAGCCTCTTGGGGTTTTATAGGGTTTATGTTAAATCTATAGATCAATTTGGGAAGAATTGCCATCTTAATGATATTGTGCCTTTTAATCCATGAACATAGAGCATTTCCTCTTTTATTTTGATCTTCCTTAATTTCTCTCAGAAATATTTACAGTCTTATACTTTCTTTTACATTTTTATCCCTAAGTATTTAATGTTTTTGATGATTTTGTGAATAGAAATTTAATTTCATTTATATTCTTTATTGCTAGTATATAAAAATGCAATTGAATTTTATATAGCAATCTTGTATCACGCAACCTTGCTGAACTTGTTCATTAGGTCTTATAGGGATTTCTTTGTGGGGTGTGGATTACTTAGGATTTACACATATGGGACCATGTCATCTGTGCATAAAGACAGTTTTTCTTTTTTCTTTTTCAATTTGGATGCTTTTTATTCCTTCTTCTTGCCTTAATGCACTGGCTAGAACTTCCTATACAATGTTGAATAAAAGTGGTGTGATTGGATGTTGTTGCCATTTCCTGATGTTAGGGAGAAAACATTTGCTCCTTGATTTGTAAGCATGGTATTAGTGAAGGATTTTTTTTTTTAAATTTTACTTTAAGTTCTGGGATACATGTGCAGAATGTGCAGGTTTGTTACATAGGTATACATGAGCCATGGTGGTTTGCTGCACCTATCAACCCATCATCTAGGTAGCGATGGACTTTTCATAAATGTCCTTGATCAAGCTGAGGAAGTTCCCTTCCATTGCTAGTTTGTCTAAAGTTTGTATTTTAGGTGGGTGTTGCATTTTGTCAGATGCTTTCTCTGCATCATGGGTTCCCCCGCTTTATTCTATTTATTTTCTGTATTAATTGATTTTTAATTATTAAACCAACTTTGAATTCCTGAAGCAAAGCCCACCCAATGATGAATATAATCCTTTTTATATGTTTCTGGATTTGGTTTGTTAACATTTTGTTGAGGACTTTTGTGTCCATATTAATGAGGAATGTTAGTTTATAATTGTCTGTGGGGGGTCTGTCCTGCAGACCCCAGGTTGCACGACAGATGAATAATGTACCCAGACACCGCTATTCAGTGAGAAAGCAGCTAGGAGTCTGAGTCACTCACAGTCACCAAGGAAGATGCTGTAAAGAGTCAGCAGCCAATGCCCTGACTAGCTGGCCCTGTGGGCATTTATTTAGCACAGATTTAATGACAAAGGCTTTGAGTCAACACACCTGTGGATAATTAATCTGGTCGCCCCCACCCTGGGAGAGCTATCTTGCCGGTGAGTGATCAAAGGTTAGTTTTAGGACCACATGAGTAAACAAGCTCTTTAGATAAACTCCTCTACATTCCTATGTATCTATGCCCTAAGCTATTAAGTGGATTTGCTGCCTTCAGCCAAACACTTTATGTAAACCTCCAGGCCTTCCAAGAGGGTTTGTATTTATATCCTTTAACTTCATCTTAAATTTTTTCCTACCAGCCTGACTGAACTCCCACAGTTGTCTTTTCTTATGATGTCTCACAGATTGGCCTCATAGAATGAGCTGGGAGCTACTTTCTCCTCCTCTACTTCCTGGAAAAGTTTGTAAAGAATTGGTATTATTTATTTTCTAAATGTTTGGTTGAATTCAACAATGAGGCCATCTGGGCCTGGGCTTTTCTTGTGGGAATATCTTGAATTATTAATGTAATGTTTTCATCTGTTATATTACATTCCCCAGTTCCTTTCTAGTATCTTTCTGATTAGGGTGGACTATAAGGGATATTCCCTTGTGAAAGCTGGAGGAGGTAAGAGAGGAAGCAGCCATTTGTACACCTTCTCCCAATTATTCAATTGAACACTAATCCGGCTGCTGCTGTGAAGGAATTTTGCAGATGTAATTAAAGTCAGCTGACATTAGTTAATCAAAAGGTAGACTATTCTGGGTGGATCTGATTTAAGTAGTTGCAAGCCCTTAATAGGAGGACCTAAGTCTTCCCTGAGTTTAGAAACTCCAAGCAGCAGTGTGGAAGGGAAGTTGTAGACCTTTCTACATACTGGGGCCTCCATAGTCTTGTTGTTGTTGTTCATTTGCTTATTTACCTCACTGGTGTGAAGCAGCAGATGGTTCTGCAATTGCTCCCAAGTTGTTTTATGGCCTACCACATGGTGTTTTCTGCAGACTGCTCTGTGTGTGCTTGAGAAGAAGTTCCTTGACAGGGTTGCACCAATCTCCTGTATCCTTGGTTTTCTGTCTAGTTGTCCTGTCCATTATTGAGAGTGAGGTATTGAAGTCTCTAAATATTATTGTTGAATTATTTATTTTTTCCCTTGAGTTCCGTTGGGGTTTACTTTTTCATATTTTGGGGTTCTGTTAAATGCATATATGTTTATAATTATTATACCTTCCTGATGAATTCACTCTTTCACCATTGTAAAATGACCCTTTATTTCTCATAAAAAGTTTCATCTTTTTTTTTTAGACAGGGTCTCACTCTGTCACCCAGGCTGGAGTGCAGTGGCACAATCTTGGCTCACTGCAACATTTGCCTCCTGGGCTCAAGCGATTCTCCCACACAGCATTCCAAGTAGCTAGGTCTACAGGTGCCTGCTACCGTGCCTGGCTAATTTTTGTACTTTTTGTAGAGAGGGTTCTCACCATGTTGCTCAGGCTGGTCTTGAACTCCTGGGCTTAAGTGATCCACCCACCTCAGCCTCCCAAAGTGCTGGAATTACAGGTATGAGCCACCATGCCTAGTCAATTATTTCACCTTAAGGCCTATTTTGTCTGATATTTCTATAGTCATGTCAGCCGTCTTATTGTAGTGACTTCCTATATGTTGCCCCGGCATTCATTTTGAATATAAGTTGGACTTCTTTTTGGCAAAAAGTAACTCTTGACATATTTTCCATTTCTCTACCTCCTCCCAGTTTCTCAAGGTGATCAATCCAGACCTCTGCCGTATGTAACCACCTCCTGGTGACCACCTCCCTGTGGGACAGCTGGATACAACCTACTTGACTCACCCTGATGACTCCCACACCGCGTATGGACTGTGCAGATATGTCACAATGACCACCTCTCAGTCGCAGTGTGACTCCATGGAGCTGGTGCTTGCTTTCTCTAAACTCAATTAGGACTCACCTTGGGAAACCTGCCTTGGTAATGTCCTGGACCCCAAAGCCTCTGCCCACAAGTCCCTCTCTCTTGCTCCTCACCCAGAGGTTGAGTGTGTGTTTCCTGGATGACTGTCTTCTTCCCATCAGTCCTGGTGATGTGTCCTGCCCTTTTCTCTCTAGATTTGTAAGTAATAAACTGCTTCTGTTATTTTGTGTGTTTTGATGAATTGCCCAAATATAACTTCTTCTCTGGTCAAGGCTTTCCTGGAGAGTGGCTATCTTGGTAGTAATTAACTGGACACAGGTAAGACAAGAGCCACAAGCCTGCCAGCATAAACAAGTTTCCTGTGGGAGAGATACCTGGTCTTGGATCCAATACTTAGGCATTAGACCATTCACCAGGACAAAGAAGTATCCCACGGGAGTCATGGCCCACCATGGCTTCCTCTTCTTGCTCCATGTCTAAAGATTCTATAATATGACCACTCTTTAGGGTCTATCTGCCATCTCTGGAGACTGTGGATGAATGCTCCCTTAACAAGGGGACACAGTCCTCTCCTCTGCCACTTCATCTGAAGTGTGTGCATACTTTCCCAATTTTCCCCAGAACAACTGTGGCTCTTACCAAAGCTTTAGGGAAAACTGGGGTTAATTGAGAATATGTTGTATGAGTTAGGGTCCTAAATGAGATGAGGCCCTAGTTGCAAGGAACAGAAACTGACTCTGATTCAATCAGACAAGGATTCATTGAAAGGATATTTGGCAGATTGGGAAATAAACAGAAGCAAAGGGAGGGCAGGAACCTGAACCACAGGCAAAACAACACTGCCACCAACACATCAAAATCTCCTTTTTCCCAGCTTGCTCTTTCTTTCTTTCCTTCCTTCTCTCTCTCTTTTCTTTCTTTCTTTCCTTCCTTCTCTCTTTTCTTTCTTTCTTTCTTTTCTTTCTTTCTTTTTCTTTCTTCTTTCTTTTCCTTCCTTCCTTCCTTCCTTCCTTCCTTCCTTCCTTCCTTCCTTCCTTCCTTCCTTCCTTTTCTCTTTCTTTCTTTCTTTCTTTCTTTCCTTTCTTTCTTGAGACAGAGTTTCATTTTGTCACTCAGGCTGGAGTGCAGTGGTGTGATCTTGGCATCTTGGTTCGGCACAACCTCTACCTCCCGGGTCCTGCCTAGGCCTCCCGAGTAGCTGGGACTACAGGCACCTGGCACCAAGCCCAGCTAATTTTTTTGGATTTTTAGTAGAGTTTAGTAGGGTTTCACCATGTTGGCCAGGCTGGTCTCAAACTCCTGACCTCAAGTGATCTGCCTGCCTTGGCCTCCCAAAGTGCTGGGATTACAGGCATGAGCCACTGTGCCTGGCCTCCATTTTCAAGTTATCTGATTGGCCAGGGTTAGGTCATGGACCTGGTCAACAGCTGCCAGAGGCTTGGCTTTGGGGCTACTGTAGTGGGCACAGTTGTAGCCCTCAGGCTAAGCCTGGAATCCAGAGTTTTTCATTAGAACAGGGTGTGTCTTATGCATCTTGCATCCCTGAATGCTCAACACAGTGGCTGCCCCAGAGCATGTGCTCAGTCTACAGTTATTGAAATGGATCGACAGAAATTAATCTTCTGAGATAACAGTCGACATGCCAATGGGATTGGGAACATCTATGCTTCCTCATAGATGTTCAGTGCCTATTGCCCTGGAATCATACAGACCCTGTCACAAGTTAAGTTCACCTTAAGTACCCTATAGATCACAACTTCAGCATTGTGAAATGCTAAGGTTTCTTTTTGAGATGTGCTACCTTTACAGAAAGGAGGGCAGAGTCTTTTGTCATCATCTCATTCTAGTGCATGTACCAGTCTCAATCTTGGCTTCTACACCTTGGTATTGCCTCTGAGCCCCACCCTATTCATGTCATCCCTTCATAGTTTTTGTATCATTCCAACACAAACTCAAGGAGAACCCTTTCTCTGAGGCAGGGGTTTTTCCTTTCCTTGTAACAATCAGTGCTAAGGAGGAGGGACCCTACCTTCTGTACACATAGTGGCAGCAGGCAGAGCCCCCAGAGGCCTCTGACAGGTGGAAAGCCTACCCCCACCCACAAGGCTGAGTCCTGTGGCTCCTCAGAGCTCATACAGTGGTTGCTCAGGGAAGGTCTCATGAAAGGACAAGTCAAGATACATCTAGATGAATGGGTTTGCAGGAATTCAGAAGTCCAGGAAGCTGTCCGTGGAACTGCTTAAAAGTAGCTTCGAGGAAGACTCTCATCTCTTCCTGTGAAAAATAGCTTTAGATGAACAATTCCAGGGGATCTGTGACTTCTGCTCTCCAGCAATTTAAACAGTACCTTCAGATTCCTGCTACTAAAATAGAGCCCAGTGTTGGTCTTAGAAGCAAGTCTCTGGGGGTTTCTGTGGGTCGGTAAGCCTTCTTGCTGCTCTGAGGCCATGGGTGACTCTCACAATCTCAGCCCCACAAGATTATGATAGCAACTCCCTTTCCTTTACTGTTTCTTCTGAGGTTGGAGTAACCTGCCAAGAACCAGGTGATGTTCACGTTACCACTCATCCCTAAGGCACCTGGCAAGGCAGGGATTATTATCCCTATTTTAAAGGTGAGGAGGCCAAAGTTGGGGTCATGACAGGAAGAAGGGCCTCTGAACCTCTGATACCTTCACAGTGGTTGGGCTTTCCTGGACAAGATAAACAGTGCCAACTAGTCAATTGTTAGTATTTATTTTTTATTCGTGCCTTCATTCACTCATCTCAAGTTCATGAGATGAACACCAAGCCTTATGCTGGAAGCAGGGAGGAAAACATGACAAAAAACTTGTCCCCATGTGGTTAAGCATGTAGAGGAAGCAGTCCCATGAATGAGTAATGGAGGGCACAGTGATGACGGCAGCGGTGGCCCGTCTGGAGCAGCCACTGCGAAGATGCTGGCTGCAGTGGGGAAGGTGCGGCCAGGGCTGTGTGCTCCATGGAGCCGGGGGGAGCCAGGAACAGGTCGGAGCCCCGCCTCCTTCCAAGTTGGCGGGTTGGGAGCCCCGCCCTCCCGGGAGCAACTGCAGCTACCCAGCCCAGGCTGGGGACCTGGGCATCCCTGTACTCTTGGGGGGCCCAGGAAGCACCCCCTCCCCCTGCAGGCTCAGAAGTACCTGCTCCCACTGCCTGGCCTCTCCTCACTCCCGGTTCCCGCTCTGATTTTGGAGCGAAGTTGAGGCCGAGCCTGGGCACTGTTGTGATCCTGCCAGGTGTACGCGTACTTGGGGTGGTGCTGAGACGCCAGCCCCCTGCTGCCTTGGCCTCCTCCAGACTTTGGGCGCTGACAAGCATGGGAGAAAGGCCGAGAGGAACTGAAGGAGGCTCCTCACCGGCCTGTAGGTGCCCCTCAGAACGAACAGCCTGGGTACCATGGACGACAGGATTGATGGCGGTAGGAGTCAGACAGGCTCCTGGGTAGAAAGGAGTGGGTTTCGGCCGGGCGCGGTGGCCCACGCCTGTAATCCCAGCACTTTGGGAGGCCGAGGCGGGCGGATCACAAGGTCAGGAGATCGACACCATCCTGGTTAACATGGTGAGCCCCGTCTCTACTAAAAATACAAAAAATTAGCTGGGTGTGGTGGCGGGCACCTGTAGTCCCAGCTACTCAGGGGGCTGAGGCAGGAGAATGGCGTGAATCTCTCGCGCCACTGCACTCTAGCCTGGGCGACAGAGCGAAACTCCTTCTCAAAAAAAAAAAAAAAAGAAAAAAAAAAGAAAAGAGTGGGTTTCCGGTGAAGCCCCACCTTCAGGCCAGGGATGGCCTGAAGCATGGGAGCTGGGATGTTAGTTCCCCATGGAGTCTGTGGCCCAGAGTGAGAACTTACGGTGCTTTTTCCAGGTCCGCCCATGGCCACCCATAGACTGATCAGCACACACTTCCTCCCTTCTGAGGCCCATAAACCTCCCCCACCACCCCCCGACCCCAACCAGCCAGATACACAGAGATGTTGGGATGACCTGCTTGTGGATAGGAGCTACCTATCTCTGGTTTTCCTCTTTGCTGAGGGCTACAGACATTGGGATGACCTGCCTGCGGAAAGGTTACCTACTTTGGGTGTCCTGAGAGCCGTTATGTTGCTCAATGAAGCTCCTTTCTGCCTTGCTCACCTTCCAGTTGTCTGTGTACCTCATTCTTCCTGGATCCGGGCCAAGAACTTGGGACCCACCAAATGGCAGGACTGAAAGAGCTGTAACACAAACAGGACTGAATACCCCCCTCCCTCACTCTGCCACCTCAGCACATTCAGGTGATAAGAAGGAGAGAAGAGCTGCGGCCTTTCAGGGAGCCTAGACCTAGGGCCTCCCTGAGCCAGGGCTGTGACATCCTCTTTGGGGCTCTGTGGTTCCTGGTGGCTCCAAGCTTCCAGGTACCACTGCGTTCCCCTCATCCAGATAGGGGTGCCTGCAGCAGAAGCTGTGTGCAGTACATCTGGTCCTGCCACAGCCTTACGTGGAGCCAGTACCTGTGCTGGCTCTTGGAGCTGCTTGCCCTCCTACAGCAGCCGGCATGCCTGTGGCTTGACCCAGCACTTGCTTGCCCACACACCCCTCACCACTCTGCCTGGCTCACCCTTGGCAGGTGTGCGATCCAGGCCAGTAGCTCCAGCCGAGTGCAGCCTGCTGGGCTGAGTGGGAGGAACAGGCACAGCAGGTGTGAGCAATACTCAGGCAGAAGGTGCTGCCGGCCACAGAGGTTTCTGGCTGGCGAAGCAACACCCCAAGAATCCCATGACAATGGGACCCGTGGAAGGGATAAAGCATGACTCTGCTGGGGACTCCAGGCTCTGCAGAAGAGTAAAATTTCATCAGAACAAAGGTGAGTGGAATAGCAATGCTGGCAGCAAGAACAGCAGAAGCCAAGGTGGCAGGACTTAAGAACAAGACACATTCAGGAAATGGCAAGATCCCCAAGTGGTCATCATATGGAGCTCAGTGCAGGAGGATGGTGGAGGGGGGCCACCAAATCATTCAACCCTGGGTCCTGAGCATGGCCTCCAGCTGGGCAGATCAAGGCAGGAGGGAGACTTAGGGGCTATCAACCCCAAGCACTTCACTCTATAGATAAGCCATCTGTGTAACCTGGGGTGGCAGTAGACATGCGAAGCCAGACCCTGGGGCAAGCCCAGATTTACTCCTGGTCCTGATACCCTGATCTCACTGCTGAGGACCAGGGCCCTGAGCGTCACATGGTCATGGGCAAGAATAGGTGTGGCTTAACAGCAGAAAATTCCATGAACCATAGGCTTATGTGTGGTCCCCCCATAGAGGAAGTTGCTGAGCAGGCCAAATAGAACCTGGATTGCAACAATAGAGAAGAGTATGTTGAACAAGGTAGGAGACCCTGGCTTGGTCTATGTGGACGCGCTGGAGAGCACATGGAGGAAAATGGCCAGGCTGCTTCTGCGGCCAGTGGCAATGGAGTGTGGAACCAGCCACACCTCTGGCATTTCAGACCCGGGAGGACATGGGGTTCCCACTAAAGGAGCTGGCAGGAAAGTGAGAGAGAGAGCTGCCTAAAATCAGAGTTTTCTTCTCACACTTACCATCCCCGAGTCTACAGAAGCATCGTGATGTAGCTCAGGACTCACTCAAAATTTAATTTCTCAAGATACCTCTCTGGCCAGCACAGATTCTGTAATTATAATTTTATTTTTTTAATGGCTTGTTTATTTCAGGAGACACATTCCAAAGCGCTACACTGTTGTGGGCTGGTTTCTTTAGACACTTATTTTCAAGTCTGTGAGACCTCTGTTACACAGCATCTGTACAACATCTGTGCTTTCCTGTGCCCCTTTTCCAGTTATGGAAGTTAGCATGGCTGTGTTACTGGAAATGATTCCCAATTGGACACAGCCATGCACAGGGTAGATACCACTTGACCCAAAATAATTTTCTCTCTTGCCATGTTGGATTTCCAAACAGGCCAATCCTCACTGTGAAATCCAAGTAGGGGAAAACCAAGCACTGCATTCAAAGAAAGAAATTATTGTTGGCAGGATATTTACTTTCATTAGGATAACTCCTTATCATTTTAACCAGTTGGATAATCATCTCAGCTTAACAGATGTAATTTAAAGAATTAGCTGTGTATTGCAGGGTGGAGGAAGAGGTGTCTGGTGTCTGGAGACAAAATTAAAGCTAACGGATCACCCCAAGAGTCTATGTTAGCAGACTCAAAAACATAATTCTGATCTCCCAGTGTCTGCTGATCTCCCAGTGTCTGGTAGCAAGCCATGCTTTTTATTGCATGTATTTAAAAATTCATTCAAGTATGGAAAAAATTATGATCAGAGAGCTATGAGAAAGACTCCTATGTAACTCAATTTGGAGGGTTCTTCACATGCTGTGGGACATAATGAAAGAGTAATAAAGTTGTTAGATTATGAATCAATTTGTCTCAGTCCCATTTCCAGGACCATGAAGTTCAGAAGCACACAACCTACTGAACCACCATCACTGCCCTCTGCACTACTGAAACCATCCCAATAAACTTTACAAGATTAATCAGGGAAGAAAGAGGGGAAGAAATAAAAATAAACCAAGCTTGCAGCACATTCAGCATTAATCCATAGGTCAGCCTGCTTTCTGACCTGCTTCCTCATGGTTGTTCAGTGCCCATTGCCCCAGAATCATGAGGACCCTCTCACGAGATTAGAGTTCACCTTAACTGCCCTATACATAACAACTTAAGCACTGTGAAATGTGAAGTTTTCTTTCAAGGAGATATTCTTTCAAGGTCTTGCATAATAGTGAAACTACTGACACCAGTGGTCTGAAGGAGCCCACAAGGAGATGACTCACCAAACAACGCAGTTTCCACATCCTGATGATTTTATTCCCCATACCCTGACCAACAATGACTCCAATCTTCTAGCCCCTTGCCCTCTTAAAACACCCAGCCCAGAACTCCTCCAAGACATGGATTTCTCTTTTTTTTTGTTTTCTTTTTTGAGATGGAGTCACTCTGTCACCCAGGCTGGAGTGCAGTCGTGCTTTCTTGGCTCACTGCAACTTCCACCTCCTGGATTCAGGCGATTCTCCTACTTCAGCCTCCCAAGGAGCTGGGACTACAGGTGTGTGCTACCACACCTGGCTAATTTTTGTATTTTAGTAGAGACAGGGTTTCACCATGTTGGCCAGGCTGGTCTTGAACTCCTGACCTCAGGTGATCCACCTGCCTTGGCCTCCCAAAGTGCTGGGATTATAGGTGTGAGCCACTGTCCCCAGCCCAGGAGATGGATTTGAGAGTCCCTCCTATCTCCTTGCTTGGCTGCTCTATGACCATTAAATTCTTCCTCTGCTGCAAATCCTGCTGTCTCGGTGTATTGGTTTGTTACTGGGCAGTGGGCATACAAAGCTGGTGGACTTGTAACACTGTCATTATCAATGTCTTAGATTCTTCTTAACTTACTAACCTCAAAAAGGTGGAGGTCCCCAGAACCCAGTCCTCAGGCCTCTTCTCTTTTCTTTCCATATTCACCTTCCAGGTGATCTCATACTATCCAATGGCTTTGAACACTATCAGCTGCAATGATGACACTCATCTATACCACTTACCTGAACTCCTTCCCAACTTCAGACTCCACTCTTCCATCTCCACTTGGAACCCTGAGACACACTGCACATGTAAGTGTTCACACTTAATCTCTGAATTTTAGCTGTCTCCACACCTCCTTCCTATGCCCCCTACCCCCTCACAGCCATTCTTGTCTCAGTAAATGGCAGCCTGAAATTGAACTCCGTAACCAGCTGCAGACACTAAAACCTGGCATCATCTTTTATACCTAGCCTGAGCCAGATCAGCAGTGGGACATGGAAGAGACCAGATTCCTGGTCCCTTTATAGCCAACTTGCCACAACAAATGCCAGCTTCAGAGATCATTTTATCAGCAGATATAAGTTCTCCTTGTTCCTCCTAAATGTAATCTGCCTAAATATCCCACTGCCTGTGGGACCCCACTGATCACATGGAGAAGCAGGACCTTCTGCTGTGTAAGGGCTTGAGATTCAGACCCTGCTGGGGGTGAATTATCACCTCATCCTCCAACATTTCCTTTGGAATTGGGGCCTTAGTTGCTAAAAGATAAGACTAGATGGCCCCTTCCCCCAAAACACAGAAACAAATTTGTATGGAAGAGATCCTTCTGGGAAGAAAGGGATTTGAATTCTGCTCTTACCCAATTCCCTCCTTGAATCAAAGGTTTAAAAAAAGAAAGAAAAAACACCTGTATGAGAGATTCAGTGGCCCCAACTGAAACTTAACTGCAGGTGCTGCAATTTCATGGAGTTAGATCATTGAAAGGACTTAGCAGGCTCCATGTATTGTAAATGAAGTTAAAGGATACTGTGGGAGGAAGGAAGCAAAGGCAAGCATGGGAAGGTATGAAACTTCCAGAGGCAGACTCCAAGGATCCTTACTCAGTTGCACAAGACATTTTTCATCTTTGAAATAGGAATCACCGAGATATATATGAGATTTCTTGTTGGTCTTGTGGGAGCCAAAGCACAATTGAGCTGGGAATGAGGTGCATGCTCCAGGCACATGGTCATGACTTGGGCAATAGAACAAGTGTCTAAAGTGATAAAATCTTAGACTCAAGAGTTGCAACACCTGCCAACTGGGGAGTTTTTTAAATTTTAATTTTATGTTTTAGAGACAGAGTCTTGCTCTGTCATCCAAGCTGGAGTGCAGTGGTGCAATCATAGATCACTATAACCTCGAACTCCTGGGCTCAAGTGATCCTCCTTCCAAAGTGCTGGGATTACAACGTACAACTTAATTCTTGAATTTGT
Organism: Homo sapiens; assembly: GCF_000001405.40. NCBI lineage: Eukaryota > Metazoa > Chordata > Mammalia > Primates > Hominidae > Homo > Homo sapiens. The sequence continues at coordinate 45,405,059 of NC_000007.14, forward strand.
TCACTATCTCTGCACCTGCTGTCGTCATCCTATTCCAAGCCACCATCATTTCTCACCTGGATTGTTACAATTGCCTCCTGCCTGGAGTTCCCACTACACATTGGTTACCTGTGGTGGAGATGGTGAATTGACACCCACAGTCATTCCAATTCTTGCCAGGTATGTCTTCTTCTATTACAGAGTCTGGGAAGCAAAAATTAAACTTTTAAATTGCTTTGCACCTGTTCCAAGTGCAAATTAGTTTCCACCAATTAGATGCATTCATGCAAGGTACAAAAGAAATTCAGGGGTCCTCTTTCTTTTGTTTCAGCTGTTTCTGTTGGCAAAAAATAGGAGATTTTTCAATAGCAGTAGTCCAGGGTCCTTTTACCAGCTTTATGGATATTTGGAGGCAGGACTTTAGTAACAGCAGTGGGCTTCTAATATTGGATCACAGCTCAGGTGTATTTTCCCCAGGAGGAAGTGCAGAATATGACATAATCATTTGGCTAGATTACAAATGTTTGAAACAACTTCACTGAAGGGAGTGGGGCAAAGGTGCTATCTAAGAAACTTTGGAAATGAGAGAAGTTTGTAAGGCTAAAGTCAAAAGGAACTGTATATAAGGATGGCATTTTAATTGGTGCAGTTGTTTCTCAGAAGGTGACATGGGTTAACAGTTCTAAAGCCACTACACATGGGCACCAGACCTGAAGAATTAAGTCAATGGATGGTAGATGGTGGGAGCAGACTTCTTACAGAGTTAGATGTCCCTGAAAAGCTGGGGGAGATGGTTAGAATAAGCCAAGTGGTACTGCACAAAAATTGAAGACATAATTATGAACTCTTGTTTAGCCTAAGAAAGATATGGATGGATGCATTGTGTACATGTGTGTTCATGGATTACACACACATGATTCCTAGCTCTGTCTCCTAGGAAGGTCTAGAACCAATGATACCTCTTTATCAACAAGCACACCCAGTGCCCACTTCTTGGTTTCTGATATCACTCTTCAGGAAAAGCAATCAGGGATCCTTAAAGGAATGGATGACACCAGGGCTGGGGCAGGGAACATACAAGATTCTCCTGCAGTGTCTTGCATTGAAAAAGCAAGGAAATGCTTCAAAAAGCAAAATGAAACAAAGAAAAACAACGGAGGCATGTCAAAGGGACACAGGGGCCAACTAAAATAACTCCCAATGGTGAGGTTCCACGGTGTAGTGGCTAGTACTCTAGACTCCAAAAGAGCTCCCAATGGCCAATGCTGCAACAACTTGTGCAACAAAATAAATAATGTGCTTTAATCCAAAGTATAATATTTATAACCTTGAGTCCACACTGATGTGAATGATTGGGTAAATGAATAGATGGGTGAGAAAGGACAGGTCTCTTGTAAAGCAGGATTCCCAAGTGTTGAGGTGAATACTCCTTCCTCAAGGCAATGGCACATTCTGGACCCCATACTTAACCCTTGCCCCCTGATGCCCTGTGGCAAATCCTGCAAGGCCCAGAGCCCAAACATCCAACACCACTCAACATGTATGTACGTTTCACACAGTCACCGTAACAGTGACAAAATGACTAGGGTACTGTCTGGACACAATTAATGTTAACACTAACCCCCCCTTAGATTGGAAATCAGAATTACAGCTCAGTACCTGTTCCCTAAAGCTCTGTCCAACCATGGAAAGACTATCCTACTTGGCAGGGCAAGTGAGGATAGGGCTTTGTTTCCAAATCACCTGTTTTCAGAATAACTAAACTCAAAGGAATTTTCTGGAACTCAAAAGTTAGGCAGAAACCTCTCCATTCTGTCCATAAGGACAGAACCTCCCACCTTAAAATAGGCACAGTAGGGAGCAGTGTGAATACAAGGGTGCATTTGCATTGAAATCAAGGGAAACAGCAGCTGTATCTTGTCTATGGGGCACATCTGGACACTCCGGCATCCATGACCACTCAGAGGACATCCGCCATTGGGGGCTAAAGAGGCAGGACTTACAACCAGGCAGACGCAGAGGAGGGAGTCCAGATGCACACCTGCTTCCTGAGGCAGAGGTTTGCAGCACCCTTCTGGACATAACTGAGAGTCTTTAAATGCTATTTTTTTTTTTTTTTAAAAAAAGGTCTTTTCTGTTTTTTAACTAATCATTTAAAGTTATTGTAAAGGACGAGCTCTCTTATTACTTTTCATTTTTAAAAGTTTCTCAGCAATCTCATTATTTAGTCTTTCAGATGAATTTTAGGAGCATATTTTTTAGTTCAAATGAATTCCATTGGAGTGCAATTGCATTAAATCTCTATGCTAATTCAGAAAGACTGCGTATCTTTATGGAATTTGCTCTTCCAGAAACATAATACTGCAATGCAGGTAGCAGTATGAACAGGGTATTTCGGGAAGAGACGACTTAAATGAAGATTTGAAAGTGAGTGTCTGTGACATTTCATGCAGAAAGCTGCATTTCTTTGTATTTTGTTTTTAATAAAAATGGAATTTAAACCACTTTCATCACTCACTATGAATCTTTAAGCTTGTTTTCCTCATGTATTTAAAGCTTTTATTTTAACAGCATCTTCTAATCTGCTATTTCTGAGAAGGCTCAACTTCATTTTATTTGCTTTTTTATTTTGTGGTGATTAGAAGGCAATGAGATGGGATAGGAAGGACGAGTAGCAGGCTCTGCTCTCTGGTCGCACAAGGGTGGAGTTTGAGATGGGCCAGAGCTGCGGCACCATCAGGGACTTCTTCAGCAGGGGCGCCGCCGATGGCACTCCCTGGTCTTGTTTTCTCCTGGGTCAGTGTCAGCGCTGAGCACGTGGACAGCACATGGCCGACTCTCTCCTCAAAGGGCTGCCACGGTAGGGGCATTTAATGTGTTTCCTATAAATTGAAAAGGCAGAACCCCTCCCCCAGCCCTTCCGCGTCCCAAAGGTAGAGGGAGCACTCTCATCGCTGTGGAGTTGCAGGAGAGGCTCCACAGGCCCTGCTCTTGCCTGGTGGGGATGCTGTGACCATGCGGGGCCTCGGTAGGACTTGGCTGCACCAGGCTACCTCCGCAGAAACCAACAAACACTGGTTACCTTTCCGCAGTACCCATCTGCTTCCAAGCCCCGGGAGCCTCCGCCTTCCGCCCCTCTGCTCCTTCCCTCCAACCTCCTCCACTTGCTAGCACCCTCTCTTCCATGGCTCTGGGGACACCCTGCTCCCCGTCTCTTCAGCTTCAGGCCCAGAATAGCTACTGCTCCAGATGGCTGGTGCACGCAGCCCAGCGTTCCTCCAGCCTCTTCGCCAATCCTTCCATCTTCCAAGTAACTGAGATACAGCCTCCTGCGCGTAGCTAGCAAGCGGGAGCCGGTCCAGCCTCTGCTGAATCCCCCTTCCCCCTCCAGTTCCCTCCAGGCAACTGCCCCCAAACTCCTGCCCTTATCAAAACAACACCCCTTTGCCTCTCCTGGGAGCCTCCTCTGCACCAGGCCCGCCATGCTCCATGCAGCCTGAGGGAGTCCCCAGAGCTGCGCACTGGCCGCGCCACTGTGCCTGGTGCTCTCCTCTTTCAGCCTTTACTGTTTTCCAATTTGCTCCTATCTGGTCCTCCTCTTCCTGCATCGTCTCTTTTGTCTGGGGTGAAAGGAGATGAGGGTGACCATCTCCTGTTTAAAAATGACAAAAATGACAAGGGAAAAAGGGCAGGAGAACCTCAGGCAGATGCATGGACATGGCGCTGTACAGGCATTTCCTCCCGCGAGGCTTACAAAACTCCCTCAAATACACGGTTATTTCTTGCCACTTTTCATAGGTGATATAATGGGAGCTCAGACTTGCCTGCTACTGGAACCTAGTGCTTCACAATGCCAGTGTTTGCATCTTTCTATTCTGTAGGCAATGCTGATTTTTGAACAAAAGAAACCATAAAAGGAAGAGGCAGAAATAAATTGAAAATATAACGAAAAGGCAGTCATTTCACTCTTAGGTAAGACGTTTTAAAAGAATCATCACCATGCGTGGTTTGTTACAAGTCTGTAGGAACAGGGACGTTGTGTCTGACCAGCTATGGATCTGTATAAAGCACACCCCATAAAAAGATCAGTGTATTTTCTAATGTCATTGAGCACACAAATGAATTTTCATGAGGTCTAAGCATCAAAGACAGTGCCTTCAACTCAGCAGAATTCCATTAACCATCACAAAAATTTTAAGGCTCACTAAATGCAAAGAAATTTCTCAGTTTGCCTTTGATTTAGTATCCATGGCTTGGGTTTGTAATTGGCCACCCTGCTTTATTTATTCTCATCTCCTTTGGTATAATTTTCATTAGGTGAAATTGCCAAGAGAGTCAGACAATGGGAAGAGGACTGGTAAGTTTCTTGTGACTACAGACAGACCTCTCTGTGGAACAGCACTGGTCCTGGAGGGACTTGGGGACATGTGGGCAAGGTACAGGGGCACCCCAGCAGGACCAGGTAGGAGCTGGTTTGGTACCAGGTGACTTAGGCCTAAGTCACCTGCCGGCAGTATAGACTGGGCTGGGAGCATTCAGTTGGGACTGTCAGACAGCGTTTTCTTCCACCACACTCAGCTACCTCCTGCACTTTCCCTAACTAGACTAGGAAGGTCTGTGCTTCCTAGACCTTCCTAGACCTTCTATGCTACAGGAAGGTCTATGCTTTTATTTGTAAAGATCTTTGGTGGATTTGTAGGATACTATAAGAGATATTGTGGCTGTAAGATTAACAATAGCCATAAGGCCCACTGAAACATCTTGCGGGGCTGACACTATGTGTTTCTTAGCAGTATGAGGCAACTTGGCTTGGGGATTTCCAACCCTGGCCCCAGGATTTCTAGGAGATAAGGCCACCTCAGCACAGATGAAGCTTTCATAAACCTTGAAACAAATCTTACCCTTACAGAAATAGCTTAAGCTGCCTTTATGAAAGAAATACTTGGTAATGGACCCAGACTGAATACAGGCTTAAGAAAGGGGGAAGAGGCCAGGCATGGTGGCTCATGCCTGTAATCCCAGCACTTTGGGAGGCCAAGGTGGGTGCATCATGAGATCTGGAGATTGAGACCATCCTGGCTAAAATGGTGAAACCTCGTCCCTACTAAAACTACAAAAAATTAGCCAGATGTGGTGGCACACACCTGTAGTCCCAGCTACTTGGGAGGCTGAGGCAGGAGAATCACTTGAACCTGGGAGGCAGAGGTTGCGGTGAGCTGAGATCATGCCACTGCACTCCAGCCTGGGCCGACAGAGTGAGACTCCATCCCCCCAGAGAAAAAAGGGGGGGATGGAAGAAGCCAGGCATAGTGGCACACACCTGTAGTGCCAGCTACTTGGGAGGCTTAGGCAGGAGGATCTCTTGAGCCCAGGAACTTGGCTGCAGTGAGCCATGGTTGTGCTATTGCACTCTAGCCTGGGAAACATAGCATGACCCCACCTCTTAAAAAAAAGGTGTGAGGTGGAGAATACCCCAAACTCAGAGAATGGTCTGCAGACAGAGACCCTCTCAGTCAATTGGTCATCTGACCCCTGACTGAATCTAGCCCAGGCATCAGCCTGCTCCCAATATCCATCTTGTAAGAGCGATGCCAGAATAAACTGCTTGAGCATCAGACAGTATCTAAGCCTCATATTTGACGTGCATTGGACCAAAGAGGAAACATCGCCCCCAGGAAGCTGGCTAACTAGGACTACCTGAGAGCTCCGAACACAACAAAATTCCTTCCAACTCAAGACTGTCACATCCGGACAGGCCTCACAGGACCTTTCTGGGAAGATAGAAGCACTCAGAGCATGGCCAGTTCCATCTGGCTTGGGTTTGAAAAATGTAAATAGTAGAAGAAGCTGAATATTGATATTTCAGATAATTATGATTATAGAGGTTCAGAGATGAAAGAACAGGAGCTATTACTTGGTTAATTCCTTTGTCTAACTCCTTATTTGGCACCATCCAAGCTCCCTGGAGCCTCGAGCTCCTGGGCTCAGGCGATCTTCCCACCTCAGCCTCCCCAGCAGCTGGGACCACAGGTGGCAGACTGCTTTTTCTTTCTATATTGTATGAGTTTCCTGGGGCTGCCCTAACAATTGACCACAAACTGTGTGGCTTAAAGTAACAGACTCTTATTTCCTGTTGTAGGGGCTGGGAAGTCCAAAATCATGGTGTTGGCAGGGCCATGCTCCCTCTGGAGGCTCCAGGGGTGGTTCCTTCCTCACCTCTTCCAGGGTCTGGCAGTTGCCAGCTGTCTTTGGTGTTCCTTGGTTTGTAGATGTGTCTCTCCAATCTCTGCCTCCTTCATCACAGGGCCTTCTCCCTATATGTGTCCACACCTCTGCATGTCTCCAAATCTCTCTCTTCTCATAAGTCATTAGACTAGGCCTACTCTAATCCATCATGACCTCATCTTAATTTGACTGCATCTGCAAAGATCCCATTTCCAAATAATGTCACATTCACAGGTACCGGAGTTAAGACTCTGCATATTTTTGAGAGGACACAATTCATTCCACAACACATATTTTTACATAATTTTTATCACATTTTTGATACAATTTGAAGCCTACACTTTCCACCTAACATTTTAATACATTTCTTTGTTAGTTCTCATTGCAAATAATGACTTTTAATGCTCAATCATACTCTGCAGTGCATGTGTGTGCTTGTGGTGTGTGTCTGCCTGGTCACCTGTGCACATGTATGGAACATGTGGCTTAGCATGTACATGTGCCTAGGTGAGTGTGTGTATGTATATGTGAGTGTAGATGTCTTCACGTGCAGCAAGATCCAGTTAAATGTGCCATTTGTGTCTTTCTGTAGTGGGATGCTTCCCCAACACAAAAACATGCACGATCTTACCCAATCTTCACAACAGCCTTGGGAGCTGGGAAGGGAGGGGTAATTACATCTCCATCCAAAGGAGGAAAATGAGACTTAGAAAACCAATGGGTGCTTGAGATTATTAAGCTAGTGAGTGACAAAACCAGGACACAAATCCAGCTGTTCTATAAGCAAAACTGTTGTCTTGTATGTTCCAGTGGAGCCTTCAAATATGTCCTCATGAACATTGTCACATATGGGGCCCAAAAAGATCCACCCAAGCACCTCTGGTGCCTTGGTTCCAACCACATAAAAATGGAAGTTTCTGGAAATCACTGTGTGTTTTTTTCCACATCTCCTTGATTTTGTTCATGTGGCTGACTCTGCCTGGAATGCCCTATGCCCTGTTTGCTCATCTGACTAGATGTGGATCTGACAACATCTGGATCAAACATCACTACCTCCAGGGGGCCTTCCTGACTCTACTGGCCATGCTTGGAAGCTTCCTGAGGGCTCTTCAGAAACTCAGCAGATGCTGGCATCATGCTTCCTGTGCAGCCTGCAGAACCATGAGCCAATTAAACCTCTTTTCTTTCTAAATTACCCATCCTCAGGCACTTCTTTTTTTTTTTTTGAAATGGAGTCTCGCTCTGTCGCCCAGTTTGGAGTGCAGTGACGCGATCTCAGCTCACTGCAAGCTCCGCCTCCCGGGTTCATGCCATTCTCCTGCCTCAGCCTCCTGAGTAGCTGAGACTACTGGCACCCGCCACCACACTGGCTAATTTTTTGTATTTTTAGTAGAGACGGGGTTTCACTGTGTTAGCCAGGATGGTCTCGATTTCCTGACCTCGTGATCCACCCCCTTGGCCTCCCAAAGTGCTGGGATTACAGGCGTGAGCCACCACGCCCGGCCTCAGGCACTTCTTTATAGCAACACAAGAATAGCCTAACACAGCCTGTGCCTTGCTCAGCTCTGTGCCTGTAACTCTGTGCTCTGAACCCACCATGGGGTCGGGTTCAGAGACAAATGCTAACATTGCACAATCAGCTAGGAAGATGGTTATGAGGAATTTGGATGCAGAACTAACATGAAACACTGGCTACTGATTCAGGGCTCTCCAAAGTGTTCCTGGGAGCTAAGAAGACACTAAAGCCCAGGTTCACTGTTCACTTCCTCCTGCCATGTTTACTGGCTTCTCCGTTTCTAGCAATAATCACCTCCCTGGCATCTAGAAGGTTCCCTGCAAACACTAAGGGTCCTGAAGTCCTGGGCGACATATACAAGGTGCACACAAAGGATCTGATGCCACTCAAGGGCCAGCTGTGTGCCCTTGTGCTTGCAGCCCCTGCTGCCCCACGGACCTTGTGCATGGCATTGCCATATCCCAGGACAGGCTGGTGTCCACATGAAACAGGCACTTCACAGATATCGTGTGCAACTGTGTTATCATTATCTTCCTGGCATCCCCTGGAAAGCTGGACAACTTTAGCTTGTGAAATATCAAAGAAGTTATTGATCTATTGATGGACACCAGCATCATGATTAACAAGCAAATACATTTGGACATGGTGTATGCTGGGGACTTGAGAAACCAATTCTACCCATTTAAACAGAAAAGGTATTTAATGCAGGATGGTAACAGCCATCTCAAGTTGAGCTAGGGGTGGCTGGCAAAAGGCTTAGAGCCTGTAGGGCCAGGACCACTGCCCCTTCCCAGTGCTGAGCTGCCCCAGAGCTGACACCATGCTAGGACCCTGCAGCAGGCACTGCCAGGGTGAGGCTCAGGATGCAACTGCTACCCTTGCCATAATGGACACCATACGGCACCTGCTTCTCCCAGTGGGCAGTCCCAGGGACCCGTGTCTATTACCCAGCTATAGAGGGTCTGTGCTAGGAGGATGCTGCATCAGAAGGGGAGGATCCCCCAGCCCCATGAAGGCACTCAGTAACACTGCGTGGCCCACTCTCTTCAAAGCCTTCCTTTCATGTCCAGAACAGCCCAGCCTGAGAAAGGTGGCCAAGGACTGTGTGGAGGAGGGTGGAGTAGAGACTTTCTCCTCCCAATTCCCTGGCATTGCCCTTAGGACCTTTGCCCTGATTCCTTCTTCTTGTGAGATCTCTGTGTCTTTGGACAATTGGCTGCCTCCCATTGGGACCAAGAAGGTTCTAAGTGTTCCCATAGCTCAGGATCAGGATCTCACTTGTGTCCTTTCAGATTTCACAGAGAAAATTGGAGCCCCCAAACTCACACTCCATTGCTATGGTCCCAGAATTACCACAGGGAAGGCCGATTATGGCCAGGATGGTGGGAGTCTGTGAGCTGTCGTGGAACATCAGGAGAAGGGGAATCCAGAGCCCTGGCCACTGGGGGTGAGTCCCCCGAATCTGGGTACCCCTCCTTTCTACCACCTGACAGAACAAGGGAATACGTGCAAAATGCAGCCTAGGTAGTGGCGGTTAGTTTGTTTGATGTGGAAGTGGGCAGGTACTTGCACTGGTTTTTGGAACAAATGTGGGGTCAGGGTGACCTGGAGCCAGGCAGGTCACATGGCTGTGAGGCCCAGCTGGGACCTTGGACAGGGCATGGCCCACAAGGCTGGGCTGTAGACTCAGCAGGTAGTGGAAGGGAGAGGCTGTGGGACTCACCAGGGGCTGGGGAAAGCCCATCAGACCCTAGACTCTGTGGCTGCCCTCTCCTTCAGGCTGCACTGACACAGTGACGGGCACTTCACAGACAGGACCTGAGGTTCCTGGAGGGTGAGCATGCTGCCCAAGGTTGCACAGGACAAGAAGGAGGTGGGACTAGGGTCCAGATCGCATTCATAAAGTGGGCACCAGCTACCGGCTCTGGAAACCATAGTGAGGTGACTGGTGCTGCCCTGGAAAGAGAAAAATGCCTCCTCCAGACCCTTGATGCCCACAGAAATGCTGTCTTCCAGAGATGAGATGCTGTCTTCAGAATGAGGCTGCTGGCAAGACTTCTTCCAAAGGGCACAATCACATGCCTTATTGTTTATTTCTATAGCAACAGAAACAGCTCCAAAAAATTAAAAATAATAATCCAATGTTATTGGTGAAGCAATCCTATGGCTTCAGAAAATTTTAACATTTCTCATTCATTATTATTCCCTGTTGGCCTTTAATTACCCTACATTGGTAATGCCAGCTAAGCCAATCATGATAATTCCAAATAACTTAGTTAATCCCTCCTTTTGTAGGATGTAGTCAGGAGGAGTGAAAATGTCCTATCTAGATAATAAATGAGTCAGTGTCGGGGCCCTGCTATAAAACAGGGAGGGCAGTGAACATTCGAGTATGGACATGGCACGCTGCATGGTGACCTGCAGAGATTATCTTATTTTACAAAAGATTCTATAATGTGAGATATGCCCTTATACCCCTTCTAGGTCTCCCCAGTCACATCACTGTCTTCCCCTATGGAGCTAACTAGCTTCCTGAATTTTGTCTTAATCTTTTTTCCTTTCTTTGCTTTATAGTTTTTGAATCCCTGTATTTGAGTCCCTGAGCAGCATGTTGTATAGTTTTGCCTGCTTTTGACCTTCCCTGGATGGACTCATACCGTATTGATTATTGTGCAACTTGCTTCTTTTAGGGACATTGTGTCTCTTCCAGCCCTCCACACCTGTGCCTATAGCAACCGTGCATTTGGTCTTGCTGCAGGTCAGTCACCCATGTGTGAAGACAGGGCTATTGGTCCCAGAATCAGGCCAACTTGGAGCCAGCTGGGCCCCAGTCACCACTGGTATTTAGAATACCAGTTGAAACAAAAAAAAAGTCAAATCCAAAATAACATTTTCAAATACCTAATAAATTATAGGTAAATACAGGTTTTGTTTGATGAGAAAAGGAAAAAAAATACAATACACATTTAAGATATTTAATTTAATGAATTCTAAGACTTGTCAAGCTTGCGTTTGAAAGTTAACAAAAACTAACAAAAATCAGCTAATTAGATATACTATTTCAACAATGATATTGAAGACTTAGCTGATAAAAGACAAACTGATATACAAAAATCACAGGCAGTTCTATAAGGACTGGAATTTTAAAAAATTATATTTAATTGTTTTAAATTGATGAATGACAGAATTGTATATATTTATGATGTAAAACGTGATGTTTTTTACATACGTATATATTGTGGAATGATTGAATCAAGCTAGTTAGCATATCCATCACCTCACATATTTACTATTTTCATGATGAGAATATTTTCTACTCTCTTACTGATTTTCAGGTAGACAATACGTTACATTAACTGTAGTCACCATGATGTGCAATAGATTTCTGAGTTTATTCCTCCTGTCGAACTGAAACTTTGCACCCTTGAACTAACATCTCCCCAACTGGCTCCCTGCTGCCCCAGCCTGTGGCAACCATCATTTCACTCTCTGTTTCTATGAGTTTTTTTTTTTTTTAATATTTCACATAAAAGTGAGATCATGCACTATTTATCTTCCTGTGCCAGGCTTATTTTACTAAGTATAATGTCATTTTTATAGTTATTATGCCACAGAAACAGAGAAATTATTCAGAACCATAAGTAATTTCATTGATGGTAAGAGAAAATTTCTACTATTTATAACTACAAGTCACCTAATGGCTACCAACTTAATGGGGAAATTAGTGAAAGAGCTGGAAAAATTTCCAAGTTAAATCATGGCACCATTTTGCTTGTAACAGCTTCAGCAGACAAAATATTGAGCAAATAATTTATTTAAAAAATTAGAAACCACAGAGAGATATTACCTCACACCGATTAGGATGGCTACTATTAAAACAAACAAACAAAAACCACAGGAGGAAAATAACAAGTGTTGGTGAGGCTGTGGAGAATTGGGAACTCTTGCGCACTATTGGTGGGAAGGTAAAATGGTGCAGTTGCTGTGGAAAACAATATGGCAATTCCTTAAAAAATTGAAAATAAAATTACCACAAGATCCAGTAATTCCACTACTGGGCATATGCCCAGAAGAACTGAAAGCACATGGAAGAATCTCAAGGAAATTATGCTAAGTGAAAGAAGCCAGACATGAAAGGACAAATGCAGTATGATTCCACTCATGTAAGGTAATTAGTGTAGTGAAACCTACAGAAACAGAAAGTAGAATGGTGTTTGTCAGGGGCTGGGTGTAGGAGAGACTAGGGAGTTAGTGTTTAATGGGCACAGCTTCAGTTTTGCAAGATGTAAATAATTCTGGAAATGGATGGTGGTGACGGTTGCACAATAATATGACACTGAACTGTGCCCTTGAGAAGGGTTAAGATGGTGACTTTTGCTATCTGTATTTTACCACAATTAAAATTTCTTTTTCAATTAGAAATTGTTAGAGTTGATAAAAAGTTTGCAGTCTAATTTACATTGCTTGGTAAGCACTATGTAATATAATATTGTTCTATCTAAAAAAGGGAATTTTTACTTAGATTTATGTATTAATAACTTATACCATGCAAGTTGTTAAATATTGTCTCTCATCACTGTAAATACCACAACCACTTTTACCTATCACACTTTTCTAGGAGAGAACTGGCCTCTACAACCTTCTTAAAGATAATTTCTGGTGCAGCGCATGTGCAAGAGTTTCTGTGTCTGGCATCTAGAGCTAGGATGACAAGGACCTTGTTTGGGGATATGTGCACTTTCAACTTTACTAAGTCAGCACAGAAGTTATAAATTTCCACGTCAGTCATATTTTAACTGCAACCCACAAATTATGATAAATGTCATTCTCATCCTCCCTCAGTTTTAAATATGATCTTGTTCTCATTATTTCCTTTTTTGTCCATAAATTCAGATATTGTATGAGGTTTTATTTCCAAATGTGTGATGCTTTTCTCATTTTCTTTTTGCTATTGATTTCTAACTTAATTGAATTGTGGTCAGAGAATGGGTTTTACCATTTGAAATTTATTGAAGTTAGCAAGTGCTTAACAAGAATGCGTACTGCATAATTGCTAAGTGCAATGTTCTATAAATGTTTATTAGATCCAGATTGTTAACTTTGTTGTTCAGATCTACATTTCTGCTGAGTTTTTAGCCTGCTTGATCTACCTATTAATGAAAAAAGTGGTTTAAATCCTCCATTTTGATAGTGCATTTGTCAAATGTTCTTAGTTTCCCGACAATTTTTGCTGTGTACAATTCGAGACTTTTATCAGGCACTTACAAGCTTAGAGATGTTATATCTTACTGCTAAATTGAACCTTTTCTCAAAAACTAATGTGTCTGATATTCAAATAACTGCATCAGCTATCTTCTGGTTAGTATTTGTCTAATATACATTTTTTCTGTCCTTAGGTTTTAACTGTCTCTGTGTCCTGAAGTTTTTGTTGTGTCTTTTTATAAAGTGAAAAATTGTTAGGCTTGTTTTAAAAAGACACAGTCTGACATTTCTGTCTTGTAACTGAAGTTTATATAGTTACATTTATTTTGATTTCTTATATATTTGTACATAATTTTATCATCTTAAGTTTTTTTTTTTTTGGTCTGTTCTGTTTTCTATTTCCTTCTTTCATGCCATCATTTTCATTGATTTTCTTTTGTTTTTTTTTTCTGGTTCCATTTATTTCCTACCACCAGGTTGGCAGTTGTGTGTTCTGTCCCTCTTATTTAAGTGGCTATGCCAGGTATATTAACATGTATACTTAATTTTACAGTGCAACATTAATTACCTTCACCCTAATAATTCAAGGACTTTAGAATGTTTTATTGCGTATCAGCCCTGCCCAACTTATGCTATTGTTGTTTTAATTTTTATTTTTCATTTTTATATTTTATCTAGTATTTTAGTTGATTCGGTCAGAAAGGTCATTTGGGGTACTTAATCCACCACACCACCAGAGTCAAAATTCAAACTCCTCTTTAATCCCCTACTTTCTAGGTCTTTCTTTGGTTCTCACAGAAAAAAAATCACGTGAAATTCTATAAATTTTCATTCTTTTAGTGGGCACTTATAGGAACTCTCCTAAATAGATGCACGCTTCCTTCTGTGCACACGCATGGTTGAAATTACTAAAAGTTGAGGAAATAATGCTTTATAATAACTGCCAGTTTATGTTGGTCATGAATTTCATGATTTTTTTTTTTTTTGAGATAGGGTCTCACTATGTTGCCAGGCTGGACTTGAACTCCTGGGCTCAAGCGACTCCACTGCTTGGCCTCTGAATAGGTGGGACTATAGGAGTCTGCCACCATGCGCATCTTTGATATTCTTATTTTTAAAATTTAAATTACTAAAAATATTGCTACATGATTATTGACTTAATTTGTTTACATTTGTTTGGTTAACTTACAGTATATAGTGGTGCATTGTTGTATCAACTTCATTTTGGTTTATTTTTCAATAAGTAGACTAAAGACTTATGCACAGATCAACTATGAATCATCTTTTATTGATACAACATAAATAATAAATAACTTATCGGCAAAATTTAATTTATGCAGTGACAATTTTTACTCAAGTTCTGTCTTTACATGAAAGTAGGAATAATGGGGTAGGTGGGTCATGGGGTTGTTTGTCCCACTTAGGTTAAAGACTCTGGTGTGGAGAAGAGACAGGAGATGCTGAATCAGATGCCTCAGACTCCAATTCTGGATCTACTGCTGATAACGGTGACACTGGACATGTCATCTCACTGTGCCTTGCGGCAGCAACTATTCTGAACATGATCTAAGCTTACACTCATCCATCATGAGTGTGCAGCTAAGTACATCAGGACCAAGACCAAGATATGTGAACTTGCACGAATCCCCAATGTTCGCTCTGCAAACATCAGCATTCCATCACCAACGGCATACAGGAAAAGCAAAGGGGAAAATGGACACCTACTGCAGTATTGCTGGTGACCCTAGGTGCAGACTTCCTTTTCATGAAATTCAAGACACAGCCTGGACTAAGAGGAAGGAATTGGGACAAGGCAGGTCCTGTTATGACATACAATATGGACTTTAAATGGGACCTCAAGTCCAGCAGGTCCTAAGACCTCCAGCAGCCCCTACGTGACCATTATATTTCTAAATGTCACTAGTTGCAAACTGACACACCACTTGAGTAATTAAAACAATGGACTTCACACTGTTTTGTTTATGTACTCTCAGAATAATATTGATAGAATTTTTTTTAGGTTGACATATAAAAACATTCATCATAAGGTTAAATATTGCAAAGAATGTAATTTTTGGAGTAATGTAAATATTAACATTTTAAAGTAAAACTGTGACATCACTTTCAAACATATCTGATGAAATAGGAATACAGTAGCATTTAGATATGCACCATTTATCCATTTGGAAATGTATGGAAAAGACCCGTGTCTGGTAAAGATGGAGTAACAAAGACCAGCCTACTCTCCTATACAAACAACACCCCCACACCAAAACAACAACAACAACAACAACAAAAAACCAGATAAAATGTATGCAACACTGATTTTCAAGCCATTGTCTTATATTAGACATCAAGTAATGTAAGACAGTGATCTCTGAGAGGCAGAAAATAAGAGAGATAAGCCCCTGACTGCCCGAGTTCACAGCCCTTCAACAGTTTCCAGGCCATGGCACAGGGATGGGGATGCCAGGAGGAGCCTGGGTGTGGTATTGGCATTAAAATAGATCAATGGAATAGGTAGAATGTCCAGAAAAAAACCCCAGACATATATGGTCAAATAATTTTTTGATATTTATTTTATTAAACTTATAATTTTGAGGTAATTTGATGTTCACGTACCATTGTATTAATACAAAGAGTTCCTTTGTGCCCCTTTAACAGTTTCCCCCAAAAGTAACATTTTACAAAATTAAGTACAGTAGCACAGCCAGGATATTGACATTGATATGGACAAGATACAGAACATTTTAATCAACACGAGTACCTCTCAGGTTCCCCTTTTATTAATATTTTCACAACCAACTTGCTCTTTCACTCCTTTAACTCTTGGCAACAACTAATTTGTTCTCTGTTTTGATAAACTACTAATTTGTTCTCCATTTTGATAAACTATTAATTTGTTCTCCATTTGATGATTTTGTCATTTTAAGAGTGTTATATAAATGGAATCATACAATATGCAACCTTCTGAAATTGGCTTTTATCACTCTGCATAATTCTCTGGAGATTCATTCAAGTTGTGAGTCTCAGCAGTTCATTCCTTGTTACTGCTAGCTGGTATTCCCTGTCATGAATATAACTGTGTATTTAACGACTCACCCACTTAAGGGCACCCCAATTGTTTCCAGTTTTTGGCTTAAAAATACAGTTGCTGTGAACATTTATGTAGAGGTTTTTGTGTGCACACAAACTTTCATTGCTCTGAGATTGCCCAGGAGTGCAACTGTTGGGCTGTAACAGCACACAAAACGTAATAGTTGCATGTTTAGGTTTGCAAGAAATTTCCAGGCCCTTTTCCAGAGTGACTGTACTACTTTACATTCCTATCAGCAATGTGTAAGAGATCTAGTTTCTCCATAACCTCACCAGAATTTCGTGTTATTACTAATGTGTATTTTGGCTGTTGTAATAATGTGTAATGATATCATATAGTGATTTTAATTTGGATTTTCTAATAGCTAAAGATATTGGGCATCCTTTCATGTTTGACATATTTATGTCCTCTCTGGTAAAATGTCTGTTCATATTTTTTACACACTTTCAAATTGATTATTTGGCTTTTACTTTTGCGTTTTGAGAGTTCTTTAGATATACTAGATACCAATTCTTTGTCAGAAATGTGGTTTCCGTATGTTTTCTTGCAGCCTGTAGCTTGACACTTAATTCTCTGAGGCTGTTTTGCAGAGCAAAAGTTTTAAATTTCGATTAAGTCTAATTTAGCACTTTCTCTTTTAATGGATAGTGCTATTAGTGTCAGGTTTAACAACACTTTGCCTAGTGCTAGATTACTAAAATTTTCTCCTGTTTTTCTATGAAAGCTGTATGTTTAAGTCTATGCTATATTTTGAGTTAATTTTTGTATAAGATTAAAGTTGAGGTCTTTTTCTTGCTGATGGCTATTCAATTGCTCTTGCATCATTTGTTGGAAGGGCTATTCCTCTCCACTGAATTGTTTTTGCAACTTTGTCAAAAATCAGTTGCGCATATTTGTGTGAGTCTATTTATAAATTCCCTTTTCTGCTCCACTGATCTGTCTATCCCTCTGCCCATACCACATGTTCTTGATTACCATAGTATATAGTAGGAATTAATATCAGATAGAGTGAGTCCTCCCACTTAATTCTTTCCAGAATAGTTTTTGCTATTCTAGGGCCTGTGCTGTTCCACATAAATTTTAAAATAATCTTGTCTGTTTAATAAAAAATATTTTCTGGGATTTTGATAGGAAATGCATTACAACTGTACATGAATTTGGGGGGAAGTGATATCTTTACTATGTAGAGTCCTCCAATCCATGAATGCAGTATATCCCTCCATTTATTTAGATCTTTTATTTCTTTCATCAGCATTTTGTAGTTTTTAGCATATTAGTACTAGACATGTTTTATTACATCTAAGTGTTTCTTTTATTTTTGCGTGATTGTAAATGGCATTACATAATTAATTTTAGTTTCTATGTGTTCTTTGTTAGTATATAAAAGCAATGGATTTTTGAATGTTTATCTTACATCCTGTGGCTTTGCTGAACTCATTAGTGTAGAAGTTTTGTGTAGCTTCTTTGGTGTTTTCTGTGTAGATGATCATGTCACTTGCAAATAGAGACAGTTTTATTTCTTCCTTTCTGATTGGTGTGCTTTCTAATTCTATTTTGTTGCCTTAGAGCTAGGATGTCCAGTGTTGTTATGACTAAGAGTAGAGAGAGCTGACATGTATACCTTGTTCCACATTTGAGAGGAAAAGCTTCCAGTCTTCCACTGTTAACTATGTTAGCTGTAAACTTTTTAGATTCTCTCTCAAGTTGAGAGGTTTTCCCTCAATGCCTGTTTTTCTGAGAATTTTTTAAAAAATCATGAATAGGTATTGAATTTTTTCAATTTTTTTCAACATTCATTCATAAATGTATTCCTTTTGTTAAATATTTATTAAGCCCAAAACATTAAAATATTAGTGAAAATGTATTTCTTCCTTTTTTTTTTTTTTGAGATGGAGTCTCTCTTGCCCAGGCTGGAATGCAGTGGTGTGATCTTGGCTCACTGCAACCTCTGCTTCCCAGGTTCAAGCGATTCTCCTGCCTCAGCCTCCCAAGTAGCTGGGATTACAGGCATGCACCACCAAGCCCAGCTAATTTTTGTATTTTTTAGTAGAGATGGGGTTTCACCATATTGGCCAGGCTGGTTTCAAACTCCTTACCTCATGATTCACCTGCTTCGGCCTCCGAAAGTGTTGGGATTACAGGCGTGAGCCACCGTGCCTGGACGAATATGTATTTCTTAATGAGATACACAGGTTTGAGCTGTTTTTTTCCTATCTGTTCATCTATCAATGGTTAAATATTACCTATGTTTTAAATGTTTATTTTTCTTCATTATGGAAGTAAGCCCTGAGAAACTGTTCACATAATTAACTAGTTGGAACTGAGAAGTGTTTTTCAAGTAATGTTATTTAATTATTTCAACTCTTTTAAACTTCTGTGTCAAAAATCCCACAGAATTTCTAATGATCTATAAGCTGATAATACCCTTGTGCTTTCTTTCAATTGTGTTGAAAGCAAACAATTGGAATTTCTATGATTTGCCAAGGGATTTTTAAGGTCTAGGCATTAGGATAGGCAAAATGTGATTTTTCTTTACACCTCCACGTGAAAGCTGACAGAAGGGAGTCAGCTCAGGTGCAAAGCAGCGCAGAGTCATCATCTCAGTGGCTGCTGGACAGACGTGGGGTAGGTACCAGTAGAGGCCACCGGCACCTACCCATGGGGGTGTGATGCAGTGCTGCCGCCTGGGCCAGGGAGTATCCTGTCTGTGCTTCAGGAAGCTCCAGTGTCCCTCTGGGTCGTCTCATACTGCCCTCCTGGCTCTGCCCCCATGCGTCTCACATCACAGACAACCAAGAGCATGGAGCAGTGCAGGACACACCATACCCAAGGCTCCCGACTACCTCTGCCCGTTCACATTCTTTCTTGATCCTTGATCTGCAGAACCCAGTGTTAGATTTGCAAGAAAGACAATTATGGCTTAGACATCATCCTGACAAGGTCTTAGAGAAGCTCTAGAGGCCACCCTACACCCCTCTCTGCTGCCCCACTGTGATGGTTTGGACTGTCCTTGTCAGTGGGTTGTGTGGCCTTTCTCTATACCAGCACTCAACTTGGGATGGGGATGGTAGAATCAGGTGTGTAGCAGTGGGAAGTAACTATGAACCATGTATTTACCAAGCAGTCACCATGCAGCCCTGAGAAAGTCAAGTAGTGTCCTGGAGCAGTTGCTTCATGGGCAAACTGTGAGAGTTTGGCTGCAGGACCCATGAGACTCTGCCTTAGTCTGCTTGGGCTGCCATGATAAAATATTATAGACAGGTGGCTTAAACATGTAATTTTCTTTTCTCACAGTTCTTAAGGCTACATGTCCCAGCATGGTTGGTTCCTGGTGAGGGTGAGGGCTTGTTTCCTGGCTTTCAGATGGGCCACTTTTTCACTGTGTCATCACATGGTGAGGAGGGAGGGAGGGAGAGAGAGAAAGAGAGAGAGAGAGAGAGATCCTGTATATCTTCCTCCTTTTATAAGAGTACCAGTCCCATCAGATTAGGGTCCCACCTTTCGGACCTCATTTAACTTTAATTAGCTGCTTATGGGCCCAGTCTCCAAATACAGTGAGACTGGGGGTTAGGGCTTCAACATATGAATTTTGGGGGACACAATTTAGTCCATGACAGACCCCTTCCACTTCAATGTCGTGAGGTTCTAAAGTTATGATAGTGCTTCTTAAATGGAGGTTTCCAAAGAACAACAGTACCTAGAACGGCAGTGAAACAGATTAGGCATTACCACAGTAAAGCCTTCCAGATTGTTATAGAAAATTATATTATTCAAAAATAGTTCTGTTTACTTTTACATTTTCATAACCACTACTGCATGACTTACGAAAATCAAGCAACATACAGCATCCTGCAGGCATTGTTTAATTGCAAAATAGCCTAATAGCTTCTCATATTTTTTGTGCCCTCCATGTCCTGTGTGCTTCACCCTCATCCCAGCTGGGCTCTGACTGACATAGGAGGGAGCATTGCACAGGATGAGACTGGAGTAGAGAGATCAGTAGAGAGACGGGAGCCAGAGTTTTCAACTTAGGCACTGTTGACATTTTGGGCTGGATAATTCTTTTGAGGGAGATGGAGGGTGTTTAGCAGCATCCCTAGCATCTAATCACCAATGCCAGTAGTACTCTCTCCCCACTTTGGCAACCAAAAATGTCTCCAGACATTGCCAAATGTCTCCTGGGGTGGGGGCAACACCTCCCATGGTTGAAAGCCAGAGGCTTGCAGATGCTCTGAGCTGGCTAGAGTGAGCTCAGCTAGGAGGTTGAGGGAGACAAGGATAAAGTAACAAGCACTTGTTGGATTTGTCAACATGGGAGTCATCAGTCACTAGAGCTGATGTGTTGGTACTCGCTTGGACCTTCTCAGCTTATCACTGCCTTGTTCACTAGCTTAACTCCCAGCAGCTGAGAGACTTTCTTCAGCCACCTGACCGGCTCTGTCTGTGCATGGGGTAGACCAGAGACTTTAGGGGATTAATGTTCCCAGGTGTCCCCCAGCCAAAGGCTGACAGGAGATGGTGGGTATGCACCCTGCTCCATCGCTCTCTGAGGTGTATGTTTTATGCATTCTCCCAACGTTCCCAGCAGGACCGAGTTTCAGTTGCTCATAGAGTAACTTGTTTAATACCACATCCTTTACTGGCTTTTTCCCATTCTCAGTCTCTCATTCCCAATATACTTGTCCTCAAATCCCTGCTTCAGTGTTGGCTTCTGGAAAAAAAAACAAAGCAAAAATCTCTCTAAGGTTTATGTTCTCTTAATTTTTGACAAGAAGCTCTCAGTAATGCAGTGAGGAATGGATGACATTTTATTAATAATGTTGGATCACTTGATATTCATGTGGAGAAAATTCATCAATGCCTGTCTCATACCACGCATAAAATAATTTAGGTGAATAATAGGTCTAAATACAAAATGTAAAACAACAAAGCTTCTAGAAGTTATCACTGGAGAATGTCTTCATGGCCTAGATCTAGGGAGAGATTAAACAGAAAATAAAAAGTACTAACCAAAAAGAAAAAAAGGAAATATTGATAAAATAGGCTACATTAAAATTATAAACCTCTGTTCAACAAGGGAAACGATTAAAGGCAAGTCACAGAATGAAAGAAATTTGCAAGACATAACTGACAAAGGAAATTCATGAAAACCAGTAAGATAAAGACATATAACCCGATAGAAAGACACACTTCTCAAAACAGGAAATTCAAAAAGGCCGGTGAACATGGGAGTATATGCCCAACCTCATTAGTTAAACAGCAAAAGCAAATTAGATGCCTCTGTACATCAACCTAAATGCCTATCGTTTAAAAGATTAGCAATATCAAATATGATATACTCCTACCTATGACACAGCAATCCATGCACAAAGACATGCACAGGAACATTCACAGAAGCATTATTTCTAATGCCCGCCCCCCGCAAGATTGGAGACCACCCAAATGTCCATCAATACTAGAATGGATAATTAAATTGCAGTGTTTGCACATAGAGCAGTACTGTATAGCAATGAAATAAATTGCTGCTATAATCAACAAGGATACATCTCACAAATATGATATTGAAAGAAAAAATAAATACAAAAATACATATTGCATGGTAATATTTATATAAAGTTCAAAAACAAGTACAACTGATCTATTATATTAGAAGTTAAGGGGCTGGGCCTGGTGGCTCACACCTGTAATCCCAGCACTTTGGGAGGCTGAGGTGGGTGGATCACCTGAGGCCCAGAGTTCGAGACCAGCCTGGCCAACATGGTGAAACCCCTTATCTACTAAAAATACAAAAGAAATCATTGGGCATGGTGTCGCATGCCTGTAATCCCAGCTACTTGGGAGGCTGAGGCAGGGGAATCGTTTGAACCCAGGAGGAGGAGGTTGCAGTGAGCCGAGATCGTGCCATTGCACTCCAGCCTGGGCAACAAGGGCAAAACCTCGTCTCGCAAAAAAAAAGTTAGGATAATCATTATATTTGGGGAGGAAGGAACAGGGGGTGACGGGGGAGAATGAAAGGATCTTCTTATTGCCAGGAATGGTTTCCATCTTGACTTGAATATTGGCTATATTGATGTTTTTGCTTTGCACATTTTCATCGAGCAGTTACTTATTGTTCTTGAGCTTTTTGGTATGTATATATGCTTTACTTCAAGATAGATAGACAAATTTTTTTAAGTAGGATAAATGAGAAATACTATAAAGAACTGTGTGCCAATAAATTGGAAAATTTAGTTGAAATGAGTAAACATCTAGAAAAAAATAGAATGATCTTAAAAAAAGAATAGAAAACCTCAGTAGCCTTATATGTATTAATGTAATTGAATCAGTAATTTAAAATCTTTCCTTGAGAAGACATCAGACACAGAGGATTTTAAGTAGCAAGTTCTAAAATTTCAAATAACAATCATTCCAATATTATAAAAATATTCCAGAGAATAAAAACATAGAAAATATTCTCTGAATCTTTCTAAAAGGCCAATAAAATCTTGATTTCAATTCAGCATGAGACAGAAAACGTTACTGACCAGTCTTCACAAACTTAGATGCAAAAATCCTAAGCAAAATAATAGCAACATGAATCCATCAGTGATTTGAAAAATAATATAATATGAATGGAGCTTAACCCAGGAATACCATAAGATTTAACACTTGAAGATATACAAATAAAATTCACCATATTAAGAAACCAAAGGGAAATATATAATCAACTCAATGGATTAAAAAAAGGGCAAACAGCATTTGATAAAATTCAGCATCAATAAGTTAAAAATTATATTTTCTTAAAATTAGAAATAGAAGGAAACTTCTGTAACCTGAAAAGTAGTAATTATCTGTGTAATCATTTACATCTTTCTAAATGCAGAATGACAGAAATAAGAAAAGAATGTCTACTTTTGCTGCTTCTCCGCAATCTTATATGGAAGGTCCTGGTTAGTTCAATAAGGCAGGAGGAAATAAAATAAAAGCAGAAGAATTGTTATAGAAAACATAAAGCTCTATCAATTTGCAGACAATATCCTTGTTTAAATAGAAAACTTAAAAGGATCTACACACATATTATTAGAAATAGAGAATTAGTGGCTGGGCGTGGTGGGTCACGCCTGTAATCCCAGCACTTTGGGAGGCCTAGGTGGGTGGATCACCTGAGGTCAGGAGTTCGAGACCAGCCTGGCTAACATGGCAAAACCCCATCTCTACTAAAAATACAAAAATTATCTGGGTGTGGTGACGGGTGCCTGTAATCCCAGCTACTCGGGAGGCTGAGGCAGGGGACTTGCTTGAACCCAGGAAGCAGAGGTTGCAGTGAGCCGAGATCGAACCATTGCATTCCAGCCTGGGTGACAAGAGTGAAATTCCATCTCGAGAAGAAAAGAAAAAGAGAGATTTAGCAAGGGGATTGCCTGTAAACTAAAATTAAAGAAAATCAATTGTATTTTTATACTACAGCAACAATTATTTAGAAAATAAAATGTTATTAAAAAGGCAACATTTATAAGAACCTCCAAATTATCAGTACGCAAGAATTAATCTTAAAAATGATGTGCAAGGTGAGACTGGTATTAAAGAAAGAGAAAGAAGAAAAAAGAAATTTTATCAAAAGGCATCAAGGAAGACCTAAATGAATGCAGCGAATTTCTAGGTTGGTGGATAAGAAGAATCAACAGTGTAAATATGTCAATTCTTCCCCAAATTATCTGTGTATTCCAAATAACGGCTATCAGAATCTCCACGGGGGTTCCTGTGAACTAGATAAAAGATTGCTTAGACAAAGAACAAAGTTGTTCTGGATATAAAGACTTACAAAGCCTCAGTAAACAGCAGCAACAACAACGAGATAGCATCGATGCAGAGACAAAAAGTCAACCAGTGGAAAAGAAATTGAAAATAGAAACTGGAAATCGATTTTGCTCATAAAACTTAAGTGGAAAACGTGTGTAAGACATGATACTGCAAATCAGAAAGGAGGTGGTTAGCTATGTAATAAGCAAAGCTGAAGCAATTGGTTATTCCTATGGGGGAAAATGGGATATTCACATCACACATAAAAATTAATTGTACTTTGATTACATATCTAAATATAAAAAGCAAGACTTTAAAATCCATGGGGAAAGAAACATAGAGAATACATTTAATACTTCTAAGCAGGAGACTTTTAGTTATACAACAGAGACAGAGCAAATCATAAAGATACATGTGGCTATATTAATATTTTAAACTTACACTCACTAAAAGACACCAGTTAACAAGTGGAAAGGCCAGTTATAGATTAGTAGAACGTAAATGCAAAACACACGTCAACTTACAATAATCACAAGGCTCAGGATCCAATTAAAAGGGCTCATTCAAGCCCAAAGCATGGGGAAAAATGAAGACTGTTAATGTAGGCAAAAAATGAAGGTGGTAAACAGAATTGCATTTTTCATACAAAGGCTAACATACACAAAGAAGATTTGATTGGCTACCATTGATTCCACTCTAAGGGAGTTGCTGAATATTCTATTGTAAAGACATAGAACTCACAGGGGTGGCTATCTCCATGGCATTTAGTCTAGGTTTGTGTGGGGATAGGGAGTATGGTTAATGTAAAAAATGTCAACACAAAAGTTGGGAAGCAATGATCACACACCATGGAACAGTTGGTTCATGTGACTCAGTTTCTAGTTTTCTCCTTGGCATATTTGGAAGGTTCTGAAATTTTATTTTCTTTTTACATATACAATTGGCAGATGGTTTGTATCCAGATATATTAAAAATTTCTATAAGCCAATAAGAGGAATATAAACCACCCAATAAAATAATGGGCAAAACAGAAAAGTAGTTCAATGTTAGATGTTATATACTGGGAAATATGTATTTTATCTTCCTTCTCCGTTTCCTGATTACAGCTCCAAAATCCTTGGAATCTCCAGAGTGTTAAGAGTGTCTTCTGTGCACTAACAAGTTGAACGATGGCTGGCAGCCTCTAAGTAGCGTCAGGATGGGGCTGGTCACTGGAAAGATCAAGGCAGGATTAGATGGTTGTGACTTTCGGCCCCACCCTCTCACCTTGGGGAAGGCTGAAAGTTGAGTTGATCACCAAAGACCAGTAATTTAATCAAACATGCTTACATGAGGAAACTTTTATACAAACCCAAAAGAGCTGGGTTTGGGTGAGCTTCTGAAGAGCAGAACACACGGAGGTTTCTGGCGGGTGGTGCACCTGGAGAGGGCATGGAAACACCAAGCCTCGCCACCCCCACTTTTCTCACCTATGCATCTCTTCCATCTGGTTGTTTATTTGTGTGCCTTGTAATATTCTTTATAATAAACTTGTAAATGTACGTATGTGTTTTCCTGAGTTCTGTGAGCCGCTCTAGCAAATTAATCGAACCCGAGGGGGGACAGTGGAAGTCTGATTTATAGCCGGTGGGTCAGAAGTTATGGAAGTCTAGACTTGTGACTGGCATTTGAAGTGGGGGTAGTTTTGTGGGACTGAGCCCTCAGCCTGCGGGAGCTGATGCTATCTCTAGGTAGACAGTGCCAGAATTAAATTAGAGGACACTCAGCTGGTGTCTGCTGCAGAATTGATTGGTTGCCGGTAAGGAGAAATCCCCACACATATTTTGGTGACCAGAGAGGTGAAGCGTTCTGTGTTGATTGTTGTGAGAGTAACAGGAAAAACTGAGTATTTTTTTCTTATATCTTAACAACATGCCAATTAAACCCAGAATAATCTAGGTTTTATTTATTTTATTCACTTGATTTGCAAAAATTACAAAGTCTGACAAAATTATGTGTTGGCAAAGATGTTGAAAAATAGGAACTTAGGATGGAGGAGTGTTATGGGTCAAAGTGTGCACACCACAAAATTCCTATGTTGAAGTCCTAACCCCCAGGACCTCAGGATGTGACTGTATTTGGAGACAGGTCTTTAAGAAGGTAATTAAGTTAAAATGAGGTCATTAGGGTGGGCCCTAATCCAATATGACTGGTGCCCACGTAAGAAAAGGAGATTAGGATACAGACACACACAGAGGGAAGACCACGTGCGGACACAGGGAGAAGGCGGCTATCAACACACAAAGAAGAGAGGACTCGGGAGAAACCAAACCTGCCGACACCTTGATCTTGGACTTCTGGCCTCCAGGACTATGAGAAATAAAACGTCTATCATTGAAGCTACCCAGTCCATGGTATTTGTTACACAGTCTGAGCCGACTAATACAGGAGTATGCTACTTTGCATAGCGAGTTGGCAATATAAAATAATGGCAATGTCCACATATGGATCTAAAAATTTCAAACTTTGATACTTTCCCAGAGAAAGCCTCACACATGTGCACAGGGAGATAAATGAAAGTCTCCTATAGTGTTGTTTACAACGAGGGAGGGGAGAAGGATGAGAGGGAGTGGGAGAAGAGGGAGAGGGGCACCTGTTCAGGCCTGGACACATTAGGAAAAGGAAAGGGCTACCTTTCCCTGAAATCCTCCAGGACAGAGCTTACAAAGTTGCTAGGCAATGTCAGATCACAGGATGTGTTTTAACTCCTGCTGATTGAGGAACCAGTTCCCAGCTGAGTCACAGCTGAGGCTACCACGCTTGGGGATGGTGGGGAGAGGGAGACCACTGAACAGAGGTGGCAATCGCTAAATACTTGGCTATGTATGATGACAAGGAATTCCGATTCTCCTCTTTGGCTTCAAGAAGACAGTGTATAACTTTAATTTCAAAACAAAATCAAACCCATGACTCTCATACAAATATCAAATGAAACTGAGTCCAAAATTTTCAGTCTTTAAATGATGAAAGAACTAATGAGATGTTAATCCTGATTCAAAAGAGAATTTGAGGAGGACATTTTAGAGCTTTTCAGTCAAACAAATACTGAAATGAATTTCCTAAAAGATGCAAACAAGCTGAGGCATTAAGAGATATAAAGCAACAAATTCCACCCTCCGGAGTTAGCTTTTCTACCCCGTGGATATGATTTACCTGCTGCTGGACAAGAACCATCTGCCCTATTCCCAGTTTTCTGCAATGTAACCTCTACCCTCACAGAATTGTAAACTATCCAGAACAATAGAAAATAGAAAGTTGGACAAAGGACACAGGTCTAGAAAATGCGAAATCACCAGGAGTGGAGGGCTGGCCCAGCAGGAAGTGAGAAAACACCCGTAACAGTTGCTGCTCAGCTCATGATGGGACCACATCCTGATAATCCCATCATAAACTGAAAATATCCTCAGTTAAAATACATTTAATGTACCTAAGCTACCAATCACAGCTTAGCCTAGCTTACCTTAAACACGCCCGGAATACTTACCTTAGCCTGCAGTTGGACAAAACCATCCGGCAACACAGTACCCTTTAGAGTGTCTGCTGCTTACCCTCATGACTGTCCAGCCTGAAGCGATTATGGTTCTTTTCTTTTCTTTTTCCTTCCTACCTTCCTTCCTTCTTTCCCTCCTTTCTCTTTCTTTCTTTCTTTCTTTCTTTCTTTCTTTCTTTCTTTCTTTCTTTCTTTCTTTTCTTTTCTTTCTTTCCTTCTTTCTTTCCTTCTTTCCTTCCTTCCTTCCTTCCTTCCTTCCTTCCTTCCTTCCTTCCTTCCTTCCTTCCTTCCTTCCTTCCTTTCTCTCTCTCTCTCTCTCCCTCCCTCCCTCCCTTCTTCCTTCCTTCCTTCCTTCCTTCCTTCTTTCTTTCTTTTGACAGAGCCTTGCCCTGTCACTGAGGCTGGAGTGCAATGGTGCGATCTCAGCTCACTGCAACCTCCACCTCTTGGGTTCAACTGATTCTCCTGCCAGCCTTGAGTGGCTGGGATTCCAGGCACCTGCCACCACATCCAGCTAATTTTTTGTATTTTTAGTAGAGACGGGGTTTCCCCATGTTGGCTAGGCTAGTCTTGAACTGCTGACCTCAGGTGATCCACCTGCCTCTGCCTCCCAAAGTGCTGGTATTACAGGCGTGAGCCACCACACCCAGCCCTATGGTCCTGCTTTCTACTGAACTGTTTTGCCCTGTCATAAAGTCGAACCATCATGAATGGAGCAACACCTGTATACTGCTTGCCTATTTCCAAGTTTTGGATACTGCCATGTGGAGGCCAGGCCAGGAAGGAGTGGGCTCCACGGATGCCTCCCCAAATGGCCATGCAGCCAGCTTGGCAGGGGCTGGACAGATGGAGAAGAGCAAAAGAGGAACCAGAAAAGCAGAGGAGAGAGGAGGAAGGACCAGGAGAGCGGAGGAGGGACCAGGAGAGCAACATGAGGAGGCTCCCACCTCCCCCTCCTCCTTCCTCTCCCTCCTCCCTGGCTGGAACTCTTCCTGGCAGTCGACTGCCATTGCCCTGGTGCTTGCCTTTTTGTCCTCCACTTCCTTACCTGCAGGAAGAGCCTGCACTGTCCAGTGTAATTCCATCCAAGCATCCACCTTCCTCCTTTCAGGATGAAGCCCAAGTGCCTTAGAACGGCCTGAGAATGACCCTGAATGACCACTTCTCTGTCCTCTTTCCCATGTCTTACCTTTCCTTGAATGGAATAGTGTGTGGGCACCCCCATCTATTCCCTTACTTACCTGGGGCCTACCTAATTCACAAAAAGGGTGAAGATATAGCTGATTTTGCAAACACTGTTTCCCCCAACCACCGCCTGGTGGGCTTCTAGACCTTCTCTTCATTCTGCAGATCATGGTGCAGCCTGGCCACTCTCTAGAAGCTTCCCTTCCTTCTGCCATTCCTACCTTTTTTTTTCCCCCTGTTCTGCTCACATATACTCTCCATCACTCTACTGTCATTTTTTTTTCTTCAGTGGATCCTACAAGACTGTGGGCTCCTTCAGGGTCAGAACCATATCTGACCCTTGTGATTCCCCAGCTGTGAATGCGAGGTCTGTCACAGAGTAAATGCTCAATAAATATTTGGTGAGTTTAGGTGGATTTGAATTATTGCTCCAGTAATAGGCATATACAATTTTGACATTTCTATTCTGGCAAGCACAGCTTAGGCAGGACTGGAATTTGTGCAGTGTATTAGGATGATGTGAATTCCTAAAGCAGGTTGTCAACAGCAGCCTCTTATGGCAAAACTCAGCTGTCAAAACCAGGCTTTAACACCTCCTAAAAGCCTCAGCCTTAACCTTCCTAAAGCTAAGGAGTCATTTATTACTTATACTTGTGTTTCCTGAAGCACGTTTGTTCCAAATTTTACCAACTTCATAACAATTAACAACTACCCCCCCAAAACTTAAAGTGGTAGAACATATTACACTGAATTGGGTATGCAAGGGCTTTCCCTCCGTGGCACATGTGATCCAGCTGTCTCACTAGTTACTGATGGACTAGGAACTAAAAATTCCCCAGAATAATTTGCACATGAATTTTAATGGGTACTGGAAACTGATGAAAACTCTTCCCTCAAGCAGTATTTCCAAGCTCATGAAGTATTAATGTCCCCATCAAAGATGTATATCTACTTTAAAAACCTCTTAGAGATGGAGGTTCCCACTGAGCAAGGTGACATCTGCCACCGCAGAGATCACAGCCTATTCAGAGTGTGCATGCATGTGCGGTGCATGATTTACATATGTGGGCCACACCAACCCTTTAAGAACTAATGCCAAATGACAAGCTGTAGCGCTCTATCATGCACAACAGTGAACATAATAAATTATGGAACAACTTGAGTTTTGTGGGCACAATCTGTATTGACAGAAGAGAGAGATGCGATCAAATGGTATACACCTTGAAAATCAAAGAACAGTCCCCTTTTCTCGTGTGTAAGCACTGAAACTCCCCCCACAAACATGAAGAAATCTGTATGAGGTGTCATCTCCATATAGTCAGCGCCACTGAAAATGTGGCACAGTAAAGAATGCCCAGACCCACAACTTTGGGGCCTGAGCACAGCAGTAGCTCAAAGGTTGAACCTTCAGGGGGGATGAAAAGGCAGATACCAGCAAGTGGTGCAGGGATGGAATCCTGGAGCATGAGCAAAAGTTCACCAGCCACATCTTCACAATAATTTTGCAAGGTGTATGTATACATAGTGACTATATGTCCCAGTTGCCTCATGATGATCCTAGTGTCCTGGACTCCCATATATTTATCCTGGGTTTTCAGCTTTTAATTAAGTCTTATGACAAATAGTTACATAAAAATATGCTGGGATGAGATGGGTAGAACACCACTTTGCACTTCCAGTGGCTGCCATGGGCTTGTCTAACAGTGTGTGAGACGCATGTGCAGTGAGTGGAGTGCCAGCTTGAACACATGATTAAATCTGAAGGACGAGCAGCATGGCATACCTCAGAGACATGAAGGCAAAAGGCCACCAGTCTCCAAAAGAAAAAAAAATTGCTGAGAAATCATCAGCTTTTGCTTTAAAAGTTAGCAGTTATTTTAAGAACATGGTGCTCAAAGGTGAAAAATTAATGACAGAGTGACACAATGACAGACGCTGCATGAAGACATCACTTTAAGAAGCATGACTTTTCAGATCAAATGGCTGCTGTTCTAAATCAATTTTTTCTTCAGTTCTAGATTTTTTGAATGTATGAAAAGCCAAGCCATATTTGTTATTATGTGGCCTCCAATTTCAGACAAAGAACTGCAAAATCAGTCACATCATGTCGGTTTTGTTGGGGTCATTAGGTACCTTAAATAGAAAATTAATTAATAAAAAGTATTTAATTTTTAAATCTAATTCATGGAATCAACACAAAGCTTTTAGAAGTTTATGCCATAGAAAATAAAACATCTGAAATAATTGTGAATGCTATTGTAAATTTAATTTAAAAATTGATATTGAAGATACAATTTTTTGTGGTAAATATGAACACACATTTTAGTGGAGTACAGGTCATAGAAAAACCAATGTTCTTACTAAATTAATAAATCATGGCACAGGAATGTATTTAGTAAATAAGTGAAGAAACTATGACTCACAGTCAAGAAAAATTAGTCATTAGAAATAGACTCACAAAGACCCAGATGCTGGGCTCAGCATCAATGATTTTGAAATGTTTGTGGTAAACCGCTTATACAGTCCACAGGAATAACTGAATATAATAAATGGAGGGGGAAGGAAATTTCAGGAGAGATTTGAAAGCTATAAAAAGAACCTAATGAAAATCTCAGAGGTGAAAAGTACAATATCTGAAGTAGAAAATTCACTGGATGGGCTTAACAGGAGATTGGATGTAACAGAAGAAAGAATCAGTGATTTTAAAGAAAGAACAACGGAAACCTTCCAAACTGAAGCACAGGGATAAAGATAAGGAAGACAGCAAAAAATGAATGACACTTCAACGACGTGTTTAACTGTACCTAGCGGTCTAACATACATATACATGGTGTCCAGAGGTAGAAGAGGAGGAAAAGATGGAGTGTACACGTGTTTAATAAAATATGCATATATTCGTGGGAAGATCAAGCTCATTAACCCACTAATTTAGGAATCCCAAATTGTATAGATACATTCATCACCCCAAGTCCTCCACCCCCCAAAAAAATAACATCAAGGCAAACCAAATAAAAACTGCTGAAAACTAGAGACAAAGGGAAAAAAATATTTAAAATAGCCAGAGAAAACAGACATATGATATACTGGGAGCAATAATAAAAACTCATCATCACTCACTGCTCATCATCAATATAGAGACCAAGTGCTGATGGAGAAGCAAATGTTGTATGTATAATGTCACATGTATCATGTATAATGTTGCATTATACATGTGGCAGAATACTGTTTAGTCAAGGTACATTTTGTCAGTCGTGGGTGTTTAGTGTTGTCAGTTGAGTAACCCCTAAAACAGACTACAGAGATACAGCTAGAATGTCAATAGATGAGAAAAATGAGAAAATAACAATTAATACTTCAAGAAAGACAGGAAAGATGAACCAGCGAACAAATTAAGAAGTGGGGCAGCAGAAAACAAACGGCAAGTTGGTTGTGTTGTCTATTGCTGAGTAACAAATCACCCAAAATGGAGTGGCTTAAAACAATTAACATTGATTATCTCTCACAGTTTCTGGGGGTCAAGAATTTGGAATTGGCTTGGAAGGCCTTTTGACATTCCTGGCTAGGGGTCTTTAATGAGATTGCAGTTAAATGTCAGCCAGGGCAGCAGTCAGCTGGAGGTTCCCCTAGGACCGCCACGTCTCTTTCCAAGGTGGCTCGTTCACAAGGCTGCAAGTCCATGTAGCTGTTGATGTGACAGTACATTAGAAATGCATTGGCTATGGAATGCATTCAAGTATACAGACATGCCAGATGTTCCCTCATGCTGTATTTTAAAAAAATCTTTAGATAAAACTCTTGTTTAAAATTGGGAATTACAGGAAAGCTTTTCTTTGACTGTAATATAGATGAATATTCTATTTTTTTAGAAAAAACAACTTTTACAATATTTTGCAATTAGACCTCTTTTATAAGTGTACCATGTTAAAAAGAAATTTGTCAGTTACAAAATACATATATATATATGAAACTACATAATTGCAATTAGTTTTACACCTTCCCTTTATCCTAAAACGTTTCTTGGCTTAGCATATAAATTTTATGGTTATATAATTTATATAACTGAAACCACCACTGTGTACTTTGGGAGGCCGAGGCGGGAGTATTTACATGCATACAGATTGGCTTGCATTTCGAATAACTTCCTTGAAATAGGTAGCAAGGAAATACTGGATTGCAGAATGCAGATATGTAAGAATTTTGAACTTTTTAGCCAAATATCAATTGATGGTTTTTTCTTTTATGTGTTCAGATTTAAAATGAGAAGTTGGGAAGTGAATTTGTAATTTAAACAGGTGAAATGTTTAGACTGTAGGTTATTATTGACTGTAGGAGATTATTTGTCAGTGAAACCCCTTTTAGTTGCATCCTTCATGGAGATCTCGGCTCACAGCACACTCCAGGAATTTCTGATGGTAGAGGCCAGTGCCATGAGCCCAGAAACACGGTGCATTCCGAGAGGCACTGGCCACTGCCCTGTAACAGTGTCTAAATCAATCTGCTCCTTTGAGGGCAACAGATGCATGGCTAATGGCTTGACAGGCAGGACCCTTCCACCAAAACATACCATGTGCCATGCTGTTGTTGGAGTGGAAAGCACTAAATCACTAAGAAACAGCTTCTTTTTTTCATTTCTGTTTTTCATAGTAGCAAATATTAACCTACATATGGTCTTCTGTGTGTTATGGGTGGGTGGGTGAGATTTAGGCGGAAAAGAAAAGTGGAGGTGGTGAAAAAAATTTAAGTCTCAAGGAAATTATAGAAACTCAACATTTTATTAGATGTACACCATGTGACTCCTTTCAAATTTATATAATTGGCAACTCACTCAAAAGGGCTTTGGAGTCTTTGCTAACTTCGGACTGCAAACTTCAGACTCCACCTCCCTCCACCTGCTGATACTATGAGCCTTCTCCTGGTATCTGAGCATCAAGGACTCTAAAAAGCAACTCTTGCAAGTTATCTTATGCTGTTCTTTTATATCAACTGTGCTCGTAATTTTAGGAACTATCATGGCACCACCCTCTTTCTTCCTGCAATGTGGGCCTTTGTAAATTACCAAGTCTTATTTTAAATTCAGAGCCACAACAATTTGTGACAGAATCTGAAAGCAGCTCAGGGAATCTTCAGAAAGAGGCTGCGTGCAGGTAGTGAGGTAGCTCTTCTTGCTTTCCTCCTCTGTGCCTCCTCTTAGCCACATGAGGATCCTTGCTCTGTTCCCAAACAGGGTACATTCAGAAAGCTCTTTTCATTTGAGGCTGGGATCACAACCTGAGTTTCTCTCTGTCTGTGTTGTCCCCATCTCTTGTATCTTTCCTAGTGACCCATAAAAATAAGACATTCAGTTTCTAACTCTAGGCTAGATTGGTGAACTATAGTTCTCCTCAGTTCAAGAATCAAGAAGGGAGCCCAACCTGCTAGATGCCCCTTAAACAATGTGGTTCCTTGATTAAAAAAAACAAAAACAAAAACAAAAACATATCATCATTTCAATTCAAGCTGAAAAAGCATTTGATAAAATTCAATGTCCCTTCATGATAAAAACCCTCAAAAAACTGGAGATAGAAAGAACATACCTCAACATAATAAAAGCCATATACGATAGACCCACAACTAATATCATACTGAATGTGGACAAACTGAAAGGCTTTTCTGTAATATCTGGAACACGACAAGGATGTCCACTGTGCCATTTTCATCCAGTGTAGTACTGGAAGTCCTAGCTAGAGCAATCAGACAAGAGAAAGAAATAAAGGGCATCCAAATTTGAAAGGAAGAAGTCAAATTATCCTTGTTTTCAGATGACATGGATTATATTTTGAAAACCCAAAGACTTCACAAAAAACTACTAGAACTGATAAACAAATTCAGTAAAGTTTCAGGATATAAAATCAACATAAAAATCAGTAGCATTTCGATATGCCAACAATGAACAATGTGAAAAAGAAATTTTAAAAAGTAATCCCATTTACAATAGCCACATATAAAATTAAATACCTAGGAATTAACTAAAGAAGTGAAAGATCTCTATAATGAAAACTATAAAACACAAATGAATGAAATTGAAGAGGACAACCCAAGAATGGAAAAATGTTCCGTGTTCATGGACTGGAAGAATCAATATTATTAAAATGGCCATACTACCCAAAGCAATCTACAGATTTAATGCAACCCTTATCAAATTCCAATGGCATTCTTCACAGAAATAGAAAAAAAATCGTAAAATTTACATGAAACCACAAGAGACCAGAACAACCAATGCTATCCTAAGCAAAAAGAACAAAACTGGAGGAATCACATTATCTGACTTCAAATTATACTACAGAACTATAGTGAACAAAACAGCATGGTACTGGCATAAAAGCAGACACATAGACCAATAAAACAAAATAGAGAACTCAGAAATAAATCTACACACCTACAGTGAACCCATTTTGGACAAAAGTGCCAAGAACATACACTGGGAAAAGACAGCCTCTTCAATAAATGGTGCTGAGAAAGCTGGATATTCATATGCAGGAGAATGAAACTAGATCCCCTGTCTCTCTCCATGTACAAAAATCAAATCAAAATGGACTAAAGACTTAAATCTAAGACCTCAAACTGTGAAATAAAACTACTACAATGAAACATTGGGGAAAATCTCCAGGACATTGGTCTGATCAAATCTCTAGGACATTGGTCTGATCAAGAATTTCTTGAGCAATATCCCACGGACACAGGCAACCAAAGCAAAAATGGACAAATGGGATCACATCAAGTTAAAAAGCTTCTGCACAGCAAAGGATACAATCGACAAAGTCAAGACACAAAAGAAAGGGAGAAAATATTTGCAAACTATCCATTTGACAAGGAATTAATAACTGGGATAAATAAGGATCTCAAATAACTTTATAGAAAAAATATCTAATAACCCAATCAAATCAATGGGCAAAAGATTTGAATAGACATTTCTCAAAAGAAGACATACAAATGTCCAACAGGCATATGAAAAGGTGCTTAACATCATTGATCATCAGAGAAATGCAGATCAAGACTACAATGAGATATCATCTCACCCCAGTTAAAATGGCTTTTATCCAAAAGACAGGTGATAACAAATGCTGGCGAGGATGTAGAGAAAAGGGAACCTTTGTACACTGTTGGTGGGAATGTAAATTAGTACAATCACTATGAAGAACAGTTTGGAGGTTTCTCAGAAAACTAAAAATTGAGCTACCATATGATCCAGCAATCCCACTGCTGAGTATATACCCAAAAGAAAAGAAATCAGTATATGGAAGTATATACTCCATATATTGCACAAACACTCCTATGTTTGTTGCAGCACTGTTTACAATAGCCAAGATTTGGAAGCAACCTAAGTGTCCATTAACAGATGAATGGACAAAGAGTGTGATACATTTACACAATGGAGTACTATTCAGCCGTAAAAAGAATGAGATCTTTTCATTTGCAAAGATGTGGATGGAACTGGAGGTCATTAAGTGAAATAAGCCAGGCACAGAAAGACAAACATCACATGTTCTCACTTATTTATGGGACCTAAAAATCAAAACAATCAGACTACATCAAAAACCAAAAAATCAAAAAAATCAGAACTTATTTGTGGGACCAAAAAATGAAAACAAAACAATTGAACTCATGGACATAGAGAGTAGAAGGATGGTTACCAGGGGCTGGGAAGGGCAGTGGGGAGGTGCAGGGGAGAGATGGGGATGACTAATGGGTACAAAAAAAAATAGAAAGAATAAATAAGACCTACTATTTGACAGCACAACAGGTAGAACATGGTCAGTTATAACAGAATTGTACAGTTCAAAATAGCTTAAAGAGTGTAACTGGATTGTTTATAACTCAAAGGATAAATGCTTGAGGAGATATCCATCCCCATTCACCACGATGTGCTTATTTCACATTGCATACCTGTATCTAAACATCTCACGTATCCCATAAATATATACAGCTACTATATACCCACAAAAATAAAAAATAAAATAAAATAAATATAAAACAAACAACTAAAAAAACCCAATGTGGTTTCTGAAGTCACACCAATACTGCAGTTAGTTGATGGAATAATTCATCCATTCATTCAACAAACATTTGATGAGCACTAAGTGTGTATCAAGCACTGTTCTGGGCATTGGAGAGACATAGCAGCAAGCAAAACAGGCAGAAGTCTCCACTCTCATGTTTACAGTGTACTGGAAAAAGATGATAAACAGTGGGTAAAAATATAGAGTTAGATGCTATATTTTTCTAAAGCTATACTGAATACCTCTTGTGTCTGTCTCACGTGCTTTGAACCAACCCTTTACTCTGGCTACAGATACAGCAAATAACCCAGTGGGACCCTGACTGGAACCCAGTGGTGCTCGTACTTGTTCGAGGGGGTAAACATCCCATGGGGTGACCCTTGACCAGTGTGGGATGGATGACCACAGATAAATTCTCCCCTGCTCCCAGGAGAGGCGGTAAGTGTGGTGTGGAGTCAGGTTCTGGATCTATTTTGAAGGCAAATCCTGGGTTTAATGTGCTGCCATCTCCATCTTGAAATTCTTCATAATTTACCCTCAAGGGATCCCACATTTTTATTTTGCATGGGGCCCCGTAAGTTATGTGGCCAGTATTATCTATAATATTTGTTTTGTCAAAAAACAAAATTACAACAAAGTTAGGTTAAAGATCTAATTGGCTTTTATTTGCAATTCCAGAATCGGGCAACACCTCATTCTATAAAATATAATGAAGGCAGGGCGTGGTGTCTCATGTCTGTAGTTCCAGCACTTTGGGTGTCTGAGGCAGGAGGCTTCACTTGAGCCCAAGAAGTCAATGCTGCAGTGAGCTATAATAGTGCCATTGCACTTCAGCCTGCGTGACAAAGCAAAACTCTGTGTCTAAGAAACAAAAAATTATATATATGTGTATCTATATCTATATCTATATCTCTATATATCTTTATAGGCAGAAAGGGCTGAAGAAAGCAGAAACGGAATGAAAAAAGGATTGGTCATCGAAGTTACTTTCCTTACAGGGTTAAATCAGAAGGGACTTCCTTATCATGTGGCTAAGGTACACGTCCCCTTCTGATTGGTTGCTATGAATCTCCTGTTTTTTTGGAAAGCTGGCCTGCTTCAAGGTTTAGTTTGATTATGTGGCACTTAGCACAAGTGACTCCATTCTGATTTGCTCTGGTTTACTGGGGCCAGTGCAGGCCATTAGTCCAAAACAGTAGCCTCCCATAAATTTATTTAACAGCTGACAGACAAGAGACAAGAGAGAGGAATCGAGGTTGAAGCCAAGGACTTTGCTATTATCCAAGGTGGTAAGTATTTGAAGGAGAGGAAAGGGGAGAAGAGGAAGGATTCTCTGAAACCTCATTATAGTACAGAGCATGACAATTAGGTTGCTAAAGGAGTGCTGCATTTTATAAGAAGGAAGAAAGAGCTTGCAGCTTGGAAAGAAAGCAAGACCATTTGAAAACTTTCAATCGTGACAGTAGATTTAGAATTTAGTTAAGTATGTGGAGGATTGTGGGGTTTTAATACTATTAAATAATAAATGATGGAAACAGAATTGGCTTGTCCAACAAGAACAGAGAAGTTCTACACTTAAAATTAGGCATGAAGTCCTCGAGATGACCAGATGGTGGTAAAATAAAACTTTGCTCACATCTTTCTATTGTCTCGAAATGATCAAACAGAGGCCCTCCCTTCTTCTCCAGTAACTGAGTATCATCAAGAATAGGCTGGTAGCTGACAGTCACCATCTTCTAGGAACCTAGATCTGTCGGCTAATAGAATGTCAGGACATTTAAACTGAAAGCAAACTGAAATAATCTGATCATATGGCTTACCAGAGAAGTCCTTCTACTGTCACACAGACAGAGAAATCATGAGTGATCTCAGAACAAACTGATTTGACTACACATTCTTAGAGGGGCTCATTCTAAAGACAAAAGGAGTCTCACAAGATATCTGAAAGCTGCATTCTGTAGTAGTTTGTTCATAATGATATTGGTATCTTTATTATCATTTTTCTTTCCTTACATTTCATATAAATCACCTACTTTTTAAGAATTGAGATTTTTAAAGTATAATAAAAAAGGAAGTACAATTACTAGAATAAAAATAATTTTTAGGAAGGTATGCTGTCATGTTAAATCTGAACTGGAAATATCAACATAAATTTGTGCTTTTATGAAAAGTTATCTTGTCCTGCTCTGACTACTGAAATGGCCTTACAGCAATGTTACCTCCCTACATACATGGGGAGCCCAGAAGTGGCATCCAGTACCTCTCTCCAACGAGAGCCAGGA
The DNA here is from genome assembly GCF_000001405.40 of Homo sapiens. NCBI lineage: Eukaryota > Metazoa > Chordata > Mammalia > Primates > Hominidae > Homo > Homo sapiens. Next base: position 45,443,889 of record NC_000007.14, read on the forward strand.
AGGGATATGTTTGCCTGGAGTATGTGTGTGTGTGTGTGTGTGTGTGTATGTGCCAGAAAGTAAGAAAAAGTTAAACACTGAAACTATTACAAATAATTAAAGATTAAGGGACACAAAAGCCAACCTGCAAGGGACTCTCACAAGTGAAAGTTGTGGCAATTTTCCCACAAAAGGAGAATGATGGTAGTGATTGAAAGCACTTAAACATATAAAAGTCCATTAGCCCATGTTCTAAGAAAGAACGAACAATCATGAGTCCACGCCGATAATAAATAGATAACTAAATAAACAAATGGGAGAGAAGAGAGGGAAGTAGAATGCCAAATGTTTAGTTATCAACTTTTTTATAGTAGAATGCCAAATGCTTAGTTATCAACGTCAGTAAATTTAACATACTATCCATTGTTCAATTTTATCAGTAGCCCCAATAATATTTTTAGTCGAGTTTTTTATCCTCCTCCAGTTTAATCGCATAATTCTTGCCTGGGATCAGTATTGCATATGTCATATCTTTACAGTCTCCTTTAACATAGACCCTTTTTTGGGCTTTTTTTTTTAACTTTTATAACATGGACATTTAAAATAATGTACACTCTCAACTTTTATCCTTGTATTAGAATGGTCCTCATTTTGGGTTTATCTGATATTTCTTCATGAGAAGATTCAGGTTATGCATTATTTATTCCTGGCCAGAATAAAGCACTTAAGTAAGTTGTATATCTTCCATTAAAGATTGTTGCATGGACCAGTGTTTACTACGATGGTTGAAAAATGATGATTTCTCAACTAAAGATGCTTTCCACATTTACCATTTGGTCCTCAGAATTCTACTGTGACAAGAGCCCTCCCTTCATTCCCACTTATTTATCTGTCTGTTATTGGTGTGGACTCATGAATTTCTATTTCTTCCAATGGTTTATAATTCATCATTCTATTCAATTATTTTGGCACTCAAATTGTCCTAGATTTGGCCTGTTGGAGCACCTTAAAGCAGGCCCTTGTGCCCTTGAGATATTCCTGCATCATTTTTTTTTTTGAGCACTTCCTTATGTGTTGTTGCAACAAGATGCCCTTGGCTCATTTTGTACCCACTCTGCCACAGCCTGGAGTCAACCATTTTTCCAAGGAGCCCTAAAATTTTTTGGCAATGGTAATAGTGACCAAGATCTTGGGCTATTTTTGTTTCTTTACCCTCTCAGGAAATATATCAATAGATAAATAGATCATAGCTAAATAGATGGATAAATGATAGATTATGGACAGACGATTGATAGATTAGAGATTATAGATAGGTTATAAATAGATAATAGATAGGTTATAGACATATAATAGGTTATAGAGATACACAAATACACTTCCACACAGACCTCCATACACACATCAGTATGCCCACATACATCCATGTGTTCATTCTTACGTGTATGTAATTCAGGAATCATGAATTTACCTTGATGCTTCCAATTCCAGCTCTTGCCTTCTGGCATTCCATGTTTGTTACCTTTCATCCTCCTCCACAACAAGAACCTGACTCCCAGCAATATCAACACATTGGCTGAATTGCCCAATCCTACTATAATCTAAAATGATTTCAAGCCAGGCATGGTGGCTCATGCCTGTAATCCCAGCACTTTGGGAGGCTGAGGCGAGTGGATCGCTTGAGGCCAGGAGTTCAAGACCAGTCTTGACAACATGGTGAAACCCTGTCTTTGTTAAAATACAAAAATTAGCTGGGCCTGGTTGTGCATGCCTGTAATCCCACTACTCGGGAGGCTGAGGCACAAGAATCACTTGAGCCTTGGAGGTGGAGTTTGCAGTGAGCTGAGATTGCGCCACTGCACTCCAGCCTGGGCAACAGAGCAAGACTCTGTCTCAAAATACTACTACTACTACTACTACTAATAATAATAATTTCAGAGTTTCTTTGCCCATGCCACTAGAAAAATCAAACAGACCAAAAAAAGATTAGCATCTGATTGCCATGCTCCTGAAACTGCCTTTGCAAAATTGTAACAGTGAGAGAAATCTAACACAGGTGACTCTATCCTCCTTCTAACCTTGCCAGCTAACTGCCTCTATTCATCTTTTTCATGTAGGCCAAGCTAAATATGGGAGGAATTTATAGTTTAACTTTAAAGCAAGAGTGATAATATTCTCTTCCCAAAACTAACCTCTTCCTTTTTTGGGGATCAAAACTTCCCTTTGAAAAGCTAATAAAAGGCCACAAGCTTAGAATTAGGGTAGGGGCTTGAACTTTGCTGAAGAATAGGCACAGTGAAACAACAGCATGCCATTACTTGCTTAGCTTGCTTTTCTATAGTGCTTACTGTCCCAGAGTCACATAACTGGAGGTTGCAAGATTTGTAACTTCTGCAACTGCCCCTATAGAGGACATCACTATCATGAAACCTAAATAACTGGTCACTGAGATATTTTTCAGATTTAGCATTTGGCAGACTGAGAGACACCACCTGGACCTGTGACCCACACCAAGGAACTGACTCAACTGGTCTTGTGACTCCTTCCTGGGAACTGACTCAGCTGCACGAAGACAGTTTCAACACCTCTGTGATTTCATTCTCAGTCAATCAATTGTTTCAGTTCCCTAGCCCCCTGCCCATCAAAATACCTTAAAACCCATAGCTTCTGAATTTTCAGGGAGGCAAATTTGAGAAATATCTCATGTCTCCTCTCTTGGCTTGCCTTGTGATTATTAAACTCTTTCTCTACTGTAACTCCTGCTGTTGTCAGTGTATTGGCTTTTCTGGGCTGCTGGCAAGAAGAACCCCTTGGGCAATCACACTCCCTTCCATGTCCCTTCCAACAGTGTGGCTCTATAGTGCAATGCTGCTTTCAGAAGTTTCTAGAATTAGTTGTCATCTGTCCCTAATCCGCTGTAAGTTTTGGTGCTTATTTGAAATACTGCAGGGTTCATTGGTTTCCACTTGCTTCTGGTTTTAGTTTCTTACAACTTTCCCTTCTTGTTGATTTCTCTTAGTTTTTTGAATGTATAGAACCTTATTATGCTTCCAAAAGTCAAAATGATGTAAAAAGGCACACTCAGAGAAATATCTCGGCCTCAGACATCTCATTCCTTCCCCTACTCTGCTTTTGTTTTTCTTTTCTAGTTTATTCTTCCTGTTTTTTAAAAGATAAGGAGATATATGTATTTTTAAATCTCCCCTTCTGACAAAAAGTAGATGACATATACTACTTTAACACAACATTTTTTTCATTTAATCCTATCTCTTGACTCTCAGTCCATATTCTTTCATAGAGCTCTTTTTCATTCTTTTTTATACCTGTGTGTTACTCCATTTTATGTATATTCCATAGTTTATTCAACCAATTTCCTATATGTATGGGCATTAAATAGTTTCCAATATTTGCAATTGCAATGAATGATCTTTGTGTATGTATGTTCATGTTGTTGGAAGTATATTTTTAGCCTAAAGTCCTGGAAGTGGATTGCTGGGCTGAAGGTCAAATGCTTATCTACTTGAATAATGTGAAAACTAATGGTCTCCTACTTCACTCTTAACATACTCTCAATACTCCCAGAATACTTCACTTCTGACATCACATCCAATACACAACACTCCAACCAACAACGACATAATACACATTCTTTTCAAGTGCAACATGGAACATGCTCCAGGATGGATCACATGTTAGGCCACAAAACAAGTCTTAACAAATTTAAGAAGATTGACATGATACCAACTTTCTCTTCTGATCACAATGGAATGAAGCTAGAAACCAATAGCTCAAGGGAAACTAGAAAATTTAAAAATATTTAGAAATTATACCACACACTCTGAACACCAATGGGTCAAGAAGTCAAGAGGGAAGCTAAAAAATGTCTTGAGACAAAAGAAAATGAAAACACTGAACACCAAAAAGTATGAGATGCATAAAAAGCAATACCGAGAGGAAAGTTTATAGTGATAAACATCTACATTAAGAAAGTAATAAAATATCGAATCAACAACCTAACTTCATAGCTCAAGGAACTAGAAAAAGAACAAACTAAACCCACAGTTAGGGGAAAGCAGAAAACAATAATTATAAGAGCAAAAACAAATAAAACAGAATAAAAAACAGAAAAATAAAACTAAGAGTTGGTTTTCTGAAAAGGTCAACAAAATTGCAAACTTTAGATTAAGAAAAAAGAAGACTCAAAATTATAAATGAAGGGATATTGCAACTGATGCTACAGAAATAAAAAGGATCATTAGAGACTGCTATGGGCAGTTCTATGCCAGTAGATTGGATAATCTAGAAGAAATGGATAAATTTCCAGACACAGACTGAAAGAAATAAAAATATTTTACCCCAAAATATATTTCTTTAACATATTTTGAGATGGTTGCCATGGGGCCAGCAAACAGAAGTGGCCCTGCAAGGCTGTCTTTTGTGGCAGAGAGTTGCATCTGGAGATCTGTGGAGAATGTGCCTTAATGCTGCCAGCCCTTTCCTTGTCTGGATCTGGGAAAGATTCACCGAGAGCCTGGTACCTTAAAGATCTGAAAGGAACATTTAGCATCTATTTTGTCTGAGGGCTTCTACCTGTGAGGTTTCATCCACATAACAAGACCATCTTTGCTAGCTAAGGCTCTTCCTTTCTCCCTTCCATCACCTCTCTGACTACTAAAACCTGACTTACCATCTCAACCTGTTTTGGACCAAGCTCTGAGGCCTCATTCTTTCTGTAGCCTCAAGATGGTATATCAACTCCTGTACCGAATTGAGGGATTGAGTCTTCATTCTGAGGACTCCTGTGCATACACATTAAATAAATTTGAATGCCTTTTCTCCAACTAATCAGGTTTTTGTGAGTTGATATTTCAGCCAACCTTTTGAGGGCCAAGGGCCTTGGCTGCCTACAATACAACCTACCAAGACTAAATTATGAAGAGATAAAAAATATGAACAGATCTATAACTAGTAAGGAGATTAAATCAGGAATCAAAAACTTCCCAAAAAAGAAAAGCCCAGGACCAGATGACTTCACTGGAGAATTCTGCCAAACATTTAAAGAATTAACACCAATCCTTCTCAAACTGTTACACAAAATTGAAGAGGAAGAAACACTTCCTAACTTATTTTGTGATTCTAGCATTACCCTAAGACCAAAATTAGACAAAGTTCCTAGAAAAAAAGAAAATTAGGTACAGGATGGGTCCCTTGAGTGTCCTTGGCCCATCCAGCTCTCCTACTTGTAGTTCTTCAGATAACTCTAGGGTGTGCTGAGGGCATAGCACCCTGAGATGGGGAAAAACTGTCCAGAACAGCCTGGGCTTTGTCTTCATCCCTGACAGGAGGTTCTGCAAAGCTTTTGCTCAGTGATCTTACTTGTCCCTGAGGTATAAAAGCCCAGACTGTTTTCAGGTCCTAGAAAGTGGGGTGTGCACAGACAATATTCTATTCACCCTGGGCAGTTTTCCTGAGCCATTCTTGGCCATGGGTCCTTGGCTTCTGTTGGTTCTTGCTGCTATCCTATAAGTAATAAGATTGCTTTGCATGACTTGTTGTGTGTATATCTTAGCAGACTTGTTCTATGGCAACACGGTTTGTGCACAACCTCCTTCCAGATCTTAGGAACCTAAGCAGAAAGTGGCAAGGTGGTTTTAGAGTCCTTCCCTAGGAGTGAATTCTGCTTAACACTATAGACAAATATCCCTCATTAATATTAATTCAAAAACATAAACAAAACACCAAGAATATGAATTCAATACTATATTAAAAGAATTATACTCTATGACCAAGTGGAAATTAAAAGTGATTCTAAATGTAAAAACCAATCAATTCAATATACTACGTTAACAGAATGAATTAAAAAACCCCACAAGCTCAACTCAATCGATGCAGAAAAAGCATTTGACAAGATTCAACACTCTTTAATGATAACAAAAAAACTTCAACAAACATGGAATAGAAGGAAATTACCTCAACATAATAAAGGCCATATATTAAAAGCCCGCAGCAAACATCATACTCAACAGTGAAAAATTGAAAGTCTTTCCTTTAAGATTAAGAATGAGGCAAGTATATGCCCACTCTCACCACTTCTATTCAACATAGTACTGAGGGTCCTGGCCAGAACAATTCGACAAGAAAAGAACATGAAAGGCTTCCAAATAAGGAAGAAAGAAGTTAAATTTTCTCTGTTCACAGATGATATAATCTTATATGTAAAAACCCTAAAAATTCCACAAAAATAACTTGTTAGAACTAATAAATGAATTCAGTAAAGTTGCAGGATACAAAACCAACACACAAAAATCATCTGTGATTCTGTACATAATAATGAATGATACATAAAGAAAAGTAATAAAACAATCCCATTTATAATAGAATCAATAACTAAAATAATAGTCAAAAGAATTGCCAATAGGATCGTGAATAGATATCTGCACATTCAAGTTCATTGCAGTGTTAATCACAATAGCTAAGAGGTGGAAGCAACCTAAATGTCCATTTACAGATGAATAAAGAAAATGTGGCATACTCATGCAATAAAATATTATTCAGCCTTTAAAAGGAAGGAAATTCTGATACATACTACAACATGGATGAAACTTGAGAGCATTATGCCAAGTGAAGTCAGCCAGTCACAAAAAGACAAATACAAGTACTGTATGATTTCACTTATATGAGGTATCTAAAGTAGTCAAACTCTTAGAAAATGGCTCTCATGCACTGAGTCTAGCTCTGGGTGGGGGCCACAGGACTTATTGTCATGAGTCTCAGGTTTAGGTGGGGGTCAGTCAGTTGCCAGAATGCAAAAATCTGAAAAACATCCCAAAAGGCCAACCTTAGGTTCTACAATAGTGATGTCATCTGTAGGAGCAATTAGAGAAGTCACAAATCTTGTGACCTCTGGCCACATGACTCTAGAGCAGCAGCAGTTTATAGAAACTATGCCTACACTTTAGGAGAATTCAGGTCCCTCTGCTCCTAATCTTGTGGACTTTCATGCATCTTATAAAGGTGGTTTCAGCCCCCGAACAAGGAGGGGACCAGTTTTAGGGAGGACTAATAATACCCTTGCTTCAAAGTTAAACTACAAACTACATTCCTTGCCTGATTAGCATGTCCTACACCCAGGAATGAGTGAGGACAGCTAGACTATGAGGCAAGAAGCAAGGTGGAGTCAGCCATGTTAGATTTCTTTCACTGTCATAATCTATGCAAAGGCAATTTCAAAGATATTCACAATACAAATATAGCCTATTCTTACTAATTATGAATTCTGTTATTTGTGAATTCACCTATGTGCTGAAATGTATCTATAACATCAATATCAATACGCATGGCTCTTCTGTTGTCATTTGCAGACGTGCAGATTAGTGTAAAATTTGAGTCGTCTAATATGCGTGTTCCCAGCTGAGGTCTAACAAGGTGACACTCTGCCTTCTTATATCAGCTCTCATGCTAATAACGAGTGTCTTTAGCATGATCTATTTAGTGCCACCTTTTTTCTTTTTCTTTTTTTTTTTTTTTTTTGCATTTTTGTGCTTTCTGTTGGTGATTTTACTGTTTAAAATGCCTCCCAAGTGTAGTGCTGAACTGTTGTCTAGTGTCCCTAGGAGCAGAAAGGCTGTGATGTGCCTTAAGGAGGAAATAAGTTTGTTAGATATGCTTTGTTTAGGCATGAGTTATAGTGCTGGTGGCTGTGCGTTCAGTGTCAAGGAATCAACAGTACAATAAGCCACATCCAGAAAAAGGAAAAGGAAATTGACCAATCTGTATGTGAGGCTGTTCTTCAAAGTGCTAAAGTAACATCTAGAGTGTGTGATTAAGCTAGGGAAAAGATGGAAAATCAGCTAAATTTGTAGATTCATGAAATGACAACCGATTTTTTAAAAAGTACAGTGGACTGCATTGCTGTGAGGCTGAAAGCCAAAGAAATTTATGGTCATGTTACTCAGGGAGAGGAAATGTTCATCCTTCTCAGCTAGTGCTGGCTGACTCACACATTTCAAAGGCAATACAGTATGAAAAATAAACTTGCAGGTGAGGCAGATTCTGCAGATTGGGAGGCTGTGGAAGGTTTTTTAGATACCTGCTAAGTATTATACTAAGAAAAAGGTTGTATGGAAAATCAGGTTTTAAAAGCTGATAAGATTGTCTTGTTTTATGAGGACACCGGCAAGTGAACCCATATAATACAAATACCATTTTGGTTGATGAAAGTGTTGTGATCAGAGGCTCTCAGGAAGTGAACTCTGTATGTTTCTTAAGAGCAATAGTTTAATATTTTCTAATTCAGTGTTCACAGTGACTTTACAAAACATAAATATCACAAATAAGGGGAATAGATATAGTTGACAAAAGAGTTATATCCTATATACAGGAAGAAGTCCTACTACTCAATAATAAGAAGACAGCACAATAGAAAAACAGCAAAAGACTTGAGAAGACATTTTAAAATTGAACAAGATGACCTATAGACATATGCCATATGTCCATTTTATTAGAGATTTGGGAGATGCAGATAAAAACCACAATGTGATATCACTGTATACCCACCAGAAGACTAACAGATTACCTTTTAACAGAATATTTAAAACAACCTAAATTTTCAACTCTGGGGGGAGGTTGCCAGACAATGACACATTCCTGGTAGCAATATTGAACCAATAGTAATAAATGTTTATTTCACAGAAGAAAGGCTGAAAAGAAATATACCAATATATTAAAAATGGTGATCTTTGGCTGGTAGGATTAGAGGTAACTTATTTCCTTTATATTTTTTCTCAAATATTTCAAGATTCATCACATAAGTATAATTATTTTTGTTTAAAAAATTACATGTGCTACTTTCTGAAAAAAGAATGACCATTTTATCATTCACATTTTTCTAACTTACAAAGATATCTCTTTTTTTTTCTTTTTATGCCAATAGCCAATTTGGGTGTCTCTGCAGGCTAGTTGCTGGCATGGAAATTACTTTTCAAATTAAAATTTAAAATGCATTATGAAACATTCTAAATGATTTCTGAAAGAAGAAATTGCATCTTAGTCAAAATAAACATTCTGATTTCTGTGTTGTAATTCTGAATAATAATAATCTCATCACAGAAATAAAAAGAAAATTGCCTCAGTCATCGAACTGATAGAATATAGACAATGATAAACCTCATGGTATACAATAGAATTAGACAATTGATCAATAATCAATATTGTGCACATGGCCAGGGTTTTATTACCATATTTTATTGGCAATAAATATTCTGTCTTGTCTTCTTGCAGGAAACAGAGAAGAAAGATAAGAATACAAAATTCATATTTTGAAAATTCAGACTCATTAACTGTCATCATCATTGCTCTAAAAGAAGCTGAATGGAGTAATTCAATGGTGCAAAAGTCAAATCTTAGCTCTTGAACTGTAGCATTAACAGACATTTGACTTTCATAAGTCTTCTGTGAGATGTTCTGACATTGACTAGTCCCTGCATTTGACAGGGGCCTAGGGCTCCCCAGAAGGGGAAGAGACCTTACTCAAGGCCCTCTGGCTGCCCGCCTGTAGAGCATCTCAAGACTGCACAATGATTATTTCCTGATTTGGTGGATCTCATGAGGCCTCTCTGCCGAGCTCCTAACTAGCTGACCGGTGAAGGGTGAGGATGCTAGCAGAGTGCACCAGCTCACAGACAAAACAGACTCTGCAGACTCACTGGACCACATCCAGGAGGGAGAGGCCATGGGCTTTGCCATGCACCAGAGGAATCTCTTAGTTCTGGTGGTAGGAGGCAAGAGAGGGGGTGAGGAGGGATGGAGGCAAAGTATTTTCCAAGATGATACGGATGAGAATTATGAGTTTGTCCTGTGATCAAAAAGAAAATAAATCTGAGTGAAATTTTGGAAATAAAGATACATGGCTCACTATCCAATGTGAGATGGCAGGGCAGCCATTGAGGCTTCAGAGAGGGAAGTCAGATAGCTCCCGGCTCAGCTCAGTGTAATGGCCATGGCGGGGAGCATCAGGATCCTCCTGGACTCAGACCACATTCTCTCTGGGAGGGCTTGAGCAGAGGGCTGCCCCTGCACATCCACCCTGCAGGGAGAATCAGCAGAACCCACGGTGCCACCTGCACATCCAGCAACAAGGGTCCCAAGCTGCTGCTGCATGCTTGTGATCTGCAATTCTGCTCACACAAAAAGATGTATAGGAAGGGTTCTGGTGAGCAGACATGGACTTTGAGCATGGAACTCCTCCTGATCCTCTGATGCCCTCTCATCCTCTGGAGAACCTCCCCATTGCCAGCTGTCCTGCTGGGGTTTCCTGCAGATGGAGCTGCAGCTCAGGGACAAGGGGAGACCCCGGCAGTCGGAGCCTGTGGCATGGCCCCCACAAGGCCACAAGCTGTGGGCTGTGAGCTGGGCATTGTGGTCACTGTAGCCACCTGCAGGGAGGTAGCTTCCCCCTTGGCCAAGAGCAGAGAATGGACCCACTCTGACCTGGGGCGGTTGTGAAGGGTGAGCCGGCTCAGCCCTGTGTCTGCCCCAGGGATATACAGCCTTTGCCAGAGAAGACCCAGTGTGGACAGGGCATTGGTGTGGTGACTTTTGGGCCTAATGTTTTAATTCTTAAGTTGAAATTATGTTCTGTGATGTATAGACCTATTTATCTAAGAGATGGAGGCCCACAATTTTAGAGGCAGGGGATTTTAAAAGGAGTGAGAGACACCAGAAATAAACCACACACAACTATTGTTTGATGAAGCCACGGATTGTATTTATCTCACATGTGCACTGCATTGAGAGAAGCCTGCAACAGACTGGGAGGCTTTTGCCCAGCACGATGATGTAGGGCCCAAGCTCTCCCTGGCCTCTGGTACTGTGCAGGCTGCTAGAAGCTTACAACACAGCCACCCACAGGGATGTACTTCGTTGAGGAGAAATTCTTTAATTAAAATTTAAGACATGATCCGAGCAGGTATTTCTTAAATTCAAAATGACAATTCAACATTCAAAGTGAATGACAGAAAGTTACATACCTGTGTAACTTAATGTCAGAGGGGCTCCTGTGGCACACAAAACATCCTGTTATCCTTGTATCCAACCTGGCAGTGTTGAATGTACCTGAGCCTGTGGTCCTGGAAAGCAGTGATAGATAAAGAATTGCTCCACCAACCCCTCCCACCCCCCTCCCCCATCCCCCTACTCCCTCATCCGACTTTTATCACCACTAAAAAAAAAGTCCCTTCCTTATGTGCCTTAGATGAGACTGGAGGTGCCCCTTGTTCACCTAGGACTGGGCCAGAGCCAGACCCTCCACATTTCCATCTTTGCTGCATAAATGCTTTGCTGAGTTGCTCGTGCCCACTGATCAGTCAGAACAAAATAATTTTTAACCCAATGTTGGTTCAGTTTCTGTCTTTCAGGCCCCTGCACCTCAGCTCCTCCTTAATTTGAACCGCTCGGGGGCCTCCTGAGCACATGTGACCTCAGGTCAAACCTTCTCTGATCTATGTCCAAACTTGCCACCCCCAGCCCATTTTCCCAAACCAGCTCCTTCTAGCCTTATTTAGTCCTCTCTGTACAAGAAAAAACGACTTGCCTAACCCTTGAGTTTGTTCTCACCAAGTCTGGATTTGTTTTTCATGTGACAAACTTTGCTAATTCTATGGCCTATGGAAGCCCCAGCCTTCTCCCAGGTCAGGCCTGGCCTGAGCACGCAGTGCAGGGGGCACGGTGAAAACACAGGCTGCATACAAATGTCTGAGATAAAAATCAAGCTGTAAGTCAACCCAGCAAGCATTTAAATAAAACACACCCTCTTCTCACCTTCGCAAAGAAACCTGCCCAATGACCTGAAGTCCTGGTTTAGATTTAGAAGAGTAGCACAGCAACACAGGGGAGAACTGGCTCCTTTCCCTGATGCATGGGCTCAGGAGGCCCCTGAAAGGTCTGACCTGCAGGGGTGTGGTCACACAGCTCATGTGCCCTTTGGACCTCGGCTGGACACAGCCACACATGGCCAGCCCCCTAGAGGATGGGCCACGGGGGTGCTGCAGGCCGTGGGGCTGGCTCTGGTGGTGAGTAGGAATTCTGGGTTCAGTGCTCAAGCTGAGTGCCTTGGCCCACAGACTCACTGGCCAGGAGAGGGTGGGTGTCAGGGACAGTGGAGCCCACAGCAGGCACCAGGGAGGGGCTCTGAGAAGGGCTTTCTCCAGGCTTCTCCACCTCCTGGGCTGTCGGTCCAGGCTGTCATTGCACTTGTCATATTGACCTAGATATAAAACTCACCCTCTTTGAATTGCCGAAGCTAATGGATTTCCTCAAACAATCTTTTACCCCTGGAGATATAAACAAGCTTTCACAGAGGGGCTGGCCAGGCACTGGGGATGGGAGGCTTCTTCAACATTGTGTCACCCTGGTGGTCAGGTCCTGCTGCTGGCCTCACCTTCTGCCCGGCCCACGGGCTCCAGGTTCCTCCCGCTTTGCTCCTCCTGTGGTTGCCCTCCCTCCACTCCAAGAGGAAGACGATTCCCTTTGCTCAGCCCCATGTGCAGTATCTCAGGCCTCTCTCTCCAGGAAAACCCAATGCCATGAGGAGCTCTCAGGGGCTGTGGGGCTAGGGCAGGTGTTCACATTTGTCCTCAGGCACTTCCAGGGCAATCTTGCGAAGAGACGGCTTGGGTATGCAGGTGGGGGGATTTGTCCTGTTGTGGTAGAGAGAGCTGCTTTTCAGATTGTAAAGCCCATGCTGTTCCTCACCTTGAAACTCACTGCAGTCATGGGAAACCGTGTCTCACAGAGGAGGCACTTGCTCAGGCCAGAGAGGCAATGGCCCATCCCAGGACCCTCGCAGCGGGGGTTGGGGCTGTGACTGAGCCAGCAGGCACTGCTCCCCTTCCCTTGCCCCTGGCCCTTGGCTTGGACATGTTCTTCCCCATTGGATGCCATAAGAGGATTTTATCAAGTTCTCCTCAGATCATTACTGGCCAATGCCTTAACCTCCCAGGAAGCCTCTCATTCCCAGGAAGCCTCTCATTCCCAGTCAGCCAACACTAAACCACATGCAGCTAATGACTCCCCAGATTTGGAATTACTCCCAGTCTGCTGCAGGCCCCACTTCCAACCCCACCCTCAACTTTCCCATCTCATCTACCTCTGGAGAGATGATTCCTTTGGAGAAACTCCTGGCTTCCCACTTGATGGCTCCTTTCGCTTGGACTGAGTGATACCAGTGAGCTGGAAGAGGTCCCCAAATGCCAGGAGGACCTCACCCCAGCTGGTGTCCAGGCTCTTGACAACATTGCGAGAAGGAATTCAAGGATGAGTTATAAAGTAGTGAAAGTACAGAGATTTATTGCAAAGCAAAAAGTACACACTCCAGAAATGGGAGTGCGGGCGTGCTCAAGAGACAGTCGTACCATGGGGTCTGGGGCTGCTGTCTTTATGGGTTTCTTTAACCAAGGGATTGAATATTCATGAAAATTCCTGGAAAAAGATGGAGATTTCTCAGAACTGTGGTGCTGACTTGATAGCATCACAGCCTTTTCTGTAACTGCAGCTGACTGCTCCATGCATTATTTCTAACTTATCATGAAATTTAAAAAGCAATAAACAAAGAACTTACCATCAACATGGCAAAGCAAATTCATCTGTAAAACCCTCTTTGTTCCCATGACAGAAAAAATATAAAGTGAAAGAGGGAGTATAAGATACAGCAAACCTCAGGGTAAGATGCATGTATTTGGTGACAAGAAAGGAACACAATGAAAATCTAGTGGTGCCAGCTCCGTGGGTCACAGGGCTCCCATCGGGCATGCACTGTGAATGTGCTCTGGGCAAGGAGGGGACTAAGCCAGACACCCAGAGGCTGTGGGCTGGGGCTCAGCTACCACCTGCCAGCTGGGAGTTACATTGTCACCAGGGCCCTGAAGAGACTGGCTGCAGGCCAGATCTACAAGATCCCAGCAGGGGCTGGTGGAGACACCCTAGAGCAGGTGTTCACAGAAGGAGAGAGCAAGGGGGAGTAAGAGGAGAGAGAGTGAAACAAAAATCCACCCACTCCAAGAAGCCTGCAGTCTCAAATTCCAAACCAGCTGGAGAGGCAGAGGTTAACAAATCCAGACGGCAAGTTGGTTAAAGTAAAGTTGAGGAGGTCCGTGGTCAAATGGACTCTCTTTTCTTACACTCCATCCATTGTGCAAAATCTGGCCACACTGCAATTTGCCTTGTATGTTCTTTCTAGTACATAACATTTTAGCAGAGCTTTTCTTCCCCCTAAAGAGTGTTTTCCTATTCCATTCTGAAAGAGAGTAATGTGTTTTGTCCAAACCACTTCTACCCACTGAGCACCCTTCCCTCACCTCCCCCTCCCCGTGAATCAGCACTGCCTTCAGTGGGTCCCACTCCTCTCTGGACCTAGGGGTATACCCAAGGGCAATCAAAATCCCACATTTATTGCTTCCCTCATTTTCAAGTAACTTCCTAAGAAAGGGTGCAGGAATGACTTCATTTTTGAAGCTCCTGCTTGCCTTAAAATACTTCAGTGGGCCCTCATACTTGATTGATGGTTTGGGGGCAGAGTTCTAGGTTTAACCTTATTTAGAATCTAGAATTACTAGGGAGCATCCTGATGCCCCTTTGGCTCTCATTCCTTTGCAGCTGAGCTGCTTTTTTCTATGAAAACTTCTAGAAACTTCTCTTTAATCCTTGACATTCTCACAGTCTATTAAAAATTCTGAATACGTGGGTCCATTTCAATCATTGTGGGTGCAGATAGGTTCCTTGTAGGATCGCCTGGTGGGAGCCCAGGAGGGGTAGGGCTTATCTGGTGCTACATCCACCATGCAAGCCTTGGAACTCCCAGGAAGGAAGGTCCATTTTTTCCAAGGAAGAGCCCTCAGGTTTTTTGCCATGGGGTAAGTAGCTCTCATAGGTGCCTCTCTTTACACAGGTGTTGAGGAGTTGCTGGGGGCTCCACTTGCTCCACAGACAGCTCTCAAATGAACCCCACTCCTGGCCTCCACTGTTGCCACTGACCTTGAGCTCGGGAGCTCAGGGCAGTTTCTGGAAGGGTGTTCACTGTGTCTTCCTTGGCTCTGTCCATCTGTCCACTTGTGCCCTTCCACGTAGGTCTGTCTGTCTTAAGTCATCCGTAAGCTTGGAGACCCCTTTCCTTGCTTTGCTGCTGTGAGTTTATTCTTTTCTGTGCATTTATAGGGTCATTCACTGGGGTTTCAAGAAGGGTAAAAGCAAATGCAATATTAACTTTTAAATTATTGCTGGAAGCATAGGTAACAAAAACCCGTCTCTTTATTTTATATTTCTTTGCTTACTAGTGAAATTTCATTTTTATTATATACTCACTAGTCATTTGTATCTCCTTTGGGACTTGACTCTCCATGTCTCTTGACAACTAAAGTATTTGGGTCTTAATGTTTTCTTAATAATTTGTATGTGCTCTTTATATATAAAAAGTTGTCTACCTCTTTCATAATGTTTGCTACAAATGTTTGTTACAAAAAGTGTAATTTAAGAACGATGGACTCCAGGAGAGTAAAACGATGGCTGCCAATGTGCTCTGAATATTCTCTGCCTTATCTGCATTTGAGCTAGGACCACAGAGCCGTTCATATATCCCCTGGAATTCCTCCTAAGCTGCTTGAGCACATCATTTTGAAAGCCTCACTCCACCTCCTTCTGATTCAGCTGAGCAATACAGAAACCAGATTAAACGTGGGTAGTCTGCATTGCCCAGAGAGAATATCATGTGTTCCCTTTAATTACTTGTTACTTAACAACTTGATCTATTTATGTTTATAGGAATCAGGTGGTGCCAATCTGGTTCATAAAAAAGCCACTTGATGGAGTTCCATGTAATTGCGCATGGGCTAATTACATAAATCAGCTATTTGTGATCCAAATTGAGCTTTGGAAGCTGCTTGAACTCCTTCGATTGTTCCCCACAAGCAAATAGAATACCCAGAAAGCCAAACTGCCTAAACTATTAGAGAGGTTGCCACATCATTACGGCCTGGCTGTCTGCCCTAAGAGTCCACACCTGAGTCTGAACAGCCTTCTATCAAGGTGGGGGATGCACTACCTTCCTCGCAGAGTCACAGGGTGGATTAAATGAGATGGCCCATTCATCAGCCTGCTAGGGCTGCTGAAAAAGTACCCCAAACTGGGTGTCTTCAACAACAGGAACTTATTCTCCCATAGTTTGGGAGGCTGGAAGTCAGAGATCAAGGTGATGGCAGAGTTGGTTCCCTCTGAAGCCTCTGGCTGTAGATAGCCATCTCCTTGCTATGTCATCATATTTTCTCCCCTCTGCACATGTCTGTGTCCTAATTTCCTCTTAATAAGGGTACCATTCATATTGGGTGCGTGCCAACACTAATGACCTGATTTTACCCTAGTTACTTCTTTAAAGACCCTGTGTCCAAATACAGTCACATTCTGAGGTGCCAGGGGTTGGACTCCAACCTGTGACTTCTTGGGGGGACACAATTCAACCCCTAACAGCCTGTGGAATTGCTTAATGGGATTTGGTGTGCAGTGTGTACACCATAAATGTCTGCGAATATTTTAGAAAGTCTCCTTAGAAGGATGATGTGAAAAACACAAAAGAATTATCAAGGTCCCTCTCTCTGCATCACAGCCCCCGGGACAATGGTTGTTGGAGGTTTACTCACTGCTGAGAAAGCTTGCCTGTGGCATTTGGGGAGATTATTTCCTCCATGTAATGCCCGGCCTAAATATTTGCTTTTCAGTATTAATCATCATGGCAGCTATGGAGAGTTTTGAAACAGAATCATCCAATCTTTCCTAAAAGTGCACCAGGCCAAAGAAGATACACTGGAAGATGTTATTAGCTCCTGAAATTTGGTAACAAGAAAGGCCTTTAAAGTCTCCAGGACTTTAGCTCCTTAACGGTGGGACTATGCTTTAGATAGAAGCTGATTAGTAAATATTGATTGAATGAATACATCCAGACAGAGTGTTTGGAATCTTGGCTCACCCTGCTCACCTCCCCAGCTCCCAGTCTGGTCTGTCTTCATCATGGGAAATGCTTGCTGTACTGGCCAGAATGAGCATCAGAACATGCAAAGAGCCCAGGTATGAATTCTGTTCTTGATTCACCCACTGATTTGATGTGTGATTTTAAGGCAATCCCTTTCCCAGCGTGAGCCTTGGTATTCCCATCTGGAGAAAGGGGTTTTTGGCCTCTGAGGGCTTTCTAGCACTGACTGGAGCTCTGAGAGGAGGATGTCCCATCTCAAGAGAGGGTCTCCTGCTGGCGTGTTCTAGCCAACACTGATCTTCCTGTCTCCCGCTCCTACCTCAGAAAGCAGAAGTGAGTGGGTGAACATGATACCCACTGGCTTCACAACAAGAACAGGAGTTGACTTATGTCCCCTTTCTATTAGGAACTTGGTAGTTGCCTAAGGGGCCAAAACTTTGAAAACTCTGGGGAAACTGCTTTTGAATAAATGACAGCTTTCTGATTTTATTTAGTAGTAAGAGAGAAATTTTCTTGTGAAACTTGAACTTTGTTTTAGAAGAGTCTGTTCAATCCACAAATGAGAAATCCTTATTTCTCTTATAAAAGCAACACATACTATGCTTCATAGAATATGGTGGTGGTGTGGGAGCTGGTTAACCCTGACTTACGAGAGCCAGATGCTAAATAGGCAGGAATTTGGGGAGCCAATTGTTCAACACACACACTATCAAAACTTAAGTTATATAAATAATAAATAATTTTTAAAAAGGCAAAACACACTCAAACCTCATCACTTTCTAATGATTACATTTTAATATTATCTTGAGCTAACTTTCACATCTATTGCATGTATAGTGGATATACCATGTAATGTACATGTAAGACTATGTGTGTGTGTGTCTCTTTTTCTCTCTCCCCTTGTTTTTCTGAGAGCTGATTGTTAAACATTTACCAATATACAATTGATTATACTACATAAAAACCTTACATCACTTTCTTGCTTTGAAACTTCCATTGGATTTTCCTTGCTCAGGAGAGAGAAGTTAATTTCCTCATAGTTCATTCTGGAATCTGCCCATATTGGCTTTTACTTCCTCCCTGAGCAACTATCCCAACATTTTTCCTTCTCTGTTTATACTCTTATTCCAGTCCCATGAAATTCCAATTGAAATTAACTTCTAAATCTCTATCTCCAGCCTGGCCCTCTCACGCAAGTGCTAGTTGACTATTTGATATGGTATCCCCATCTGGATGTTTAATAAAAATTTCAACCTTTTTGGCCAAAAAAAAGTTGACTTCAAAGTCACCTTAGCCACTCACCCCCGACACGCATCTCATGCCAATATATTGTATCACATTCACCATTTTCTTAAGCCAAAAGTTTAGGAATCATCTTTGAATCTTTTATTTTCCTCACCCCATATACAAAATTCATCAGCAAATTCTACCAAGTTTATCTAAAACATGTATCCTGAAAAATGTCGTTTCTCACCATTTTCAATGCCATGTTTGTAGTCTATGTTATTCATCTCTTTTTCAGTCTTATTCATGCCACACTCTTCTTACTTCAGTGATTCCTTTCTTTTTTTTTTAATTATACTTTAAGTTCTAGGGCACATGTGCACAACGTGCAGGTCTGTTACATATGTATACATGTGCCATGTTGGTGTGCTGCACCCATTAATTCATCATTTTCATTAGGTATATCTCCTAATGCTATCCCTTCCCCCTCCCCCCACCCCACAACAGGCCCCCATGTGTGATGTCCCCCTTCCTGTGTCCATGTGTTCTCATTGTTCAGTTCCCACCTATGAGTGAGAACATGTGATGTTTGGTTTTTTGTCCTTGCAAAAGTTTGCTGAGAATGATGGTTTACAGCTTCATCCATGTCCCTACAAAGGACATGAACTCATCATTTTTTATGGCTGCATAGTATTCCATGGTGTATATGTGGCACATTTTCTTAATACAGTCTATCATTGTTGGACATTTGGGTTGCTTCCAGGTCTTTGCTATTGTGAATAGTGCCACAATAAACATACATGTGCATGTGTCTTTATAGCAGCATGGTTTATAATCCTTTGGGTATATACCCAGTAATGGGATGGCTGGGTCAAATGGTATTTCTAGTTCTAGATCCCTGAGGAATTACCACACTGTCTTCCACAATGGTTGAACCAGTAAACAGTCCCACCAACAGTGTAAAAGTGTTCCTATTTCTCCACATCCTCTCCAGCAACTGTTGTTTCCTGACTTTTTAATGATCACCATTCTAACTGGTGTGAGATGGTATCTCATTGTGGTTTTGATTTGCATTTCTCTGATGGCCAGTGATGATGAGCATTTTTTCATGTGTCTTTTGGCTGTATAAATGTCTTCTTTTGAGAAGTGTCTGTTCATATCCTTCGCCCACTTGTTGATGGGGTTGCTTTTTTCTTGTAAACTTGTTTGAGTTATTTGTAGATTCTGGATATTAGCCCTTTGTCAGAGGAGTAGATTGCAAAATTTTTCTCCCATTCTGTAGGTTGCTTACTCACTCTGATGGTAGTTTCTTTTGCTGTGCAGAAGCTCTTTAGATCGCATTTGTCAATTTTGGCTTTTGTTGCCATTGCTTTTGGTGTTTTAGACAGGAAGTCCTTGCACATGCCTGTGTCCTGAATGGTATTGCTTAGGTTTTCTTCTAAGATTTTTATGGTTTTGGGTCTAACATTTAAGTCTTTAATCCATCTTGAATTAATTTTTGTATCATGTTTAAGGAAGGGATCCAGTTTCAGCTTTCTATATATGGCTAGTCAGTTTTCCCAGCACCATTTGTTAAATAGGGAATCCTTTCTCCATTTCTTGTTTTTGTCAGGTTTGTCAAAGATCAGATAGTTGTAGATGTGTGGCATTATTTCTGAGGGCTCTGTTCTGTTCCATTGGTCTATAACTCTGTTAGGTACCAGTGCCATGCTGTTTTGGTTACTGTAGTTTTATAGTATAGTTTGAAGTCAGGTAGTGTGATGCCTCCAGCTTTGTTCTTTTGGCTTAGGATTGACTTGGCAATGCAGGCTCTTTTTTGGTTCCATATGAACTTTAAAGTAGTTTTTTCCAATTCTGTGAAGAAAGTCATTGGTAGCTTGATGGGGATGGCATTGAATATGTAAATTACCTTGGGCAGTATGGCCATTTTCACGATATTGATTCTTCCTATCCATGAGCATGGAATGTTCTTCCATTTGTTTGTATCCTCTTTTATTTTGTTGAGCAGTGGTTTGTAGTTCTCCTTGAAGAGGTCCTTCACGTCCCTTGTGAGTTGAATTCCTAGGTATTTTATTCTCTTTGAAGCAATAGTGAATGGGAGTTCACTCATGGTTTGGCTCTCTGTCTGTTATTGGTGTATAAGAATGCTTGTGATTTTTGCACATTGATTTTGTATCCTGAGACTTTGCTGAAGTTGCTTATCAGCTTAAGGAGATTTTGGGCTGAGATGATGGGGTTTTCTGGATATAGAATCATGTCATCTGCAAACAGGGACAATTTGACTTCCTCTTTTCCTAATCGAATACCCTTTATTTCCTTCTCCTGCCTGATTGCCCTGGCCAGAACTTCCAACACTATGTTGAATAGGAGTGGTGAGACAGGGCATCCCTGTCTTGTGCCAGTTTTCAAAGGGAACACTTCCAGTTTTTGCCCATTCAGTATGATATTGGCTGTGGGTCTGTCATAAATAGCTCTTATTATTTTGAGATACGTCCCATGAATACCTAATTTATTGAGAGTTTTTAGCATGAAGGGCTGTTGAATTTTGCACAAGGCCTTTTCTGCATCTATTGAGGTAATCATGTGGTTTTTATCATTGGTTCTGTTTATATGCTGGATTACATTTATTGATTTGCATGTGTTGAACCAGCCTTGCATCCCAGGGATGAAGCCCACTAGATCATGGTGGATAAGCTTTTTGATGTGCTGCTGGATTCGGTTTGCCAGTATTTTACTGAGGATTTTTGCATCGATGTTCATCAGGGTTATTGGTCTAAAATTCTCTTTTTTTGTTGTATAGTATTTTGTTGAGGATTTTTGCATCGATGTTCATCAGGGATATTGGTCTAAAATTCTCTTTTTTTGTTGTGTCTCTGCCAGGCTTTGGTATCAGCATGATACTGGCCTCATAAAATGAGTTAGGGAGGTTTCCCTCTTTTTCTATTGATTGGAATAGTTTCAGAAGGAATTGTACCAGCTTCTCCTTGTACCTCTGGTAGAATTCGGCTGTGTATCTGTCTGGTCCTGGACTTTTTTTTGGTTGGTAAGCTATTCATTATTGCCTCAATTTCAGAGCCTGTTATTGGTCTATTCAGAGATTCAACTTCTTCCTGGTTTAGTCTTGGGAGGGTGTATGTGTCGAGGAATTTATCCATTTCTTCTAGATTTTCTAGTTTATTTGCGTAGAGGTGTTTGTAGTATTCTCTGATGGTAGTTTGTATTTCTGTGGGATCGGTGGTGATATCCCCTTTATCATTTTTTATTGCATCTATTTGATTCTTCTCTCTTTTCTTCTTTATTAGTCTTGCTAGTGGTCCATCAATTTTGTTGATCTTTTCAAAAAACCAGCTCCTGGATTCATTGATTTTTTGAAGGGTTTTTCGTGTCTCTATCTCTTTCAGTTCTGCTCTGATCTTAATTATTTCTTGCCTTCTGCTAGCTTTTGAATGTGTTGGCTCTTGCTTCTCTAGTTCTTTTAATTGTGATGTTAGGGTGTCAATTTTAGATCTTTCCTGCTTTCTCTTGTGGGCATTTAGTGCTATAAATTTCCCTCTACACACTGCTTTAAATGTATCCCAGAGATTCTGATATGTTGTGTCTTTGTTCTCATTGGTTTCAAAGAACATCTTTATTTCTGCCTTCATTTCATTATGTACCCAGTAGTCATTCAGGAGCAGGTTGTTCAGTTTCCATGTAGTTGAGAGGTTTTGAGTGAGTTTCTTAATCCTGAGTTCTAGTTTGATTGCACTGCGGTCTGAGAGACAGTTTGTTGTAATTTCAGTTCTTTTACATTTGCTGAGGAGTGCTTTACTTCCAACTATGTGGTCAATTTTGGAATAAATGCGGTGTGTTGCTGAGAAGAATGTATATTCTGTTGATTTGGGGTGGAGAGTTCTGTAGATGTCTATTATGTCCGTTTGGTGCAGAGCTGAGTTCAATTCCTGGATATCCTTGTTAACTTTCTGTCTCATTGATCTGTCTAATGTTGACAGTGGGATGTTAAAGTCTCCCATTATTATTGTGTGGGAGTCTAAGTCTCTTTGTAGGTCTCTAAGGACTTGCTTTATGAATCTGAGTGCTCCTGTATTGGGCACATATATATTTAAGATAGTTAGCTCTTTTTGTTGAATTGATCCCTTTACCATTATGTAATGGCCTTCTTTATCTCTTTTGATCTTTGTTGGTTTAAAGTCTGTTTTATCAGAGACTAGGATTGCAACCCCTGCCTTTTTTTATTTTCCATTTGCTTGGTAGATCTTACTCCATCCCTTTATTTTGAGCCTATGTGTTTCTCTGCACATGACATGGGTTTCCTGAATACAGCACACTGATGGGTCTTGACTCTTTATCCAATTTGCCACTCTGTGTCTTTTAATTGGAGCATTTAGCCCATTTACATTTAAGATTAATATTGTTATGTGTGAATTTGATCCTGTCATTACGATTTTAGCTGGTTATTTTGCTCGTTAGTTGATGCAGTTTCTTCCTAGCATCGATGATCTTTACAATTTGGCATGTTTTTGCAGTGGCTGGTACTGGTTATTCCTTTCCATGTTTAGTGTTTCCTTCAGGAGCTCTTGTAGGGCTGGCCTGGTGGTGACAAAATCTCTCAGAATTTGCTTGTTTGTAAAGTATTTTATTTCTACTTCACTTATGAAGCTTAGTTTGACTGGATATGAAATTCTGGGTTGAAAATTCTTTTCTTTAAGAATGTTGAATATTGGCCCCCACTCTCTTCTGGCTTGTAGAGTTTCTGCCGAGAGATCAGCTGTTAGTCTGATGGGCTTCCCTTTGTGGGTAACCTGACCTTTCTCTCTGGCTGCCCTTAACATTTTTTCCTTCATTTCAACTTTGGTGAATCTAACAATTATGTGTCTTGGAGTTGCTCTTCTCGAGATGTATCTTTGTGGCATTCTCTGTATTTCCTGGATTTGAAGGTTGGCCTGACTTGCTAGGTTGGGGAAATTCTCCTGCATAATATCCTGCAGAGTGTTTTCCAACTTGGTTCCATTCTCCGCATCACTTTCAGGTACACCAATCAGAAGTAGATTTGGTCTTTTCACATAGTCCCATATTTCTTGGAGGCTTTGTTCATTTGTTTTTATTCTTTTTTCTCTAAACTTCTCTTCTTGCTTCATTTCATTTGATCTTCCATCACTGATACCCTTTCTTCCAGTTGATCGAATCGGCTACTGAAGCTTGTGCATTCGTCACGTAGTTCTCATGCCATGGTTTTCAGCTCCGTCAGGTCCTTTAAGGACTTCTCTGCATTGGTTATTCTGGTTAGCCATTCGTCTAATCTTTTTTCAAGGTTTTTTAACTTCTTTGCATTAGGTTTGAACTTCCTCCTTTAGCTCAGAGAAGTTTGATCGTTTGAAGCCTTCTTGTCTCAACTCGTCAAAGTCATTCTCCGTCCAGCTTTGTTCCGTTGCTGGTGAGGAGCTGCGTTCCTTTGGAGGAGGAGAGGTGCTCTGATTTTTAGAATTTTCAGTTTTTCTGCTCTATTTTTTCCCCATCGTTGTGGTTTTATCTACCTTTGGTCTTTGATGATGGTGACGTACAGAAGGGGTTTTGGTGTGGATGTCCTTTCTGTTTGTTAGTTTTCCTTCTAACAGTCAGGAGCCTCAGCTACATGTCTGTTGGAGTTTGCTGGAGGTCCACTCCAGACCCTGTTTGCCTGGGTATCAGCAGCAGAGGCTGCAGAACAGCGAATATTGGTGAATAGCAAATGTTGCTGCCTGATCGTTCCTCTGGAAGTTTTGTCTCAGCGGGCACCTGGCCGTGTGAGGTGTCAGTCTGTCCCTACTGGGGGGTGCCTCCCAGTTAGGCTACTCATGGGTCACAGACCCACTTGAGGAGGCAGTCTGTCCGTTCTCAGATCTCAAGCTCTGTGCTGGGAGAACCAGTACTCTCTTCCAAGCTGTCAGACAGGGACATTTAAGTCTGCAGAGGTTTCTGCTGCCTTTTGTTCAGCTATGCCCTGCCCCCAGAGGTGGAATCTACAGAGGCAGGCAGGCCTCCTTGAGCTGCGGTGGGCTCCACCCAGTTCGAGCTTCCCGGCTGCTTTGTTTACCTACTCAAGCCTCAGCAATGGCAGGCGCCCCTCCCCCAGGCTGGCTGCTGCATTACAGTTCAATCTCAGACTGCTGTGCTAGCAATGAGCGAGGCTCCTTGGGCGTAGGACCCTCCGAGCCAGGTGCGGGATATAATCTGCTGGTGTGCCGTTTGCTAAGACCATCAGAAAAGTGCAGTATTAGGGTGGGAGTGACCCGATTTTCCAGGTGCCATTTGTCACCCCTTCCCTTGGCTAGGAAAGGGAATTCCCTGACCCCCTGTGCTTCCCGGGCGAGGCGATGCCACGCCCTGCTTCAGCTCACGATCGGTGCACTGCACCCACTGTCCTGCACCCACTGTCTGACAATCCCCAGTGAGATGAACCTGGTACCTCAGTTGGAAATGCAGAAATCACCTGTCTTCTGCATCACTCACGCTGGGAGCTGTAGACTGGAGCTGTTCCTATTTGGCCATCTTGGAACCGCCCTACTTCAGTGATTTCTAAAGAGAAGTCCAATCACGGCATCATGAATTGGGTATTTTCTGACCCATTGCAATGGACTGAATGCTTATGATACCCCTAAATTCATATACAATTCTAGCCCCCCATTCTAAGGGTGCTATTAGGAGGGGGGGCCTTGCGGAGCTGATCAGGTTATACATTCCCTCATGAACAGAATTAGTGTCTTTATAAAAGAGACCCCTGAGAGCTGCCTTGCCCCTCCCATGATGTGAGGACCCAGCTAGAAGCCTCCATCTGTGAGTCAGGAAGCAGGTCATCACCAGACATTAAATCTGCCAGTGCCTTGATTTTATGCTTCCCAGTGTCCAGACTGTGAAAAATAAATTCCTGTTACTTGTAAGTTACCCAGTCGATGGTGTTTTGTTGTGGCAGCTCAGACTAAGATACGCACAGAATCATAAAGTTGCCCATGCACAGCATCACTCCTTCAGGAAATGAAAGTGGTGCATATGTGACTGGGCCTAAGCAAACCTTAAAGTCACAAGTAAATGACATGACAAAGTGGCCCCAATGCCCATGGTCCCGACAGCCTTTGCTCTCCCATCCTGCAGCTATGGCCTCATGGGGAGCTCCCTATGATTAGCTGACAGAGGAAGAGATGACTCAGGCCTGGTTTACAGATGGTTTTGCTCCAGTGCCAACAAAAAGTGGGCAGCTGCAGCATTACAGCCCCTCTATGACACATCCCTGAAGGACAATGGTAAAGGAAAATCCCCCCAGTGGGAAGAACTTTGGGCAGTGTGCCTGGGTGTGGACTTTGCTTGGAAGGAGAAATGGCTAGATGTGCAATTATATGCTGATTTATGGGATATGGTCAATGGTTTGGCTGGATGGTGTCAGGAATTTGGAAGGTGAATGACTGGAAAATTAGTGACAAGGAGGTCTAGAGAATATGTATGTGGATGGACCTCTCTGCATGGGAAAAAACCCATAAAGATACATGTGTTTCATATGATGTTCAATGGAGGATGGCCTCAGCAAAGGAAGATTTGAATAATCCAGAGGATAGGTGAGCCATTCTGTCGAAACCAGTCAGCCTCTTTCCCCAGCCACCCCTGTCATCTCCCAATGGGCTCATGAACAAAGTGGTGGCAGGGATGGCTGTTATGCATGGGCTCAGAAAATGAAATGGAATTCCGCTCACCAAGACTGATCTGGCTATGACCACCACTAACTGCCCAATCTGCCAGCACCAGAGACCAAAGAGAGCCACTGTATAGTACTATTCCCTGGGGTGATCAACCAGCTTCCTGGTGGCAGGTGATTAGATTGGACCTCTTCCATCATGGAATAGGCAGCATTTTTTTTGTACTGGAATAAACACTTACTCTGGATTTGTTTTGCTTTCCCTGCATGCAATGCATCTGCCAGAACTATCATCTGCGGACTTACAGAATGCCTTTTCTACTGTGATGGTATTCCACAGAACATTGCTTCTGATAAAGAAACTCACTTCACAGCTAAAGAAGTGCAGCAATGGGCCCATGCCCATGGAGTTCGCTGGTCTTACCATGCTCCGCATCATCCTGAAACAGCTGGCTGTTAAAATTGTGAAATGGCCTTTTGAGAATACAATTACAGGGCCAGCTGGATGACAATATCTTGCAGAACTAGAACAAGGCTTTCCAAGAGGGCTGAGTAAGGGTCCAACATATGATGCCATTTCTTTCATAGGCATGATTAATAAGCCCAGGAACCAAGAGGTGAAAATAGAAGTCTCACTTTTACTCCTAGTGATTCCCCAGAAAAAAATTTTCTTATTGTCTCTTCATCCTTATGCTCTGCTGGCCTAGAGGTCTTAGTTGCAAAAGGAGGAAGAATTCCATTAAGAAAAACAATAATTTCATTGAATTGGAAGTTAAGATTACCACCCAGCCATTTGGAACTCCTTTTGCCTCTAATTAATAGGCCAAGAAGGGAGTTCCTGTGTTGGCTGGGATAATTGATCCTGACTTCCAATGGGAAATTGCACTTCCTTACCACAATGGAGGTAAGAAAGAGTATGTCTTGAATTTAGGAGATCCTCTTAGTACTACCATGCCCTGTGATTAAGGCCAATGGAAAACTACTGCAACCCAATCTAGGCAGGACTATTAATGACCCAGACTCCTCAGGAATAAAGTATTTGTTGTCTTTATTTGGATATTAATTATGGATTAAGAGGAAAAAAAAGTATGGTTTAAGGAGGTGTGTATGTATGCCAAGTTGACTAGGAGTGAATGACAATGCTTTATTTTAATGTGTCAACTTGGTTAGGCCATAGTGCCCAGTTGCTTTGACAAACACTGCTTTAGATATTACTGTGAAGGTGTTTTTCAGATGTGGTTAACATTTGCAATGAGCAGACTTTAAGTAAAGCAGATAACCTTTCATAATGTGGATAGGCCTCATCCACTCAGGTGAAAGCCTTAGGAGCAGACAAGTTTCCTGAAGAAGAAAAGATACTGCCTCAAGACTGTAATATATAAATCTTGCCTTAGTTTCTAGCCTGCTCTCCTGCCCTGCAAATTTCAGACTTGCCAGCATCCAGAAACATGGTGAGCCAACTTCTTAAAATAAGCCATTTTCTTCTCTCCCTCCTGTTTTCTCTTTTTCTCTTATATTGGTTCTGTTTCTCTAAAGAACTCTGGCTAATATATTAAGGAAAGAATCACTAAACTTGAATGATGTCAATAGAAGCTTCCCAAATAGTAATACAAAAGGAGAAGAAAGAAGAAGAGGAAAGAAGAATAAGGAAGAAGAAGAAGAAAGAAGGAGGAGAAACAAGAAGGAGGAGGAGGAGAAGGAGGAGGAATAGGAACAGAAGAAGAGGAAGAAGAAGAAGGAGGAGGAGGAGAAAAAGAAATAGTCATGTAACAATGTAAGAACCATGGGACAATATCAAAGGTGTAACATATGCATAAATGGGATACCAGAAGGAGAAGACAGAAAGAGAAGAAGGCAGAAAATATATTTGAAGTAATAATAGCTGAAAACTTTACAATGTTAGTGACAGACACAAAAATCACAGATCCAGGAATTTCTGAGAATATCAGGCAGAATAGAAGGGGAAAAATCCACTTTAACTACAGATGAACAAGTATTAGAATTAGCACATAAGTTCTGTCAGAAAACATGAAAGCAACAAGAATGATACATTTAAAGGATTGAAGGAAACAAAACCACAAACCTAGAATTATATATCCAGATAAATTATTTTCAAAAATGAATGAGAAATATAAAGGGTTTCTAAGAAAAAGAAAAAACAAAGGACTCATCACAACCAGATATGTCATGTAAGAAATGTTGAGAGGCCGGGCGTGGTGGCTCACACCTGTAATCCCAGTACTTTGGGAGGCCAAGGCAGGCGGATTACGAGGTCAGGAGATCAAGACCATCCTGGCTAACATGGTGAAGCCTTGTCTCTACTAAAAATACAAAAATTAGCAGGGGGTGGTGGCGGGCACCTATAGTCCCAGCTACTTGGGAGGCTGAAGCAGGAGAATGGCGTGAACCTGGGAGGCAGAGCTTGCAGTGAGCTGAGATTGCGCCACTGCATCCCAGCCTGGGTGACAGAGAGAGAGACTCCATCTCAAAACAAACAAACAAACAAAAAACAAAAAGAAATGTTGAAAAAGGTTTTTCAGAGAGAAAAGAAAGTATTTAGGTCAAAAACTTGAAACTACATAGAGACAGGAGGCGCACTGGACAAGGAATACATAAAGGTAAAAAATTATTTTTCTTACTCTTAATTGATCTAAAAACCAATTTTTAATCCCAAATTATAGTAATGATGTATTGGATGACTAAGCGAGATAAATGATAGCAATGGCAAAGGGAAAGGAGAAAAATTGCTCAGCGGCTGCACTACACATGAAGCAGTGGAATATTATTTGAAGGTAGACTAAGACTAGTTAAAAACATATAGTGTAATATCTAAGAAAACTATTAAACATTTTTTAAAGTATAAATTATATGCTAAGAAGGGATATTAAATCCAATAATATAAAATACTCAAAACCACAGAAGGAAGCAAAATAAGAAAAAGAAGCAAATAAAATGAATGAAAAACAGTTAAAAAGATAGTAGATATCAATCTAACTGTCAATAATCACTTTAAACTTGAATGGTCTGAGTACACCAATTAAAAAACAGATTTTCAGAGTGAGTAAAAACAAAGTGAAAACCAACTGTTTTCTGTCTGTAAGAAACACTTTAAATATAAAGATTCAGGTAATTAAATTAAAGGAAAAGAAT
Source organism: Homo sapiens (assembly GCF_000001405.40). NCBI lineage: Eukaryota > Metazoa > Chordata > Mammalia > Primates > Hominidae > Homo > Homo sapiens. The sequence goes on from NC_000007.14 coordinate 45,472,913, forward strand.
GGAGAAATGTCATAACACTGTAATTTATCAAAAGAAAGCTGGAGGAAGTATATTAATTTCACACAGAGTAGACCAGATATTATCAAGGATAAAGAGTTATATTCATTATATAATAAAAGGGGTTGATTTTCTGATAACCCACAAAAATGCTACATGTGTATGCACCTAATAATGAATCAAATATGTCAAAATACGTATGGCAAAAACTAACAGAACTGAAAACAGAAATGCACAAATCCAAGATTAGAGTTGGAGGCTTCAGCATCCTTCCATTAGTAATTTATAGATCAAAACAGGTAGAAAATCAGTATAGATACAGATCACCTTCAGAGTGCAATCAATTCACTTGATCTAATTGAAATTTATAGAAGTCTCCATCCAACAACAGAATACTATTTTTTCCTCAAACTCACTTACAACATTCACAAAGATAGATAATTTTGAGCCAAAAAAATACAACCAATTAAAAAGAATAGAAATCACACAGTGTATGTTCTCATAAAACAAAGGAATTAAACTAGAAGTAAATAAATAACAGAAAGATAGCTTCAAAAAATTTTCAAATATACAGAGATTTAAAAATATTATTCTCTCAGATAAGTTCATTGGTCGACTCTACCAAACATTTGAGGAACAAATTATAACAATTCTTTACAATATCTTCCAGAAAATAGAAGCAGAAGGACTACTTCCAAACTCATTATATTAAACCAACATTATCCTAATACTAAAACAAGATGAAGACATTACAAGAGAAAAGGAAAACACTATACACCAACATCTTTCATGAACATAGATGCAAAAATCTTCAATAAAATATTATCAAATTGAACCAAACAACATATAAAAAGAATTATACACCATGATCATGTGGCATTTATTCCAGGTAGTCAAGACTAGTTTATCATTTAAAAATCAATTAATGTAATTCACCACATCAACAGGATAAAGAAGAAAAATCACAAGATTATATTAATAGATGTAAAAAAAAATCACTTAAAATCTACCACCTACCTTCTCACCACTTCTTTTCAACATTGTACTGGAAGTCCTAGCTATTGCAATCATACAAGGAGAGGAAAGTATACAGATTAGGAAGGAAGAAATAAAACTGCCTTTTTTTTTTTTTTTTGCAGATGACATGATTTTCTACACAAAAAAATCCCCAAAAATCAGCAAAAACTAAACAATATTATCAAACTTGCAAAATACAATATAAATATACAAAAGTTAATCACTTTCCTACATACCAGCAATGGACAAATTGAATTTGAAATTAAAAACACAGCACTATTTACATTAGCACGTGAAAATAAAATACTTACACATAAATCTAATAAAATAGCTGCATGATTTATGTGGGGAAAGCTATAAAACCTTGATGAGAGAAATAAAAAAGAATTACATAAATGGAGAGATATTCCATGTTCATGGTTAAGAAGATTCAATAGTGTCAAGCTGTCAGTTCTTCCCAACTTAAGCTATAGATTCAATGCAATTTCAATCAAAATACCAGAAAGTTATTTTGTGAATATGAACAAATTTATTATAAAGTTCATTTGGAGAGGCAAAAGATCCAGAATAGCAAACACAATACCAAGGAGAAGAACAAAGTCAGAGGACTAACACTATCTAACTTCAAGACTTACTATAGGCTGGACATGGTGGCTTATGCCTGTAATCCCAGCACTTTGGGAGGCCAAGGTGGGCAGATCACCTGAGGTCAGGAGTTCGAGACCAGCATGGCCAACATGTCGAAACCTTGTCTCTACTAAAAATACAAAAAATTAGCTGGGCATGGTGGCAGGCACCTGTAATCGCAGCTATTTGGGAGACTGAGACAGGAGAATCTCTTGAGCCTGGGAGGTGAAGGTTTCAGTGAGCCGAGATTGCAGCACTGCCCTCTAGCCTGGGCAACAGAGCAAGACTCCATCTCAAAAAAAAAAATAAAAAATAAAAAAAAAAAGACTTACTATGAAGATACAGACATCAAGACAGTGTGGTATTGGTGAAAGAACAGACAAATAGTTCAATGGGCCAGAATAAAGAACTCAGAGATAGATTCACACAAATATAGTCAATAGATCTTTGAAAAATGAACAAATGCAATACAATGGAGAAAAAAGTGCTGGTGGAACAACTGGACATCCATGTGCAAAAAAATGAACCAAGACACAAATCTTACACCATTCACAAAAGTTAACTCAAAATGGATCATAGACCTCAATGTAAAATACAAAACTGTAAAACTCCTAAAAGATAATATAGGAGAAAATCTAGATGATCTTGGGTTTGGTGATGACTTTTTAGATTTGGCACCAGAGGCACAGTTTATAAAGAAAATAGTACGCTGGACTTCATTAAAATTAAAAACCTCTGACATGCATAAGACAATGTTGAAAGAATGAGAAAAGCAGCCATACACTGGGAGAAAATATTTGCAAAAGACATATCTGATAAAGTACTGTTATCCAAAGTATACAAAGAACACTTAAAACTCAACAAGATAATGAACAAACCAATTAAAAAACAGGCAAAAACCTGAACAGATACCTCATCAAAGAAGATATACAGATGGAAAATAAGCATATGAAAAGATGCTCAACATCATATGGAATTGTAAATTAAAAAGAGATACCACTATACACATATTAAAATGGAAAAAAGTCCAAAACACTGAGAACACCCAATGCTGCCAAGGATGTGGAGCAAGAGGAACTCCCACCCATTGCTGGTGGGAATGCAAAATGGCACAACCACCATGGAAAACAGATTAGCAGCTTCCTACAAAACCAAAAGACTTACTACACAATCCAGCAATTGCATTTACCCAAAGGAATTGGAACTTATGTTTATGCAAAAACTTGCATATGGATGTTTATAGTACCTTTATTGATAATTGTGAAAACTTGAAAATAACCAAGATGTCTTTCAGCAGGTTAATGGATAAGCTGTGGCACATCTAGATGGTGAAATTTTATTCAGCACTAAAAAAAATCAGCTATCAAACCATTAAGCATTAGGTATAGCTATGCCAATAAGGCATAGAGGAAACTTAAATGCATATTACTAAGTGAAAGAAGTCAACATAAAAAGGCTACATACTATATGATTACAACTCTATGAAATTCTGGAAAAGGAAAACTATGGGGGTAGTAAAAAGATCAGTGGTTGCCAGAGGTTGGGGGGCTATCAGGGGAACGAGAGATGAGTAGGTGGAGCACAGAGGTTTTTTAGAGCAGTGACATTATGCTATATGATATTGCAATGATGGATTCCCATTATTATACATTTGTCAAAGCCCATAGCATGTACAACACCAAGAGTGAACCCTAGTGAAAACTATGGACTTTGGGTGATGATGTGTCAATATAGGTTCATCAATTGCAACAAGTGTATCACTCTGGTGCAGGATGTTGATTGGTGGTGGAGGGGGTTGGGACAGAGAAATGGGTAGTTTGGAGGGGATATATGCTTAATTCTGCTGGGAACCTAATACTGCTCTAAAAAATAAAGTCTATGTTTGTTGTTGTTGTTGTTTTTAAAAAAAACTTCTAAGTAACACATGAATCAAATAAGAAGTTTCCAGAGAAATGTAAAAATATTTTGAATTAAATATAAATGAACATAGGATGCAGCTAAAATAATGCTTGCAGGGGACTTTTTAAAGTGCAACATGCTTACATAACAGGAAAAATCTCCTCAGATCAATAATCTGTGCTACTACTTCAAGAATCTAGAAAATGGAGAGCAAAAACCACTACCACCACCACCATCAACAACAACAAACCCCAAAGCAAGTAGAAGGAAGGAAATGAAAAACAAGAGCAGAACCAATGAAATTGAAAACACAAATGCAATAGGGAAAATTAATGAAAACAAAAGGTGGTTCTTCAAAAATATTAATAAAATTGATAAACCACTAGCCACACTAACCAGGAATAAAAGAACACACAAATTACTAATACCAGAAATGAAAGTGAAATCATCCTTACTTGTCCCATAGCCATTAAAAGGATCATATGAAAACATCTTTAATGGCTCTATGACCACAGTTTGATGCTTTAGTTGAAATGGACAAATTTCTTGAAAGGCATGATCCTGAAATTTACTTCAGAAGGAAAAAATAATCTAACTCTCTTTGTCTCTATTGAGGGAATTGAGTTGGTATTTAAAAAAAACTTTCAAAAAAAAAAAAAACAGCATGGCTACATGGCTGCACTGGTGAATTTTGCCAAACATTTAAAGAAGAAATAACATGAATTCTCCACAGTCTCTCCCATAAGGTTAAAGAGCAACAGTTTCTGACTAATTTTGTGAGGCTAGCATTATCCTAATACCAAAAGCAAGTGGAGACATTATAAGGAAGGAAAAGTAAAGATCAATATCTCTTCTGAATTTAGACTCTAAATCCTTTAAAAAAATCACAAACTGAATCCAGTGATATACAGAAAAGATAACACATCATGACCAAGAGGGATTCACTATAGGAATGCAAGACTAGTTCAGCATTCGTAAGCCAATCTGTATAACTCATGATATTAACAGATTAGGAAGAAAACCATATGGTCATATCAGTAGATGCAGTGAAAGCATTCAACAAAATTCAACACCCATGATAAACACTAAAAAATTAGGAATAGAAGAAAATTTCCTAACCCTCAGTAAGTGTATAGGAATTTTATAAAAATTCAGAACTTTTGCTTTGTGAAACATATTGTTAAGGGAATTAAGAAAACAAGTTTTACACCTGGAGAAAATATTTTTAAGTCATGTACAGAATAAAGGACTTGTATCTAAAACATACAAAAACCTCTTAAAACTCAATAATAAGAAAACAAACAACCCAATTAAAAATAGGCAAAAAGGCTGGGTGCGGTGGCTCATGCCTGTAATCCCAGCACTTTGGGAGGCCAAGGTGGACGAATCACGAGGTCAGGAGTTCGAGACCAGCCTGATCAACATGGTGAAACCCTATCTCTACTAAAAACACGAAAATTAGCCGGGCATGGTGGTGCTTGCCTGTAATCCCAACTACTCAGGAGGCTGAGGCAGGAGAATCGCTTGAAGCCAGGAGGCGGAAGTTGCAGTGAGCCAAGATTGTGCCACTGCACTCCAGCCTTTGAGACTCTGTCTCAAAAAAAAAAAAAAAAAAAAAGGCAAAAACATCTGAAAAGACACCTCACCAGGGAAGATATGTAGGAAGCAAATAAGGATATGAAATTATACCCAATATCATTTGTCATTAAAGCATTGCAAATTAAAGTGACGATGTGATGCCACCACATATCTGCTAGAATGGTAAAGTGAAACAAACAAATAAACTCACCTTACCAACTGCTGATGAGGCTATAGAGCAACAGGAACTCTCATTTATTGCTAGAGGGAATGTAAATGGTATAAACACTTTGGATGACACGTGGTTTTTTTACAAAGCTAAATATACTTTTACCCTATGATCTAGCAATCATGATTCTAGGTATTCACCCAAAGGAATTGAAAACTTATGTCCACACAAAAACCTGCATATGAATGTTTATAGTTTTATTGGTAATTGCCAAAACTTGGAGCAACCAAGATGTCCTTCAATAGGTGAATGGATTAGTAAACTAGTATTTAAACACAATTGAAAATTATTCAGCAATAAAAAAGAATGAACTATTGATACGGTTAGGTTTTGTGTCTCCACCTAAATCTCATCTTGAATTGTAATCCCCAGGTGTTGAGGGAGAGACCCAGTGGGAGGTGATTGGATTACAGGGGCCATTTCCCCCATGCTGTTCTCATGATAGTAAGTAAATTCTCACAAGATCTGATGGTTATATAAATGGTAATTCTTCTTGTGCTTGCACATGCTCACTCTGTCCTGCCACCATGTGAAAAGGTCCAAGTTTGCTTCCCCTTCCCCTTCTGCCATAATTGTAAGTTTCCTGAGGCCTCCCCAGCCATGTGGAACTGTGAGTCAATTAAAACTCTTTTGTTTATAAATTACCCAGTGTGATTTATAGCAGTGTGAAAATGGACTAAAACAGCTATCAAGCCATGAAGAGGAGCTTTAAATGCATATTGCTGAGTGAATAAGCAATTCATACAAGAATTCACAGAAGACCACAGCCTGCAACAGCTACATAGTGTATGATCCCATTTATATGAAATTCCAGAAAAGGTAAAACTATAGAGATCATGGTTGCCAGAAATTCAGAGACAAGGGAGTTGAATGGGTGAAGCATAGGATATTTTTAGGATGAGAAATCTATTTTGTATGATTTTGCTATGGTGAATACATGACACTATGGATTTGTCAAAACCCATAGAGCTTTACAGTCTGAACAACAGTCAGTATCAATGAATGCAAATTTCAGAAAACATTTAGGAGGTTAGGGGATTCTGGGAAGATATTCAGATTAAAACAAAATAATCTAACTGAATTAAAAGTGCAGGAAACAACCTCACTGACGGGAATGGTGGGGGAAAGTTACTGACATAAGTAATTTTGGAAATTAGTGGAGTCTGCAAGACAAATAGCAAAAGAAATGGCACATTAAGCATTGGACTGTAGTTAATAAAGTTCTTCCCCGGGAGTATGTGTTAATAATTTTGAAACCACTATAAATATACACTGGAATTGAAAAAGTAAGAAATAGAGAGTGGGTGTCGGTAGCCAAGTTTGTTACTGCTGATTGGAAAGGGAGGTTAAAGGTAAGTAAGAGAAAGGGGCTAGAATGGTTTATGTGGAGTTGGAGTAGAGTTAGGAACTCATGGATAGCTTAATTTAGATTCAGATCAACACACATAGAAACATTTACAGTTACGAGTCTATAGATGAGTTAATATACACACATTTATTCCCTTGCTGATCAGCTGAGGGAGTCTAAATACAACGAAACTTGAGTGGCAATGAGCACACTTGGTGCCTAGATTTTGTGTTTTATACCATTCTTGAATAAAAGGAACTAGGAATCCATAGAGAAATGTCTGATTCCAGAGCTGGGGCAGGGAATATACAAAGTGAGCCTGAAGCATCTCCTAGTGACAGGAAGAAAGAAAATGCTCAACAATAACAATAATGACCACAACAGTGGAACCACAATGATGGGGCATGTCAAAGGGACACAGGAGCCTACTGAACGGGCTTCCAGTGGCCAAGGCTGGAACAACTTGGGCAACAGAGTTAACAAAATAGTATTGAATTATAACCCAAAGTGTAAAATAAATATTCATGAGTATATGTATAAACACACATACATAATATATACACACGTATAACTCCTGTATGTACATTTATATAAATAAATGATCAAATAAATAAATAGATGAGGAAGCACAGAGAAATTTCTTACTCAAAAGAATCCCAAATAATTTATTTAGATAGTCCTCACTTGTGTTAGTCAGGACACTCCAAAGAAGCAGAACCAATAGGATGTGTACATATTGAAAGAGATTTATTATAGGCAATTGGCTCCATGATTACAGAAGCGAGAAGTCCCAAGATCTGCAGCCAGCAAGCTGGAGATGCAAGAGAACAGACAGTATAAGTAATAGTCTGAAGACTAGTAAGCTCAAGACCCAGGGAAAACTGATCTCTCAGTCCCAGTCTAAAGGCAGAAAAAGACATATGTCCCAGCTCAAAGTGGATAGAGATAGTGGTTGCCAGCGATTCAGGGGAGATAGTTGAATGGGTGAAGCACAGGGTAACTTTGGGATGATAAAGATATTCTGTATGATTCTGTAATGGTAAATATATAATACCATGGATTTGCCAAATCCATAGAACAGGAGTTCCCTTTTAATCAGAGACAGTCACCCTTTTATTTCTATTCATTCAATTGACTGGATGAGGCCCACCCACATTGGAATGTAATTCAAACGCTAATCTCATTCAGAAACACCCTGAGAGACAAATCCAGGGTGATATTTGACCAAATATTTGGGTACTCCATGGCCCAGTGAAGTTGTCACATAAATTAGCCATTACAATCCTCAAGGAGGAGGAGCATAACTGCCACCCTTAAGTCTAGACAATGAATAGTTACTTTCTTCTAAAATACACATCGTGGAAAGAGTGGGGAGAGGAACTTTACAATGGAGAAACCTGACACACATGACCTCAGCCAGGTGATCAAGGTCAACATCAAGAGTGATAAGTCATGTCAGTAGTATGTGCTCTTGATATGATGTGATGGGGAAAATGATACTTACCTTTGTGGTCTTCCTCCCTCAAACCTATGTGTCCTCCAGGCTGGGCCCTTGATGTGCAAAAGGCTCACAGTCTAGAATCTCCACTCAGGCAATAGCCTGGCCTTCAGGCCCATTTGCATGTCACATAACAGTAGTTTACACAGTAAATCCAAAAATTCCCTCTTTATTTCTTCTTAAATTCACTTGGTGTAAATTTTAAATCCTGCTCCATAATGTCTCCCCCAATGGATTTGGTGGGCCAATAAAGGCCAGGATTTCAGAAAGGGAAAAGAAGTTGCCTATGATGGCTCTCAGAGTGCCCTCCCATACCAGCCTGGAAGGACAGTCTTAGAAGAGACTCACACAAAATCTGTTTGCCATTTCTGCCCTAACACCTGATTTACAGAGCCTTCCCCACCCCCTGCTCCCTCTGCTTTAAGTCGTCTGGCTCTCCAATGTTCCTTCCAGTCTTCCAAGGCAGAGCAGCTCTTGATGATCTCTGTCCTGGGTTTGGGCATTGTGTTTCCATGGAGGTGTCCATGGCTGCTACAGCATCACTGGTGGACATGCCACACAGTCACCTTTTATAGCCTTGCAGTTCACAGAGTCTCTCACATCTTTTGTTAATGAGCTACTGTTGAGCCATGATCTTTTTCTTTACTCTTTTTTACTGTTCAGTATGAGATGTTTCAGAAATACAAGAAAGTAGCCGGGTGCAGTGGCTCACATCTGTAATCCCAGCTATGCAGGAGGCTGAGGCAGGAGAATTGCTTGAACCCCGGAGGCGGAGGTTGTAGTGAGCTGAGATTGTGCCACTGCACTCCAACTTGAGCAACAGAGTGAGATTCTGTCTCAAAAAAAAAAAAAAAAAAGAAGAAGAAGAAGAAAGCACCAGAAAGTGGAGTGAATATGAAAATGAACATCTATAGACTCATCACCTAGATTTCATTAACACATTGCCCTACTTATTACAGCTATTGTTTTTAACCAAAGTATTTTAGAGTAAATTACACATAATGTGGCATTTTACCCCACTTTTGTTTTCTCCTATAAAAATTAATTTTCCTATGTAATCCCAATCCTATTGTTCACACCTAAAAATATTAGCAAGCGTTTCTTAATATTATGTAATACCCATTCGAAAGTTAAATGTCTCCAGTTGTCTCCAAGATGTTTTTAAAATGTGATTTGGGCAAATCAAAGACAAAACTTTTGGTTGTATGTTTTCATAGCTCTTTAAAGCTAGTTAACCTTTCCTTCTGCATCTCTTTTTCATTGTGTTGACTTGTTGAAGAGACCAGGCCAGTTGTCTCACGAGTCCCACCTTCTCACTGTTGCCACTCATTCCTGCTTCCTGCTGCAGTGTGTAACTGGTTCCCTATCTCCTGCGTTGCCTATAAACTGGAAGCGAGGCCCTCAATGACCTGCTGTGATCTAGTCAAGCAATTTAGGCAAGGACACATAGGGGATGGATCATATCAGGAGCCATGCATTGCCTGGTGGCCTAAAATAGCTAAAATATGCTAAAATAGCTCTCTGGGTAACTTGACAAACCGCATCCTCCATTGCAACATTATGTTTCCCCTGGGTATTGGCCAGAAATCTATGGGATGTGCATCTGGAACCCTGAGAGTATCCAGCATCCCATCAACCTCCTTAGCATCCCTGGATGTGCCTTGCTTACATCAATTATTTTGCTAGGAATGTTAAAGAGGATTTTCTTACTCTATCAATTCAGTTTATTAGCTGACCTTACTCCATAGGGAAGAATTTTATCTCATCTGCTAAGCCTACTCAGTAACCACAAATATAAATTCTGCTGGAAAGGTGGCACGAGGGCTTCATTCTCCTAATTGTGAATTTTCAGAGGAAAGAGCTGACTTAATACCTCATTCCAACAGACACCAATTAAGACAGATTGTTTTTGCTGTCTTCTTTGAGAATTAATATGGGGTCATGGATTTCTAGAAATTGAACACGTTTTAGTCAGTGACAGCCATTATTTTTTCTAATGCCCTAATTAACCCAATTTTGGTAGGGGGATCCCTGTTGAGCTGGCTCCTGCTCTGTTTCTCCTTACTTAGTATTTGTGATGTTGGAAACATTTTGGGAGCAAATCTCAAGACTTTGCATTTATTTCAGTTAAATAGGATCCCTTTCCCAAGACTGTTAAGGTATCATTTTAGATCCGGGGCTGATATCCACCCTCCCTTGCCAATCCCCATGTCACCCCCAAACCAATCCAGCTACTATCATCTGCAAACTTGCTGAGCTATTTCAAGACCATCCCAAGAGAACAAGAAAATACAATTCACGTTTATTCACTTTGTGCAAAACAGGTTCAAAGATATGATTTTCCCTCAGCATTGTGAGAACTATGAGGTGCCCCTCAGGGCTGATTTGCCCCCAGGCATCACAGTGTATAAGTCAAGGTGACAGGATCAAGGGCGGGGTCCTCATCAATGGAATTAGTCTTAATTTGTCACATGAGAGTCATTCTGCAGTATCCCCAGAGAGTGACGGCTTAGACATGTGGCCTATTTGCAGAAGGCTCACCTGGAGCTAGTAGGAGAGCCGTGGATCGCCCCTCGGTCCTGAGAACTGCCCTACAGGGGGAGGCGCGGGAGTCACTGTGCTTCTGTGAGATAGTGATGAGCAAAGAAGCAGGAATAGCAAGGAAAACGGAAGGGATCTTCACCTGGGTGTAGACTACCACTCTGCTGAGAATCTGCTGCCATCTTTAGAGTGCCCGCCTAGATGCTGATTGTAGGTCAGATACTGAGGGTGACGTCACATAATTTTTCCTGCAATTGTACAACAGCAGCACCGCTTTATCTCCATAGTATAAGTGAGGAAAGGAAGGCACAGACATGCCCAGTAACATGTCCAAGTATCATAGCCAGAAGGGTGTGGAAGCCAGAATCACCTGGCTCTGCTTGTCCCAAACACCTGCTCTGAAGGCCACCTGTTTCATTGACCCCTACACCATCCAGAGCTGATTTGGTTATCAAGAGGAATGGCAGGAAAGAGGAAAAGGAGGCAGGAAGCACTATCTCTGATCACTCCATGCAAACTCACTTCTCAGAATCACTGCACAAGGAAAATAGGATTTCTGTCAGTTAAGCACTAAAGCACTGCAGCTGAAGGCCATTGCCTCACGCCACTACCAGTGGCTCAGTTCAGTCACCTCCTGAGGGAGCCGTGGCTCTCCCCACTGCCTGCTCACCCCTGCAGAGGATCGACGGGAAGCACTTCCTTTGCTGGATGTCTCGGGGCTCGTTTGCAGCCTGCTGAGAAATTTTAGTGTTCTTTTCTTCTTATTACAGCTACATTATTAGGCCTCGTAGTCCTGGTGCAAGCTGGGAGGAGTTCCCCTGATTATAGATTATAAAACAGCATTTTCCCTCTAACAGCTTGAATGGCTTTCACAAAAAGAATTAGGAAGTTTGTTATTTCACTTGATGTGCCAAAATATGCCCATTAAATTCAGCAAATTGATAGAAAAGATACCACACACACCGTCCTGCAGTCTGCATTTACAGCATCACAATATTTGTATTCTGAAGTGTTGCCTGGAACACATTCTCCATATTTGACTTTCCAGACCCGATTATGCAGTTTCATTCAGTTTTTATTTCTACTTTAGTATCAAAGCAGTCTAAGATTTTAAAATTGAAGAAAATATGTTTTCAAGTATGTTTTGAAATATCATTAGCTTTGAAGACTAAATATGCTTTTTAAAATAAAAAGGGTGTGCATTTTCCAGGACCCTAGCCACCCTGCAGAGTTTATCCTGAGCTCTTTAGGGTCTCCACTGTTTGGCCACTTATGTCACACCTTTTATCTTTATCCCTTACACAAGGACATACCATTTTTCCAGACGCTGGTGTTGCCCATGACCTGATGTTAGGCTCTGCAATATTTTCAGATATGAGTAAGAGAAGAGCAGCACTCGTGGCTCAAATAAACAAGAAGTCTGGGGCTTGGCGCAGCAGCTCAGTGGTGTCAGGGCAGTTCCCTTAGCAATCCCCTTAGCTTGTTTCTCACAAGCCACAGAGTAGCCCCTGCAGCTCTAGCCATCATATCACCTTCAAGGCAAGAACATAGCTCAGACCTCTGCCCAACTCTCAGTGCCCTCCAGACTCTGCCAAGTGGCTCTCACAGCGGTAAGGACCAGGAGAAGGCAGGTGCACCATTCAACTTTTGAAATATATGTATATACACAAACACACACATATATACACATATATATACGCACTATATATAGATACATATATACATATATCCACATACATACATACACACACATACATATATATGTGCATATATATGCATAAGTATGTAAAATATTTTGGAAACTCTTGAGTTTTAAATAGAGAAGAAAAAACTTCTGTGTTATGGACTGAATATTTACATCCTCTCAAAATTCATATGTTGAAGCCCTAATCCCTCAATGTGATGGCATTTGGAAGAAGAGATGGGGCCTTTGGAAGGTAATTAGGTCAAGAGAGTGGAGCCTCCATGATGGGATTAATTTGTGTTTTCATAAAAGAGACACCAGAGAACTCTCTCACCTTCTTTCCACTATGTGAGGACGGAATAAGTAGGCAGCTGTTAGGGCCGGGTGTGGTGGCTCATGCCTGTAATCCTAGCCCTTTGGGAGGCTGAGGCGGGTGGATCACTTGAGGTCAGGAGTTCGAGACCAGCCTGACCAACGTGGAGAAACCCCGTATCTACTAAAAACAACAAAAAAAAATACAAAATTAGCTGGGTGTGGTGGCGCATGCCTGTAATCCCAGCTATTCCAGAGGCTGAGGCAGGAGAATCGCTTGAACCCGGGAGGCAGAGACTGCGGTGAGCCAAGATGGTGTCATTGCACTCCAGCCTGGGCAACAAGAGTGAAACTCCGTCTCAAAAAAAAAAAAAAAAAAAAAAAGAAGGCAGCTGTTTGCCAGCCAGTAAGAGAGCCCTCAACAAGAACCAAATCAACCAGCACTTTGATCTTGGACTTCCCAGCCAGTAGACTGTGAGAAATTAAGTTGTATAAGCCACTCAGTCTATAGTATTTTTTGTTATAGCAGCCCAACCTGAGTAAGACACTCTGCATATACATCTCAGGGAACAGTCTGTCAAACTTTTTATTAATTTTTCCTAAATTGGAAACTTTAAGAATAATTTCCGCTCACAGTTTAGGAAATTGGTAAAACTCATTTGATTATCAGTCATGCTTAAGAACAGATTCAGGCTACTATTTTTTTTTTCTTAATATAAACGCCATGCTTGGCTCTAGAAAATGCAGTGTAAGGAGAGAGGTGAAATTGGTGAGTTCTGTCAGGGCAGGGCTGCTGGACTTAGATCATAAAAGTATTGATATTCATTTAAGTTCTTTCTAATTAGCTATGTATATATTCATTGATATAAAAGAAACATATTGCATGGATATATTTGTACTAAGAATTATTCATCATTTAGCTGAAGTAAATCATAAGAATCTAAGTTACATACCTCTCTTTTATTACATTTTCTTGATGATTTGGTTCTCCTTAGCCATTTCTTGTTTGTAGAACTTGTTTAAAAAATTCCTTGCAGTGATAGCTCATTTTCCGTTACTTTAGTCACTCTTCTGCCCACTGGCTATCATTAATGAGAACAACTGTGCAACATTAGCATTATGAGCTGGCACACTGAGCACACCCCGGCATAAAGTTAGCAACTCTGAAAACTGCCCTTGGGGTTTGATTTGTTGAGGTGCATAATACCACCTCTTTAGTACAGCTTGCTTTCTCATTCTTAGAGATTCCATTGTATCTGTCATTCATCAACTTTTGAAGATGTGGCCCACCACCAACAATAAAAAGGACAGTCAATTTTTATTCCCTTTAACATTACACATGATGTTTCTTGTTGTTCCCAGGTTGAGAGAGTATTAGTAACATTCATGTAAAAGAAAGAAATTTTTAAAGGGATGAAATCCATTTCAAAGATAGTCATGGCAAATGCCATAATAATTATCCACTTTGAGCCAGAATTTCCTTTTCTGCTCATAATTAATGTTGTCCCTTTGAAGAACAGCCATGATACTTAAAGGGATAAATATTTCTTTAATGGTTTCTTTAATGTATTCATAAGTTCCTTTAGGCAATAGAGTCCTTCAATAACACTGTTTGCTCTTCTCTCAATTTGCATAATCTTATTGCTAAGGGGATATTGAAAACTCTGAGCAAGGAATAAGTAGGTTTCACTCAGTAAATTATTTATAAAGTCAAGAAGAAATTTTAGTGCCTTTTCTTCAGAATTAGAGTATGATTTCAGTGCTTCAAATAAACTGAGGAGTCTCTCAACTGAATTTGTTAAAGAGAGAAAACAGTTTTTGAATGTGAGTGAATTGAGCACTACAGAATGCCCAGAAAATTACCAAAGCCCTTTAATTACTCAGTTCAAACAGTATTAATGCTGAAATTAGAGAACAATTTTGTGACAATTACTTTGATGTCAATAGAAAGAACATCAGCTGCTGTTTGAGCAGCATTATGCAGAATATGGGCAGGACAGCCAACCCTGCCACAGAATCATTTATTATGCCACTTTCAATAGACATTGTCTTCTGCACCTTTACACAAACATCCAGCAAAATGTGTATTTGTATCATTTCCATGAAAAGCAGTACTTTTTTTCATTAACCACAAAGTCAATAAGAGAATCACTGCGAAAATCTGCTAATATTATTGATGTCTCCTCTGAAAGATATCTTACTTGGGACAACCGTAGAAGCAAGTGTTTTTCAAGAGAAACATATTGCATGAGCAAAGGGAATTAATGTTTCTGTATTGTGATTACTTGGTTTTGCTTCTGGGTCTGTGCTGTAAAAAGATTAGGTAGTTGGAGCTTTGATAATCTCTGTGATAGTAAATGGAGTGGTTACGTATTTTATTATTGCAGGAGATTCTGTTTTGGCACTTATAAATTTTCTTGCAATGTTGGAATCAGAAAATACTTTTGGCAGCAGTATGTTAAGGCAGTCATTTGAGCTGAAAGACTGAAGGTGATATACAGTGTGGAAGTCATCACAACTTCTGCAATTATTTTGTCTTCTTCATTTGAATTCCTGTAAAGCAAAAAAAAAAAAAAGTTATTTTATCACTTTCTTCGGTACTAGTTGAGGAAATCACATGTCTCTTATGTTTAGCTGTTTGCCTGTGCTAGTTTATGGCTGACTTTCCACTCTTTCTATATTGAATGAACAATTGCATCCTGAACAAAGAGTTTTGTGGGGGCCAAGGCCCTTGGTACCTTGGAGGTTTGCTGAAAATCACTGACATGAAGTAGATTGATTAATAGGAGAAAAGTGTCAACAAAAAGGAGTCAAACTCTAAAATGTTTGAAGAGATTTATTCTGAGTCAAATGTGAGGACCATGACCCATGACATAGCCCTAGGAGGTCCTGTGAACATGTGCACAGGTGGTTAGGTGACAGCTTGGTTTTAGAGAGACATGAGACATCAATCAATACATGTAAGATATGCATTGGTTCAATTGGTTCAGTCCAGAAAGGTAGGACAACTTGAAATGGCCAGTGGGGTGTGGGGAGGGGAAAGGGGGTTGGGGAGAGCTCACAGGTCATAGGTAGATTCTAAGATTTTTCTGATTGGCAATTGGTTGAAAGAGTTGAATTATTACCTAAAGACCTAGAATCAATAGAAAGGAGTGTCCAGGATAAGGGGAAATGTGTGTGGAGACCAAGGTTATTATTATATAGAGTAGATGGCAAATGTCTCTCATCAGGCCTTAAAAGGTGACAGACCCTTATTATCTCTCCTGGATCAGGAAAGACCTGGAAAGAAGGACAGGACTCTACAGAATGTAGATTTTCCCCACAATAGACAGCTTTGCAGGGGCATTTAAAAATATGTCAAAATATATTTTGGGGTAAAATACTTTGATTTCTTTCAGGGCCTTCTATCTGCATGTGATGCTATACTACAGTCAGGTTGGAATTTGGCATCTTATTGCAACAAAGTCTGTTTTGTCTTTTTTTTTTTTTTGGCCGAGTCTCACTCTGTCCTCCAGGCTGGAGTGCAGTGGTGCAATCTTGGCTCACTGCAACCTCTGCCTCCCGGATTCCAGCAATTCTCTTGCCTCAGCCTCCTGAGTAGCTGGGAATACAGGTGCACACCACCACGCCCGGCTAATTTTTGTATTTTTAGTAGAGACGGGGTTTCACGGTGTTGGCCAGGCTTATCTTGAACTCCTGACCTCAAGTGATTTGCCTGCCTTGGCCTTCATTTTTTTTTTTTAATCTTGGTTTATTTTATTACTTTACATCTCAGGGAGTTCTCCTATCTGAAGAACAGATAAATATTTGCCTATATTTTCACCTAGATTATTTTGTTTTATTTTAAGTTCCAGAATATGTGCTGGATGTGCAGGTTTGTTACATTTGTAAACATGTGTCATGATGGTTTGCTGCACCACCTATCAATCTATCACCTAAGTATTAAGCCCAGCATGATTAGATATTTTTCCTGACACTCTCTCTCCCAGCTCACCACATCCTCCACACCAGGCCCCAGTGTGTGTTGTTCCCCTCCCTGTGTCCATGTGTTATAATCATTCAGCTCTCACTTATACGTGAGAACATGCGATGTTTGGTTTTCTGTTCCTGCGTTAGTTTGCTGAGGATAATGGCTTGCAGCTTCATCCACGTCCCTGCAAAGAACATGATCTCATTCTTTCTTATGGTTGCATAGTATTCCATGGTGTATATGTACCACATTTTCTTATCCAGTCTATCATTGATGGGCATTTGGGTTGATTCTATGTCTTTGCTATTGTGAATAGTGCTGCAATGAACATACGTGTGCATATGTCTTTATAATAGAATGATTTATATTCCTTTGGTTATATATCCAGTAATGGGATTGCTGAGTCAAATATTATCTCTGGTTCTAGGTCTTTGAGGAATCACCACACTGTCTTCCACAATGTTTGAACTAATTTACATCCCCACCAACAGTATAAAAGCATTCCTATTTCTTCACAGCCTTGTCAGCATCTGTTGTTTTTTCACTTTTTAATAATCGCCATTCTGAAAGGCATGAGATTGTATCTCTTTGTGGTTTTGATATACATTTCTCTGAAAATCAGTGATGTCAAGCTTTTTTTCCTATGTTTGTTGGCTGCATAAATGTCTTCTTTTGAGAAGTGTCTGTTCATGTCCTTTGTCGGGTTGTTTGTATTTTTCTTGTAAATTTGTTTAAGTTTCTTTTGTAGATTCTGGATATTAGACCTATGCCAGATGGATAAATTGCAAGAATTTTCTCCCATTCTGTAGGTTGTCTGTTCACTCTGAAGATAGTTTATTTTGCTGTGTAGAGCTCTTTAATTAGAACCTATTTGTCAATTTTTGCTTTTGTTGCAATTGCTTTTGACGTTTTTCTCATGAAATATTTGCCTGTGCCTATGCCCTGAATGGTATTGCCTAGATTTTCTTATAGCGTTTTTATAGTTTTGGGTTTTACATTTAAGTCTTTACTCCATCATGAGTTAATTTTTGTATAAGGTAGAAGGAAGGGGTCTAGTTTCAATTTCCTGCATATGGCTAGCCACTTCTCCCAGCACTATTTGTTAAATGGGGAATCCATTCCCCATTGCTTGTTTTTGTCAGGTTTGTCAAAGATCAGATGGTTGTAGATGTGTGGTCTTATTTCTGAGTTCTCTATTGTGTTCCATTGGTCTATATGTCTGTTTTTGTGCCAGCACCATGCTGTTTTGGTTACTGTAGCCTTGTAGTATAGTTTGAAGTTGGGTAGTGTGATGCCTCCAGCTTTGTTCTTTTTGCTTAGGATTGTCTTGGCTATGTGGGCTCTGTTTTGGTTCAATATGAATTTTAAAGTAATTTTTTCTAATTCTGTGAAGAAGATCAATGGTAATTTAATGGGAATAGCAATGAATCTATAAATTACTTGGGCAATTTAGCCATTTTCATGATATTGATTCTTCCTATCCATGAACAAGGAATATTTTTCCATTTGTTTGTGTCCTCTCTGACTTCCTTGATCAGTGGTTTGTAGTTCTATTTGAAGTGGTCCTTCACTTCCTTTGTTAGCTGTACTCCCAGGTATTTTATTCCCTTTGTAGCAATTGTGAATGGAAGTTCATTCATGATTTGGTTCCCTGCCTGTCTATTATGGTGTATATGAATGCTTGTGATTTTTGCACATTGATTTTGTATCCTGAGACTTCGCTGAAGTTGCTTAGCAGCTTAAGAAGCTTTTAGGCTGAGACGATGGGGTTTTCTAGGTATAGGATCACATCATCTGCAAAAGAGAGACAATTCAACTTCCTCTCTTCCTATTTGAATGCCCTTTATTTCTTTTTCTTGCCTGATTGCCCTGGGCAGAACTTCCAATACTATGTTGAATAGGAGTGATGAGATAGGGCATCCTTGTCTTGTTCCAGTTTTCAAGAGGAATGCTTCCAGTTTTTGCCCATTCAGTATGATCTTGTCTGTTGGTTTGTCATAAATAGTTCTTATTATTTTGAGGGTATGTTCCATCAGTACCTAGTTTATTGAGAGTTTTTAACATGAAGCAGTGTTGAATTTTATCGGAGGCCTGTTCTGCATCTATTGAGATAATCATGTGGTTTTTGTCTTTAGTTCTGTTTATGTGATGAATTACATTTATTGATTTGTGTATGTTGAACCAGCCTTCATCCCAGGGATGAAGCTGACTTGATCATGGTGGACAAGCTTTTTTGATGTGCTGCTGGATTCAGTTTGACAGTATTTTATTGAGGATTGTTGCATGGATGTTCATCAGGGACATTGGCCTGAAACTTTCTTTTTTTGCTGTATCTCTGCCAGGTTTTGGTATCAGGATGCCTCATAAAATGAGTTAGGGAGGAGTCCCTCCTTTTCAATTGTTTGGAATATTTTGAGAAGAAATGGTACCACCTCCTCTTTGTACCCCTGGTAGAATTCAGCTGTAAATCTGTCTGGTCCTGAGCTTCTTTTTGGTTGGTAGGCTATTTATTACTGCCTTGATTTCAGAACTTGTTATTGGTCTATTCAGGGATTCAACTTCTTCCTGGTTCAGGCTTGGGAGGGTGTATGTGTCCAGGAATTTATCCATTTCTCCTAGATTTTCTAGTTTATTTGCATAGAGGTGTTTATAGTATTCTCTAATGGTAGTTTGTATTTCTGTGGGATCAGTGATGATATCCCCTTTATTATTTTTTATTGTGTCTAATTGATTCTTCTTTATTAGTTCAGCTAGCAGTCTATCTATTTTATTAATTTTTTTCAAAAAACTAGCTCCTAGATTCATTGACTTTTTTGAAGGGTTTTTTGTGTCTCTACCTCCTTCAGTTCTGCTCTCATTTTGGGTATTTCTTGTCCCCTGCCAGCTTTGAGGTTTGTTTGCTCTTTGTTCTTGTTCTTTTAGTTGTGATGTTAGGATGTCAATTTGAGTTCTTTCTAGCTCTTTGATGTGGGCATTTAGTGCTATAAATTTCCCTCTCAATGCTACTTTAGTTGCGCCCCAGAGATTCTGGTACATTGTCTCTTTGTTCTCATTGGTTTCAAAGAACTTCTCGATTTCTGCCTTAATTTTTTTATTTACCCAGGAGTCATTCAAGAGCAGGTTGATCAATTTCCATATAGTTGTGTAGTTTTGAGTGAGTTTCTTAATCTTGAGTTCTAACTTGATTGTACCGTGGTCTGAAAAACTGTTATGATTTCAGTTCTTTTGTATTTGCTGAGGCATGTTTTACTTCCAATTATGTGATCTATTTTAGAGTAAGTGTCATGTGGTGCCAAGAAGGATGTATATTCTGTTGTTTTTAGGTAGAGAGTTCTGTAGATATCTATCAGATCCACTTGATCCAGAGCCGAGTTCAAGTCCTGAGTATCTTTGTTAATATTCTGTCTTAATGATCTGTCTAATATTGACTGTGTAATGTTAAAGTCTCCTGCTATTATTGTGTGGGAGTCTAAGTCTCTTTGTAGGTCTCTAAGAACTTGCTTTATGCATCTGGGTGCTCCTGTATTGGGTGCATATATATTTAGGATAGTTAGCTCTTCTTGTTGAATTGAACCCTTTACCATTATGCCCTTCTTTGTCATTTTTGATCTTTGTTGGTTTAAAGTCTGTTTTGTCAGAAACTAGGATTGCAACCCCCGCTTTTTTCTGCTTTCCATTTGCTTGGTAGACTTGCCTCCATTCCTTTACTTTGAGCCTATGTGTGTCTTTGCACATGAGATGGGTCTCTTGAATTCAACACACTGATGGGCCTTGACCCTATCCAGCTTGCCATTTTATGTCTTTTAATTAGGCATTTAGCCCATTTACATTTAAGGTTAATATTATCATGTGTGAATTTGATCCTGTCATCATGATGCTAGCTCGTTATTTTGCAGACTTGTTGATGTAGTTGTTTCTAGTGTCATTGGTCTCTGTACTTCAGTGTGTTTTTGTAATGGCTGGTAGTAATTGTTCTTCCTTTACATATTTAGTGCTTCCTTCAGGAACTCTTGTAAGGCAGTCCTGGTGGTTATGAATTCCCTCAACATTTGCTTGTCTGAAAAGGATTTTATTTCTCCTTCACCTATAAAGCTTAGTTTGGCCAGATATGAAATTCTAAGTTGGAAGTTCTTTTCTTTATGAATGTTGAATATTGGCCCATAATCTCTTCTGGCTTATAGGGTTTCTGCTGAGAGATCCGCTGTTAGTCTGATGGGCTCCCCTTTGTAGGTGATCAGGCCTTTCTCTCTGGCTGCCCTTAACACTTTTTCTTCCATTTCCGCCTCGGAGAATCTGATGATTATGTGTCTTGGGATTGGTATTCTCATGGAGTATATTACTGGGGTTCTCTGTTCTCTGGATTTCCAGAATTTGAATGTTGGTCTGTCTTGCTAGGTTGGGGAAGTTCTTTTGGATGATGTCCTGAAGTGTGTTTTCTAACTTGGTTCCAGTCTCCCCACCCCTTTCAGAAACCCCAATCAGTCATAGGTTCAGTTTTTTTTACATAGTCCCATAGTTCTTGGAGGTTTTGTTCATTCCCTTTCATTCTTTTTTTCTCTAATCTTGTCTGCGTGTCTTATTTCAGCAAGATAGTCTTTAAGCTCTAAAATTATTTTCTCTGCTTGGTCTATTTGGCTATTGATACTAGTGGTTGCATTGTGAAGTTCTCGTGTTGTGTTTTTCAGCTCCATAAGGTCATTTATGTTCCTCTCTAAACTAGTTATTCTGGTTAACAGCTACTGTGATGTTTTATCATGGTTCTTAGCTACTTTGCATTGGGTTAGAACATGCTCCTTTAGCTCAGCGAAGTCTGTTATTATTCACCTTCTAAAGCCTTCTTCTGTCAGCTCATCCATCTCAGTCTCAGCCCAGTTCTGTGTCTTTGCTGCAGAGTTGTTGTGATCATTTGGAGGAGAAGGGGCACTCTGGCTTTTTGAGTTTTCAGATTTTTTTCATGGATTCTTTCTCATCTTCACAAGTTTATCCACCTTCGATCTTTGAGGCTGCCGATTTTTGGGGGGTTTTTGTGGGGACTTTTTTGTTGATAGTGCTGTTGTTTCTGTTTGTTTTTCTTTTAACAGTCAGGCCCCTCTTCCATAGGGCTGCTGCAGTTTTCTGGGGGTCACTCCAGACCTTATTTGCCTGAGTCCCTCCTGAACCCAGAGGTGTCACCAGTGGAGGCTGCAGAACAGTAAAGATGGCTGCCTGCTCCTTCCTCTGGGAGCTCTGTTCCAGAAGGGCCCTGACTTGATGCCAGTGAGAATGCTCCTGTAAAAGGTGTCTGGTGACCCCTGTTGGGGGTCTCACCCAGTCAGGAAGCACAGGATCAGGGACCTACTTGATGAAGCACTCTGGCTGCCCCTTTGTGGAGGGGGTGCGCTGTGCTGGGGGAATCCCACTCGTTGGAACTGCCCAGATTCCTCAGAGCTAGCAGGGGAAAATACTAAGTCCACCGATCTGTGGAGACCACGGCCGCCCCTCCTGGCAGGGACTTCATTTCAGGGAGATCAGATTTCTGTCTGTAAACTCCTGGCTGGAGTTCCTGAAATCCCCATAGGGAGACCCTGCCCGGTGAGTGGGGATGGGCCTAGGTCTGGCCTAAAGAGGCAGTCTGGCCAGGATCTGCCACAGCCACTGTGCTGTGCCGTGGGGAATTCCTCCTGGGTCCAAACTGCCCAGTCTCCCCAGCACCAGCGGCGGAAAACAGCAGACTGGAGCCGCAGTGATGGCAGCCGCCCCTCCCCACGGGAACTTGGTAGTCTTAGGCAGCCTCCAGCCAAGTGGCCACCGAGAATCTCCACAGCTCTGGGCTTGGGACCCAAGGCCCTGGTGGTGTGGGCTCATGAAGGGATCTCCTGATTAGCGGGTTGCACAGATCCATGGAAAAAGTGTGGTTTCCCAGGTGGGGTAGCACAATCACTCACTGCCTCCCTTTGCCCCGTGCGGCTCCCGGGTGGGTTGTTGCTCCACCCTGCTTTTCCTTGCTCTCTGTAGGTTGTGCCAGCTGCCTAGTGAGTCCCAGTGAGTGAACCTGGATACCTTAGTTGCCAGTGAGGATTCACTTGCCGTTTTCATTCTTCTTGGTGGGAGCCTCCAACCGCAGCTGTTCCTAGCCAGCCATCTTGCCCCCTCCCTCACTTCTGTTCTGTCATTCTTAAGATCTTGGTTTTAATGTTAATGCTGGTCAGTTCTTCCTGAATTCCAGAGGGAGGAGGGTATAATGAGGCACATTTGACACCCCTTTCTCACCATGTCCTGAACTAGTTTTCTGGGTTTACTTTGGAATGCTCTTGGCTGAGAGCCGAGAGCCAAGAGCTCAGTTGGTTGGGGGGCTTAGAATTTTATTTTTGATTTACAAAAGGCATACAATTTAATGTCTATACACAGGTGTCTTCAGAATTAAGACCCAGCATCTCAATGAAGTACAGAAGCTTATATACAATTTTGAGGTTATAGAAAGAGTAGAGGCTTGGATCCTGGCAAAACAGGTTATGGGAGTGGGAGAAGAGGAATTCTATTGAGTTGCAATAAATGATTATTAAGGAGAATGACTGGATGGGAAACAGAAATTAACTTGTAAATGGTTCTCTTTGGTATTTAAATGATCCTTGGGGACAGTCATTATCTTGAAAAAGGTCTCTTCAGGTATGGTCACATCTTGGTCTTCTTTTCTGCAATAACATGACAACAGGGAGGGGAAGAAAAATCATTTGTTTTCCATGGTGGCTGTGGACTTTAGGCAGATAAAGGAACTTCAGCTTCTTTGGGAGAGGTGGTAGGGGCAGGGAGGGAGGTCAGCGAGAACTTGAGGCTTCTTCAGTTCAGCATCTTAAAGTGCCATATTTGGGGGTATCATTTTCTGAGCCCCAACAGATTCAAAGTATTTTTTTTTCTGTTTAGTAAATGTTCACTGTTCAAATAAGTTACCACAAAATTTACACTTGTGTTTTGGCATTTTGGGACTTCAATACATAAATAAAACATAGAATAAAAAAGATTGAGCTTCATAACCTCACAGCTGCTTAGGCACATCCATTACTCACAAGTCTGAACTCATAACTAATCATAGACAGGAGTTTGAACAGATGAAATTAAATGATTATGAACTCATGAACTAAAAAAAGTTGAACTTGATATTGGATACAAAAATATGGGCACTTTTTAGGGCTTGGGCGCCCAGGTTGAAGCCAAGCTGACCTCATCTAGGGTTTTGGGGACCGTGGGGCTTGGGCTGGGTGGACAGAAAAAAATAGCAGTTTTCAGGACTGGAGTTTGTTGGAAGCTTGGGATATCACCACTGTGCTTCCTTTCAGAAGCCTGGTTTCAGTTAGGAAGCTGGTCTTTAGAGCACAAGGACGGACCTGAAGTTAGCGCTGATTAGTGATGGTGACTTGTTCATGACTTGGGGCTTTGGCCAAACAACAGTCTTTTCCTTTCTGGAATATGAAAAATAAATACTTTTAATTCTTAGCCCTCCCTCACCTCCCTCCACTCCCCCACCAGCCACCATCAGCCACACCCTCAGGCAAGGCTGTAAGGCTCACTCAGACCTTGGTTGTGAAGGTCCGGCTTTCTGTGAGTGGTGCCATTTAGTGATTCAGACCTCAATTACTGCGGTGGCAAATTAGCTCTAACTGCCAAATTTTTGTAATTTATTGGAAAAAAAGAAAGCTGAATATAGGACATTTAGGGCATCCTGACAAAGCAATACAGGATGCAGGGCCAAAGCATTAAATACAGGACATGCCCTGTATATACAAGATGCCAGGTTACCCTAATTTAGGAGTCAGTGGAGCTGAAGTGGGTCATAGCTTTTTTTTGCTTCTACTCACTATTTTAAGACAAACGTGAATTTTAACCATGAGACAGACTTTCAGATCCCTGACTTCTAAGTGAGCCATGATGGAATGGCTCCTGACAGCTGACTAGACAGGGGTCTTCCCTGAACATGTTGAAAGGGGAGGAAAGGACACTGTGGTTGCAAAGCTCCACTAAATGTCTCTCTTACCCAACTCCACATCCCCAGGCATCAGCCAAGCTCCTGTGGGCAGCATGACCGGGGCCCTTCCCGCAGAGAACGGGGCCAGCAGGCTTCCTCTGGGCATCTCTGCTTCTGGGAGCCCCAGAAGGGCACCTGGCAGCGTGTAGTCACAGAACCCTTTGTACAGTTGGTGATGGGCAGGTGTTTCCCATAGTTTCTAGAAAAACAATTAGACTGTGAGAGAGTTTAGAGAAAGACTAGCTTCATGGCAAATATGTCAAATAAAAAGCCCTCACTTTCCCAGGAACACCTGTCAGAGAATGATGAGAAAAGCTATTCACTTGAGAATAGAAACAACAAATACACAACGTGAATGAGAATGAGATTAATGAGAGCTGTGGGAGCAACCAGGGACCTTCTGGGAAATGTCAGGAGGGAAAGAAAACCAAGAAGAGAGAGATGGGAGACACGTTCAGGGACAAGAAGGTGGAACATTGCTAAATGCAATTGCTTTTCCATGTGGGCTTAATGCAAATCCAAATCTTTGAAAGTATTAGAAGTATTCCAAAGTGAATGAACATTTGAGAAAATAACCTAAGAAAAAGACAAAGCATATGCACAAGATTATCAGAGATTCTGGAACCAAATAGAAGTAATCAAAAAATTCAAGTGCTATAGATAGTGCTGTTGAATTAAAATATATAAGCAAAAGTATGGACACTTAGACTAAAGGTGAAGAATGAAAACACAGCAGTGTCTGAAACTTAGGGTAACTTTCTCAAAAAGGGAGAGGGAAAGGATTATTTAATGAATATGTATTGGATCTCAATCTTGGGAGGGAGCATAATGGGCTCTGTACCTTCTATCATACACTAAAATTAAAGTCAGCTAAATAAAAGAATTCCCTGGGAAAAAAATAAGGCTTTAAAAACTAGCAGAAAACATAAAATTATAGTCTCATGGAAGACTAAAGTTCTTCAGCCTTGAAGCAATGGGAGGGATCACACAGTAAAAGTTAAACAATTTTTAACATAAGGATGTTAAATTATATGTCATTAAAAAAAGCCACTGAAGTCACAGGTATAGTGGCTCGAGCCTGTAATTCCAGCTACTCAAGAGGCTGGGGTGGGAGCATTGCTCAAACATTTTCCTATAGCAATGAAGCCTGGAGTTGAGGGTGAATGATATAAAAATATTTACCCCAAAATATATTTATTTGACATATTTTGAGATGGCTGTCACAGAGCCAGCAAACAGAAGTAGCCCTGCAAAGCTGTCTTTTGAAGGGGAAATTTATATCTGTAGAGCATCTGCAGGAAGCAGCTAGGTCTTCCCTTGTCCAGATCTAGGAAAGACTAACTAAGAGTTTGACCCCTTACAGATCTGAAAGAAACGTACCATCTATTCTTCGAAGGCTGCAACCAGTGAGGTTTCATCTACATAACAAGACCACCTTTGGCGGCCAGGCCTCCTCTTCTCTCCCTCCCATTACCTGTTTTGCCATTATAACCTGATTTACCACTATAACCTGTTTTTGCCTGTGCTCTGGACTCCCATTCTTTCTGTAACCTCAAGATGATATGTAAGCTTCTGCACCCCATTGGTGAGTTGAGCAGTCACTCTGTGGTTCTCCCTGTGCTCACATTAATAAAATCTATATTCCTTTTCTCCAATTACTCTGCCTTTTGTGAGTTTTCAGTGAGCCTTCAGAGGGTAAAGGAGAAGTTTTTCCCTTGTTCCCTACAAGGGTCAGGCAGGTTTGTTCAGATTATCTACCCAGGGAGTTTTCAGAAGTTGAGTTTCTTCAGCCATGTCAGGAATAAAATAATCCCTGCTTTCTTAGAATTGTGGAGGAAATGAACACTAACGATATGTTAACCTAAAGGAAGAAACTGAGGCAAACAATATAAGTACAGAGTTTACTGGGGCCAAGCTTAAGGACTGCAACCCAAGAGCATAGACTCAAGTTGCCCTGGACATACACTCCAATTAGCAGTACTTACAAGTGGATTTGTAAAGGCAAAAAAGGGGGTCAGGGAGTGGACTGATACAAAGTTGTTTGCCAAGAATTCTCATTGGTTTATAGAAATAACATTGATTAGTGGTTGGCTACACATTGCTATTCTAAAAAGTGTGAGTTACAGTGTCCAGCATGACATTGTTAGATTAATTTGTAGCTACTTGTGGCAGTAGCAAGCAGTTCTAAGAGATGAAAACATAGCTCAAGGGGAAGTAGGACATGATTGCTGTCTCATTTTAATGTTTCTCTGGGCCTGATAATTTAAAAGGATTCGCATTTCTCGGATAAAATTTCTTTTCTTTTCTCATAATGAATATAGAGCATCTGACATACAGATGCTAAAAATAACTCTGATTATCACTACCACAAACATGACACCTGAAGCATTCACTGACATTTTTATGAGAAGAAACTAAGGGTATGAATAAATGAAATTATCCTTTCCCATGTATCTTTTCATTCAATTTTTTCCTTCTTTATCTGTAAAAGAAAGGTATAAACAGTAAACAATCATCTGTAAGCTGGTCCACTCTTTTAAGATTTCCTAACATACAATTAAAGCATCTTTGAGGATAGGTAGTTGAAATTTTTTAAAGAACTAAAAAGAATGAAAAATCTTTGACACTTGTATTAAAACCTGTTGTGTTAGCCTATTTTTGCATTGCTATAAAGGAATACCTAAGACTGGGTAATTTATAAAGAAAAGAGGTTTATTTGACTCACTGTTCTGCAGGCTGTACAAGCATGGCACCAATATCTGCTTGGCTTCTGGTGAGGGCTCAGGGAGCTTACAATCATGGCAGAAGGCTCAGGGGGAGCAGGCACATCACGTGACAAGAGAGGGAGCAAGAGAGTGAGGGGAGAGGTGCCACACACTTTTAAACAACCAGATCTCATGTGAACTAACTGAGGAAGAACTCACTCGTCATCAAGGGGAGGGTGCTAAACCATTCATGAGAAATCCACCCCCATGATCCAATACCTCCCACCAGGTCCCACCTCTAACATTGGAAATCACATTTCAACATGAGATTTGGAGGAAAACAACATCGAAACCATATCACCAGGACACATCTCAACTGCTACGTCCATTGTCCATTCACATGTGTCATTTCAGAAGCAAAGGGCAGAAGTCAGCAGAGTGAGCAGCCTGCCAACAGCCTTATTGAGGGCCCAGAAAGCCCTGGGGACAGGGCTGGATGCTGTGGGTACAGCATCCTGACTCTGACTCTGAAGGCCTTATAGTCTGGTGGGCCATGTAAGGGCAAATACAAATTTAAAATAAGATTCATAGTCTCCTGTAAAAGTGAGGGAAGAGATACCACCTCCTTCCCTTTCATTACAGTATCTACTTTGGAAAACTTTTAATAAATTATTTCTCTGCCACTGTGAATGTAGATAAATCTGTTTAAAAGCTAAAAAGCCTCTTGCTGGCTTTACAACTGTGAGCCAAAAATAAATCCTAAGCCCTCAACCGACTGAATAGGCCCCCTTTTGGCCAAGGGGACCCCAGGGTAATCTGAAAAACTAAATTCCAGACCATGATGGGAAGGGAGATTGGTAACACCTCATTATTCCTCCCTTCCTTTTGGAGTTTAGGCACAACTGATTAGCATTAAGGTTAAAATAGAGATCGTAAGACTGACAAAACACACTCTTTGTGGTAATAACAAATTATAATTAAGACCTAAGGCCACACAAGGCAACAGTTAAGTCACACTGT
Organism: Homo sapiens; assembly: GCF_000001405.40. Lineage (NCBI taxonomy): Eukaryota > Metazoa > Chordata > Mammalia > Primates > Hominidae > Homo > Homo sapiens. The sequence continues at coordinate 45,501,337 of NC_000007.14, forward strand.
ATAAACTGTAAAATATTTTTAAATGAGTTTTAAAAATTAACCCAGTACAGGCTGGGCACGGTGGCTCACTCCTGTAATCCCAGCACTTTGGGAGTGCAAGGCGGGCGGATCATGAGGTCAGGAGATCGAGACCATCCTGGCTAACATGGTGAAACCCTGTCTCTACTAAAAATACAAAAATTATCCAGGCGTGGTGGCGGGCGCCTGTAGTCCCAGCTACTCAGGAGGCTGAGGCAGGAGAATGATGTGAACCCGGGAGGTGGAGCTTGCAGTGAACCAAGATCACACCACTGCACTCCAGCCTGGGTGACAGAGCAAGACTATGTCTCAAAAAAAAAAAAAAAAAATTAACCCAGTGCAATGTTGCTTTCTCTCCAAGCTGATTCTGGTATAACATCACATGACAGCAGACCCTGAGGGAAATAAAAATATTTTACCCCCAGATTTATTTCTTTGACATATTTTGAAACAACTCTGCAAAACTGTCTTTTGTGGGAGAAATTTGCATCTGTAGAGAATCTCCATAAATGCAGCCAGATCTTATATTAACTGAGAGTCTGACACATTTAAGGTCTGAAAAGAGGCATTGACCATCTATTTTCTTTGAAGCCTGCTGCCTATAAGTCTTCATCTACATAACAAGGGCCTTGGCCCCCACAACTTCCACATCTTAACTCAAGCTGTCTTTCTATTGACTTCAAGTCTTTAGACAAAGCTCAACTCTCTCAACCGTCAACTAAAGAATTCCTAAAACCCATCTATGTCTTGTAAGCCCCCACTTTGAGTTGTCCCACCTTAGCGGGTTGAACAACAATGTACACCTTCCATGTATTGATTGATGCCTTTGCCTGTAACTCCTGTCACTCTAAAATGTATGAAACCAGGCTGTAAACTAACTGCCTCAGGCACACTTACTCAGGACCTCTTGAGACAGTGTTGTCCAAGTCATGAGCACTCATACTGACTCAGAATAAACCTCTTTAAAATATTTTACAGTTTGGTTTTTCTGTTAATGCAGCCCAGGGATGTCCTTCTCAAAGACCTGGGAGCCATCTCTTTGTAAAGTCAGCATCCAAGGGAGATAGCATCTCATCTCCCAGTTTCCGTGGGAGAGTAAGAGGCTAACATTGGTGGGCACTGGCTCCAAGTTGCAAACATACCTCCTGTCATGAAGATAGGAGTTTTTTTGTTTTGTGTTTTTAGAAAAGCAACTGCTAACTCAGATTACCCTTGCAATTACCAGGTAAATTTAGTATGAACTACGTGTGACAAGTGGTGCTGTCAAGTCCCCTTACTGGAGGACAATTTACAATTTATCTGTAGAACATAGATAGAGTGGGTTGTCTCTGCCTGTCTATACAAGGGGACAAGCATTCTCTCTGTCTTCCCAATCTTTTGCTAGGTTGCATATTATGTACACCACATTGTGGTACAATGCTTATTCCGTAATAAAACAGTTTTCTTTACTATCTATATGGATGTTGTAGGACTTTCTCCTTAGTTCAGCTAAAAGCCAGGTTCTTGTCACACAGTCATGAAAGATTAGGCTCGCAGACACTTTGACGGGTGAGAAAAATGGAATTTATTGGGCAAAAAGGAAAAAAAAAAAAGGGAAACAGGAACTCTCAGCAAAGCAGGAGTCCACCCTGGAGCAGGAGAGGCCAGGCTCCTCTCCCCTGCAAATGGCACAAACTTCCTGAGCCTCCACCCCAATGTGCACTCCTCCCAGTGTGCAGGCTGGTTGGAGGTTCTCTGGTGACCCCTTTATACTTGGCTGTCTCACAGAGAGGTTTTATGGTTTGGGAGATTTTGTTCTTAATTGTATTTCCCCCAAATCATGAAGGGGTGCTGGGTGGGTCATGGTGTGCAGTAAGCACACAAGAGTGGAGGGTTGCATGGTCATCAGTGAATTGAGAATAACAGTGTTACCCCCAGTGTTAACAACAATAATTTACTTAAATAGCATATGCAGATTCCAGAAGCTGGACCTGTGCTCAGTACTTGTGTCTTCCCAATCCTCACTCTAGTACAGAAATAAAGGAAGATGACCCAGTGGAATGAGGAGCTTAGTCATGTCCCTGGAGTGATGGAACATGTGGCTCAGGCCATGCTGACTCCGAAATGTGGAGGGATTTGATGAATTGGATCGCCGCTGGGCCCCACCAACACAGACCTGCCTAGACAGATTTTACCTTGTACTTTTTCACTGGTATGAGCCTCTCTGTGCTTAGCTGTGCTGAAAAGGGGAAATGCAACAAAATATGACCAAGGGAGATATTTTGGCATTCTTTTCTAAGGAAGCCAAAAGAATTGCTGATTTTACAAGGAAACTTTGGTCTCTGAAGAGTTTAATGCTAATTTTGCAGATTTGGAAATCTCAGTCATTTATGGAGTATTTAAAGCAAAATCCCAAGTTCTGAGATTTATTGAATCACAGACTTCCAAGCCTCATGAACTCTGAGTGAAATCACTTTTGCAAAGATTATGGCAGTGAGAGAAATCTAGCGTGGCTGACTCCACCTTGTTTGTAGCCTCACAGGCTGGCTGTCCCCGCTCACTCCTAGGCATAGGCCAAGCTAACCGGAGGAGGAATTCACTTTACAGTTTAACTTTGCCTGACTACCATGGTGAAACCCCGTCTCTACTAAACATACAAAAATTAGCCAGGCCTGGTGGCAGGCACCTGTAATCCCAGCTACTCAGGAGGCTGAGGCAGGAGAATCGCTTGAACCTGGGAGGCGGAGGTTGCAGTGAGTCAAGATTGCACTATTGCACTCCAGCCTGGGTGACAGAGCGAGACTCCATCTCAAAAAGCAAAAATAGCTCCTCCTTAAAACTGATCTCCCCTCCTTGTGTGGGGGCCACAACCACTTTTGTAAGACTAGTGAAAGGCCACAAGATCAGGATTATGGGAGGGGCCTGAACTCTGCTAAAATGTAGGCATAGTTTCTATAATTTCTTGCTGCTCAGAAGTCACATGGCCAAAGGTTACAAGATATGTGATTTCCCTGATTGCTCCTATAGATAACATCACCATTGTAAAACCTAGGATTGGTCTTTCGAGATGTTTTTCAGACTGACCCCATCTGGACTCATGACTCATGACTCAGCTCATCCTGTAGCCCCCAACCCAGAGGCAGGCTCAGAACATGAAGACCATTTTCCACACCACTATGATTGCATCCCAAACCAATCAGCAGCACCCATTCCCTAGACCCCTGCCCACTAAACTATCCTTGAGAAATTGTAACCTCCAAGTCTTCAGGGAGATTGATTTGAGTAATAACTCCATCTTCCACATGGCCAGCCTCAGGATAACTAAACTCCTTCTTTACTGCAATATCACGGTCTCAGTGAATCGGTTTTATCTCTGTAGTGGGCAGGAAGAAGCTGCCAGGTGATTACATGAACAAGGCCCATGTCTGGGGCCAGGATTCCCAGTGCTCAGGTGGCTGCTGGTGACAATCCAGAGCATGACCTTCTGTCAACCCAACTCTTTCTTACCAACCTGTCTGTTGTAAAAAAAAGAACCAGGGGCCAGGGACAACTGGACTTAAAGGAACACAGTAACAACTGTGGCCAAGGAGAGGGTACTTCAGAACCAGCTTCTGAATCCCTATCCCTGGAAACAGACAAAAAACCAAGGGAAAACAAAACAGGGGGAAACTTCACAGCCCCAAAAGTAGAGAAAAGTGCCCAGATGCCACATGTTCCATGGAATTCCTGCTAGATGCACTAAAAATGGGGCCAGACCAGGGGCTGGACACATCCCTTCCCAGGAGTTGGTGTATCCAAGGAGGTGTGTAGAGAAGGGACTGCAGAGGTCCACAGTTGGTCTCTATTTGGAGGGAGGAGGTCAGTCCAGCTTGTAAGAGACTCAAATGTGCAGCATCCTTGTGAGAAGGGCACAGCAGTGTATGCTAAGCGTTCTTAAGGAAATTAAGGGCACCAAAAAAGATCAAAAGGGGGTCAAAGCAAATACCTTGAGATAACAAAGAGGACAAAATGTAACAGAAGGAGCATGAGGAAATAAATAATACCGAGCAGCACTAAAAGCTCATTGATGGAGTGAGACACAGAAGGCACTCTTCAGAGAAGAAAATTAGTGATATGTAAATAAAGTCTGGGAGGCTTTTTGAGATGGTGAAGAAAATGTCAAAAGTACAAAATGGACGAGAAAGAAGGTGAAAGAAAAGAAAACAGAACTGCTGAGATCTCATATTGGCTGTCTTTGTTTCTAGAGAAAAGAAAGGAAAAGCTGAACAGACACAATATTCAATGATAACAACAACAAAAAACGTTTTCTTAACTTAAAAAGTGCAGTGGGGAGGAAGAGCAGGTGTGGAGATGATGACTGTGGGGCTGAGTGGATGTTGGGTGGCACAGCGGGGGCTTGGCCACCATAGTGGACACAATGGCAGGGCCAGGTAAAATCCCAGAGTCTGGGCTTGGGTTCTGGGCCCCCCAACTCTTTTCTATGTGGAGTGGCAGGTTGAGGAGGCCCGGATGTCCTGTCTCCTGGAGGTGGAGTCAGGAGGATGGAGTGAGGTAAAACACAGACTAAAGGCAGCACAGTGCCTGGCACAAGTGACAGCATACAGGCTGCTGTGACTTTCTGTCCCAGACACTGCCTGGCACTGCCCCAACCACATGGAGGCATGGGCTCTGTGAGAGCACATTCCCTTCCAGGTCCAGGGCCCTTCCTGTCCAGTTCCTCTTCCTGCCCAGTTCCTCTTCCTGTCCAGTTCCCCTTCCTGCCCAGTTTCAGTTTCCCTTCCTGTCCAATTCCTCTTCCTCTCCAGTTCCTCTTCCTGTCCAGTTCCCCATCTTGTCTAGTTCCCTTTCCTGTCCAGCTCCCCTTCCTGTCCAGTTCCTCTTCCTGTCCGGTTCCCCTTCTTGTCTAGTTCCCTTTCCTGTCCAGTGTCCCTTCCTCTCCAGTTCCTCTTCCTGTCCATTTCCCTTTCCTGTCTAGTTCCCCTTCCTGTCCATTTCCTCTTCCTCTCTAGTTCCTCTTCTTGTCTAGTTCCCTTTCCTGTCCAGTTCCTGTTCTTTTCCAGTTCCTCTTCCTCTCCAATTCCTCTTCCTGTCCAGTTCCCCTACCTCTCCAGTTCCTCTTCCTGTCCAGTTTCCCTTCTTGTCCACACCCCTTCCTGTTCAAGCCCCTTCCTGGTCGAGGGCTCAGCCTCCCCATCCAAGGCCCATCTCCCACTGCCTCACAATCACACACACTTGTGTCACATGATCCTCAAAAGCACCCACCTATACCAAGGAAAGTGACTCAAGCTGCCTTCTCCCTAGCCAGGGATCCCCTCCTGCAGATGCTGTGGCCTGGAGCCTACTTGACTTGGGTCCAGATTGCCAACATTTGTTGATTTCTGCAGTTTGTAAAACTTCCTTTATCTGGCCCTGCCATTGTGTCCACTATGGTGGCCAAGCCCCCGCTCTGCCACCCAACACCGACTCAGCCCTGGTCATCATCCCCACACCTGCTCTTCTGCACATCTGTGGCTCATCTTTCTTTCTGTGGTACTGGGCCTTACCCAGCCCTTTTTCAAGAGGGGCCAGGCCCCTGTGCTCATCCAGGGGTTCACAGAGGGTGTGGAGCTCCAGGCCTAGCCCCTTCAGCAAGCTCAGCAAGCAGCTAGCCCCTGGGGAAGCTTTTGTGGCTGCCTGTCCCCTCATTAATAGGAGTCGACCCCTGGATGCCTGGCTCCCTGGGCTTCTGTCCACTCTTTGGAGAGTGGGAACTAGATTAATCTCTGCAAGGAATAAATGTCAGAAGAAGCCAAAAGCCAGAACCTGAGGCCTTGCCTCACAGACACTCAGCTCATGTTGATGTTACTACAGCTCCTGTACTGCTATTGCAACCAGGGCTCAGGGTATTGTCCATAACATCATTATTAGCATTCTCACTCTTTTTTCCCCCTAGTTCTTTTAGTTGCAAATACATATTATCAATCTTAAAGAAGTATTTTTTAAATTCACTGTTTTTTAATATTAGCAGTAAGCTAGCATAATGCCCAGATATTCATTCTTTTAAATCTTCAAATTCCATTTATGTGATCTTACTGCTTTAGAACTAATTCTTAAAGGATTGTACCCATAGTGACCCTATGGATTTCTTTAAGTTGTATGAAATTTTAAGAAAGTGTTTGTGGTAGAATTGAGCCTACTTCCTAACGTTCAATTTTTTTAAGACTTATTTTTTTAGAGCAGTTTAAGATTCATAGCAAAATTGAGAGAAAGATACAGAGATTTCCTGTATGCCCCCTTCCCCAACACATGCACAGCCTCCCCCATTATCAACATCCCCCACCAGAATGGTACATTTGTTACAGTCAATGAACCCACATCAATACATCATCACCCGGAGTCCATTATTTGTTTAAATTACAGTTTATTCTTTATGTTGTACATACTGTGGGTTTGAACAAATGTATAATGACATACAACCACCATTATGGCATCATGCTGAGTAGCTTCACTGACTTAAAAATCCTATTGCTCTACCTCTTCATCCCTATCTTCCCCTAGCCCTTGGTAACCACTGATCTTTCTATGCTCTCCACAATTTTGCCTTTTCCAGAATGTTATATAGTCGGAATCATCCAATGTACAGCCTTTTCAGATTGACTTCCTTCACTTAGTAACATGCATTTAAGGTTCCTCCATGTCTTTTCACGGCTTGATAGATCATTTCTTTTAGTGCTGAATAGTATTGCATGGTCTGGATGTACTGTCATTTATTTATTGAATCACCTACTGAAGGACATCTTGGTTGTTTCTAAGTTTTCACAATTATCAATAAAGCTGCTATAAATATCCCTGTGCAGGTTATTGTGTGGACATAAGTTTTCAACCCATTTGGATAAATACTGAGGAACACAATTGCTGGATTGTGTGGCAAGAATGTGTTTACATTTTTAAGAAACCACCAAACTGTCCTCCAAGGTGGCTGTACCATTTTGCATTCCCACATTCCCACCAGCAATGATGAGAATTCCTGTTCATCCACAACCTCACCAGCATTTGGTGTTGTCAGTGTTCCACATCTTGGTCATTCCAATTTGGCATTTAATGAAAGTGTTACCAAAATGCAGGGGTTTGATCTAGGTCTTATTGCTTGCTGCACAGAAAGCCAATCACTGAAGCAACAAGTATTGCCAGGGAGGAAGGCTTTAATTGGGTAATGCAGCCAGGGAGAATGGAAGGTAAAGTCTCAAATTAGTCTCTCAGACTGACTAAAATTTGGGGGTTTATTTAGTTGGTAAGGTAGGAAAACAGGAATAGGAAAGAGTAAGGAAGCAATCATGATGAATGAGGGGCCTGGATGCAGTGATCTGGTGAGTTCCAGTCCCTTGCCTGAGGATCAGTTTCCTGAGGAAGGAACTCAGATGAGACAAATGTAAGTTTCAAGTTTTAAGACCAGGGAGGGTCAATATTAGTTCTCTGGGACAATTGAGCCAGTTTCAAAATAAGTATTGTTAAAGATCAAAGAGTGTGTACATTTCCTAGGTGCTTGTCCACTTCCGGGGCCAGCCAGTCAGGCTGCTTGGCACCCCTCAGGGAACAGTGGCTGTGCCCTACACACTGGAGCAAGTATCAATTTACATCTTTCCCCAGGAAACTGAGCTCCATGAAGACATTGCTTATATGTGGGTGATGTAGAAAAGGAATGAAGAGAGATTTGACTGAATGAATGACACATTATTGTCTCCCGCCCCACCCCCATGTGGGCCATTGAGGCTGACTCTGGCATTTGCTGGTGTAAGGCTAAATCTCCAGAAATATTGGTATCTGGCCAAGCTGTGGCCACCAGAGGGGTTTGAGGGCAGGCCTGAGCACAGGCTCTCAGCAGCAGGCCCACTTGGTTACTGTAGCCCCCAGGCAAGGGAGCAGTGGGAGGCCTCACACCCTTGGTCTGAGGGTTTAAATGTTTAAATAAATCATTCAAGCTCACATAGTGTTAAATGAAATATGTTCCATCCTAATGACAACACTGGAAAATACGCACACAAGCCCAGGAAGTTAGCTACACAACGTCCTTTCCCCAGGGGTTGCACATGCAAGGCCCCCAGGGCCAGGCTTGGACCACAATGAGAGGAGCAGGTCAGGGGGTCACTGTGGGCTGCACTGGGTCAATGAGCCTTGCTGCCATTAAGAATTCAACAGGATTTTTCAGAAGCAATCAGAATCTAGGTTTTCATGTAAAAAGTCACAATTGTTTAATACTTGCTCAAAAAACCCCACAAAATTTAGATGCTACTTCCATGGGCTGGGTTTGGTCAATAAGCCTCCAGCCAGCAGCCTTGGCCTCATACCAGGTCTGAACGGTCTCCCTGAACACCTGCTCTGTGTCTTCCCCCAGCAAAGCCAGAAGGGCGGCCTAGGTCAGGGGTGACTCAGACAGGAGCTGCAGGCACGACACTGACCACCCAGAGCACATGTTTCTGGGAGCACTCCTCCCAAGGACAGGAGAGGACGTTATGGGAGGGAGTCTTATCAGCATGCCCTCCCCTAAGAGATAGAGGGACAGTGGTGGGACTGTAGGCCTTGGCCTCCCTGAATTCTCTCTCTCTGAGATGCGCTTCCTCACTCCAGAAGAAAGGAATGTGGGCTCATGACACCCTAAATCACAGCGTCAGAGCCTGGGAGGAAGTCAAGCCAGCAAAGTTGAGAAATGTAGCAAAGACTCTGCCAGGACCTACAGGTGAACAGCTGCGTGCCCAGGTCTGCAGTCTCTCAGGCTCACACTGCCCAGGTCTCAAGTAGGTTCAGAAAATGCAAAACCCTGCTTCAGGTGCCAGGTTAGCCTTGAGGGTGTACAGCTTGACTAATCATCATAGGAAGAGGCTCTGCAGATGGGACCAGGGCCATGGGAGGAGGCAGGGGCAGATTTGGCTAGGGTGCCCACTGGAGAAAGCCAGCCTCAGTGTAATCTCCTGATGCACCTAGGCCTTCTAGGAGTGACTCTGACCTGAGCCTCCCATCATCATTGCTGTGTCTGGCCTGGCACACAGATGCCCATCACCATCTCCATCGCCCAGGAGACTGGACACGGGGCAGGAGGTGTACGGTAGAGACACGCAGTGGGGTGCTGTGGGAGAAAAGCAGGTAGGGGCGAGTGGCCCGTGGGACAGCTGACCAGGTGAGGGTGGGAGGTGGGCGTGGAGAACAAGCACCTGCAAGGGCATCTAGTGGGCATCTCCCTATCACAGTGGCAGCATGAGAACACCTCAACTTGCACAGCACATCCAGGGTTCCTGAAGTAGTTCTTCATGAGAGCCTTGGAGCTTTGCTCTTTTAATAGCTCACCGCCCTGTGCTGCCCCACTGTTGAGATAAAAGCAAGGCACCCCATTCATCTCTGTCCAGAGCCTGGAGGACAAAGTGCCCTGTTTAAGCTAAGTGGAGAAAATATGTGTGTCAAACATCTGAAAGAGGTGAGGTTAAGGACGCTCCTGCCTCGGAGTGGGAGGGGATACAATCTAGCATCAGGCGGGAGGTCTGCACTTGGCCACCTCTCCTCCTTTGGCCCCAGGCTGAGTCAGTTTGTCTATATGTTGGAAGGGCTGTGGGGAGAGGTGTGCTCACTGCTGTGGCCACTAGCCTGGACAGAAAAGGGCTGAAGCCTGCTTGGTGCAGCAATGCCCTGCTTCTTTCCCACTTCCCTTATAAACTGGGGGCCCCTTTGAAGGTCAGGTGTCCGTCGGAATCAGACCCACCTCCCACTCTACTATGGCTTCACAAGGTGCCAGTCCCAAGGAGAAACTCAGTGAATTTTCATCAAATTGGATAGAGCCCAGCAGTGATTTTACTGAATCTCCAGAAAACCTGTCTCCAAAAGCTATTTGCCTCTTGAGTTCTAGGAGAGAACTATTTTTAGTGAGTGTTTTGTTTTCTAAGGTGAATGACTATGGCAAAAGCCAGCTGGGGGCTTATCTAATCAAGATGCTCTTGTAAGTGTTTATTCTAATCAGTGCTACCAACCCCATCTATTTGGGGAACAAACCCCTCAGCTCCTTCCAGCTCTGAGCATCCCAGATGTCTGCAAGCGGGTCAAGAAGCCTGGGCCTCGGGTTCCAGGCCCCACTTTCCACTCTGGCATCTCCAGTCACATCGGATGCTTTCTTTCTTTAAATAAACCCTCTCATAGAATCTTCCCTATGGAGGGGCCTGGAGATATGCTTGCTTACTCCAGTCCCCAAATTTTTCATGTTTTCAGAAATGTCTGGATTACTGAGTGATAGAGATGTGTCTACTGGCAGACACACACAGAGACATATTTGTAATTCTCTGTGCTACCTCATTTAATGCTCCCAATACTGTGTCAATCCCAAGAAGAAACCTTTGCTGTGACAAAGACCCTGCTTGACCAGGCATTAGGCTCCTATGAGCCCACTTCTCCACTAGGCCTTGTCCTTGGGCTTTTGTCCCTGCCAGGTCTGGTTTTAGCAAGAATCTTTAATAAGCTAGTTTAGAGAGAATCCTCCCAACCTTGCAATCTGGTCAGGTTCCTTATCCTCCACCATCCCCCACGTGATGTCTCACCACCCTGGCTGTCTTCTGCAAGAATCCTGCTAGGTCAGTTTAGCCAGATCCCCACTACCCTGATGTTTCCTCTTGTGATTTTCCATCCACTGACCCTTGCAACCTGCTCTTTGGGTATAGGTTCCTACTTGTCCTTACTGTATTCAGAGTTGAGCCCAGTTCTATGCTGAGGTTTCTTTTCCCCTATTGCAATCATTTCTGAATAAAATCTGTTTTTGCCGCTTCAGCTACCATCCAGCTCTGGTCTTTCTTAACAGCTGTTAGGACAGACATTGTATCCCCTGAGCAATCATTATGCCTTTTTGCTCAGCAGCATGTGCTGCTTGTGTGTTCCAACACCGATTCTCCCACACCAGCCAGTGTCCGATGATTCAATTCAAGTCTGACACCAAACACCTGGAGTTAGTGCAGCCCTCACAGGTTAAAGGGTAAAATCTCCAAGAAGACTGCCCCAGTTCAGATACCAGTCACAAGTGGAGTCCCGCTTCTACTTTGCTCACTGCAAATTCATAAGTTCCCACAACAACTATTAGGTTTGCGAATTTGCTAGAATGACTCACAGAATGGTGAGACGTGCTTATTTTCCATTACCATTTTATTATAAAGGATATAGATGAAAAGCAAGATGGAGAGGTTGTAGGCAGGGTCAAGGAGGGTCCCAAGCACAGGAACTTCTGTCTCCACAGAGTTGGGGTGCCTTGCCCTCCTGGTATATCCATGAGTTCACCAATCAGGAAGCTCTCTGAGCCTGGTGTTCAGTTTTTATCCATGCTCCATGACACAGGCAAGCTTGGTTAAATCACTGCCCATGTGATTAAATTTGGTGTCTAGCCCCCTCCCCTCCCTGGAGATGGATTGAAGGTGAAAGTTTCAACCCTCCAGTCATGAGCTTGGTTTTTCTGGCCACCAGCTCCATCCTGAAGCTACATAGGGGCCACCAAGCATCACCTCATCAACACAACAAAGACAAGACATTCCTGAGGCTGGGCGCAGTGGCTCATGCCTGTAATCCCAGCACTTTGGGAGGCTGAGGTGGGCGGATCACGAGGTCAGGAGTTCGAGACCAGTCTGGCCAACATGGTGAAACCCTGTCTCTACTAAAAATACAAAAATTCGCCAGGCGTGGTGGCATGCACCTGTAGTCCCAGCTACTTGGGAAGCTGAGGTGGGAGAATCGCTTGAACCTGGAAGGTGGAGGTTGCAGTGAGCTGAGATTGTGCCACTGCACTCCAGCCTGGGCAATAGAACGAGACTCTTTCTGGAGAAAAAAAAGACAAGACACTCCTGCCGCTCAGGAAATTCAGTGTTCCTGAATCTCTTTGCTGGGAAGAAGGGATCAGATATATTTGAGATTTTAATGCAATTTAAGAAAGAGGTAAAGTAAAAAAAAAAAAAAAAAAAAAAAAGGTAAAGTGTAAATAAATCAATTGCACTCATTTTTTTCCTTCCCTTCATTTTGATCCTCTTCCTCCCTCCTTTCCTTCCTTCCTTTCTACATGATGCTTTTGAAAAATCAACTGTCCCAGTTTGACAGGTGGGAAGGGCAGATTGACATCAATTTGTAGGAGGAAGTTTTAGCAGGCCACTATCTTAATCAAAACTGTGTGAAATAGTTTGCAAAGATTTAAATTGCCTTAATAGAAGAAAACCCTCTAGGAAATGGAGACATGACCCACCGTCGTGCTCTGCACACATAAAATGAAGATAACAAAAGTCCACCTCATTATTAGGGCCTGAACTGTGTCTCCCCCAAATCCACATGCTGACGTGGACTTCAGAATAGACCCCAGGACCTCAGAATGTAACCATATTTGTGGACAGGTTCTTTAAAGAGATGATTAAGCTAAAATTAGTTATTCAGGGTTGACCCTAACCCAATATAACTGGTGTCCTTATAGCAAGAGGAAATTAGGACACAGACATGTACAGAGGGAAGACGTGAGGATACAGCAAGAAGGCGGCCATCTACAAGCCAAGGAGAGAGGCCTCCGAAGGAGCCAGCCCTGCCAACACCTTAATCTCAGACTCCCAGCCTCTGGAACTGTGAGAAAAGAAATTTCTGTTGAAGTCAGTCAGTCTATGGTGTTTGTTGCAGCATCCAGGGCTGACTAATATTCTCATAGACCATTATATGGCCTGAACACAACAGATATGACCTATGCAGAACAGAATTTGCCCTTACCACACCATGAGATGCTAGATGTCACTATTCTGCTGCTGATGGTGTTGTTCCTCCTCCTTAAGAGAGACAGGGTGCCAGGTGTGGTGGCTCACGCTTGTAATCCCGGCACTTTGGGACGCTGAGGTGGGTGGATCACCTGAGGTCAGGAGTTCGAGACCAGCCTGACCAATATGACGAAACCCCCTCTCTACTAAAAACACAAAAAAATTAGCCAGGCATGGTGGCATACTCAGCTACTCAGGAGGCTGAGGCAGGAGAATCGCTTGAACCCGGGAGGCGGAGGTTGCAGTAAGCCCAGATTGTGCCATTGCACTCCAGCCTGGGCAACAAGAGCAAAACTCTATTTCAAAAAAAAAAAAAAAAAAAAAAGAAAAAGAGAGAGAGAGAGACAGGGGCCATCAGAAAGTCACTGAGATCCTGAAAGGTTGGTAAACCCTACCCTGTGAGGACAGGCCCAAGGCACCAGCAACACTCTTAGGAGAGCGTCCTTAGACAGCAGACGGTCTGCAGGGAGACCTGGAACAGACGTTCTACCTGCATCCTGCAGGTACAACTAGGGCCACAAGCGTAGAAGCCACAGGAAAGCAGATTTTGGTGAAACTGTACGAACACTTCCCAATAAATAAATCCTCTCTACAATGGATGACCCCTGGTGAGATGGTGTCTCCCCAGGACAGGAATTTAAGCCAAGTTTGGTGACTGTCCAGCTAGCAGGCTGTAGGGCTACTCCTGCATTTAGCATAGTCATCTGCGTCTAAGAAACTATGACCTGACATTTACGAAGTCTCATGTTTGCTAAGTGGACTTACAGACATGGCTTATATTAGCTTACATCACTTAGAGATAATATAATATTGAAGACATGGTTCTACATATTTTCAACTTAATTTTATTTCATTTCATTCTCAAGAGGGTTTACGATTCCATACCGCACATTTAATTTTTAAGTGTTCCTTACATCGACAACCTACCTGAATTCCATAAACACGAAATGATTTATCCACTATACTCAATGTTGAAAGGTTTTCTTTGTTCTCTGGTTTCTTTGTCTCTTTTTTTTACAATCCCTAAGGAAGAATGCATGAGATTACATTTTAATGTGATTAAAGCCCTGGAATGCAGCCAGCAGTTTCTTGGAGGTAATTTTCACAAGAGTCAAATGTAGAAGGGGTCTCCATAAAAAGCAGAAAATAGTGAGGATTTTTGTGTTTTGATTTTTGATTAGCAATTGATTGTCTTGTTAATTTTCTGTGCTTATCTTTCCCATGTTGTTATTAAACATGTCCCACCCCACCCCTTCTTGACACTTCAACTGGGGAAAGCAGTTTTCCTGTCCCTGGTTATCAATCTTATTTTGAATTTCCTCTTGTTTGAGCAAAGACACATTCATCTACCCTCAACCTCTGGCAGAGATTTTGGATTTGGAGGACAAATGGCTGTCTTTAACAGAGAGTAATCCAAGTAGGTGTGGTCTTCTAGAGGACCTGGCCCAGCCCCAATTTCTTTGTTTCTTTGCTAGCCCAATTCTGTGTCTTGCAGATTATTAATCATGTGTATCCATATCACTGTACTTTAATGCTGAGCATATACAGGTATGTTTGGCTTCTTAGGTCACTTTCCTTGTCATTTTTGGAACTTCCTTGCCAACACACAAATAAAATCTTCCCAGTACCACCACACTGCCACACATAAACACATACTGCCTTTTCCTTTGTGCTTTGGAAGGTAGGTGTATATTTAGATCTTCTCTGTTCTATTTTCTCTTCTGCTTCTTTGATCTGTCTGTGATCACACTAGTAGCCCATCCATTCATTGATTAAATGATTATATCTTTATATATTATGGAAGGCAACCCACCCCACATACCATCACTCCTCTTTCTAAAAAATTTCATTGGTCAACTCAATTACTTATTGTTTTCCTAGCAAACTTTTAGACGACCTTGCTAACAACTTAAAAAATCTCAGTGTCATTTTCTTTGAATTGATTAAACTTACATGTGAAATTAATCCAAGGAACAGCATGTGGGAAAAGATAAACTGTATAGTAAATTGTGTTGGAACATGGGCTAGCCATATTATACAGTTGGAATCCATGTCTTACAACATCACTACAGATTTCATAGGGATAAAGATTCAAATGTAAAAATAATGAAAAAAAAGTTGTGTTCCAGTTATAGGTAAGTGGAGGAAGCATACTCTGGTTGTCTCTTCCACTGAATGCAGCTGGAATCCTGGACAGAGTGCATGGAGCAGTGACAAGAACCCTGTAAAGCAAATAATAGCAGATGGATAGGGAAGTAGATGAGAATTTGAAGTACCACTAAACCAGTGATAGGTTCCTGTTCTATTTTCTTCCTTGCTATCCCCAAGCTAAATTCAAGGCAGCCCAAACACCAGAAGTGGGCACTGACATGAGCAGGGAGACCTTCAGGAGAAGCCCTCTAACTCCGACTTGAAGAATGGAAAAGGAGACTGTAACACTCAGAAAGAGTGGGTGAAATCTTTCTACCATTTTCCTTTCCTTTTTTCTATTCTCCCGTGCTCCAACCCCAGTCAATCTTCCAGTGTCAGAAGTGGTAGGAAGGACAACCACCATAGCAGCAGCTATGGTGACAGCAAGAGCAACAGGGTTCCCAGGTGTTTAAAACCCTACAGAAAGAAAACTCCCTCCCAAATAAGAGGAGCTGGTGTCCCAAGAGAGTGGGGCAAACTCCTGCTACCTCTTCTCTCTTTGGCCTTCCACCACTTGACCCGAGATGTCATAAGAAGTGCGTGGCAGAGCAGAGTAACCATAGCACCAGGTTCCAAAGTGATATCAACAGGGAATCAGAAAGTACCAGGGAGTTCACAAATAGGTAGGGATCCATAAAATTGTTTGTGAATTTTGTGAACTCCTGTGTTTACTCCCATGCTGTGCATACATGGACCTGACTCTAAACAACATGCTGAAGATTCTGAGACCTGAAATATGGGATAAACCAGTGCCCAGAACCTAGCCTGGCCAGTGGATGGCACACAGGTGGGACAGATCTAAATAGCACCACAGAAGCTTTGAAAATGTAACTGACGCCAACACCATTACTTACTGAAGCAAGTTGGAACTTGTGGCCTGAACCTAACCTAATTCCACATGTTCAGGATACACTCCAAAATTACTCTGCACACAAAGAACCAGAAACATATCAATTTGTGTATGAAAAGACAATCAATAGAAGCCAATGCCAAAATGACATTGCTACAAAAATCAATTTTTGGTATTATCAAACAGAGTTGAAAACTGCTACTATTAAAATGCTCTAAGAAGTAACAATAAGCAATCTTGAAACACATGGAAGGATAGAAAATCTCGGAAAAGTAATAAAACATAAAAAGGAGAACTGAATGGGAATTGTAAACCTGAAAAATACAGTAACAAAAATAAAAAAAATGCCCTCGATAGCAGAGTAGAAATGAGAGAGGAGTCAATTTCTAACACCATAGAGAAAAAAGACTGAAAAAGAAGATAGTACCAGAACCTCAGTGACCTGTGGGATAATGCTACAAGGTCTAACATTTGTGTCTTGGTGTTCCCAGTAGGGGAGAAGAAAGAGGGTGTTGCAGAAAATGTATTTGAATATATAATAGCTGTAAACATTTAAAATATGGTAAAAGATCTCAACCTACAGATTTAAGTAAAGCAAACTGCAAACAAAATAAGCCCACAGAAACACAGCAAAGACATATCATAGAGACACTAAAGACAAAAAATTTCTGAAAACACTTGTTGAAAAATGATGCAGTACCTACAGGAAAACAATGGTTTAAATGATATAGATTCCCACCAAAATCATGGAGACCAGAAATAAGTTGGAAAAACAGTTTTGAAAGAAAAGAACAGTCAATCCATAATTCTGCATCTAAAAAGAGAATATCCTTCAGGAACGAAAGTGAAATAAAGACACTCTCTAATGAAGGGAATCTAAGAGAGCTACATGCCAACAGACCCATTCTAGTAGAATTGCCAAAGAAAGTTATTTACAAAGAGCGGGAAAGTTACTAGAGGGAAATAAAACATCAGAAATGGAGGGACCAGGCATGGTGGCTCACGCCTATACTTTGGGAGGCCAAAGCAGGTGGATTGCTTGAGTTTAGCAGTTCAAGACCAGCCTGGCAAAGTGGCAAAACCCCACCTCTACAAAAAATGCAAAAATTAGCCAGGTGTGGTGGCACATGACTATAGTCCCAACTACTTAGGAGTCAGCAGTGAGAGGATCGCTTGAACCTGGGAGGTCAAGGCTGCAGGGAGCCAAGATTGTGCCACTGCAATCCACCCTGGGTGACTGGACCCAGAACAAGACCCTGTCTCAAAAAAAAAAAAAAAAAAAAGGAGGAAGAGCAACATAAATCGTTTATATCTGGGTCAATATAATAGCTTATTTTTCTCTTGAATCCATTAAAATGTATTGACAATGAAGATCAAAAATTATAACATTGCTAGATGGGGTTGTCAAAGTGTGTAGATGTAATTTATAAGACAACAATATACAGGGGGAAGACAAACAGGTTTCTATCATGATAAAGATTCTGTATTCCAAATGAAGTAGTAAAATGTGGATTCTAAGTGAACTGGGAAAAGTTAAATATGCATATTGTAATCCTAAAAACAATTGCTACAAAAATACACAAACAGATATAATCAAAACCACAGCAGATAATGGATTATTAAAAACGTTCAAATAAGCTGGGCATGGTGGTTCATGACTATAATCCCAGCACTTTCGGAGGCTGAGGCAGGCAGATTGTTTGAGCCCAGGAGTTTGAGACCAGCCTGGGCAACATGGCAAAACCCAGTCTCTACTTAAAAAACAAAAAATTAGCTGAGCATGGTGACACTCACCTGTAGTCCCAGCTACTCGAGAGGCTAAAGTGGTAGAATCACTTGAGCTCAGGAAGTTGAGGCTGTAGTGAGCTATGATCATGCCACTGAACTCCAGCTTGGGCAAGAATGAGACCCTGTCTCAAAAAAAAAAGTTTAAATAATCTACATAAGGAGGAAAAGGGAAACAGAAGGATGAAAACACAAGAAACAAACATAAAACAAGAAATAAAAAGTAGAATTAAATTCAAACCTAGCAATAATTACATTAAATGTAAGTGGCCTAAACACAGCAATTAAGTTGACAGAGAATGTCAGAATGAATTTTTTAAAGTGACCTAACTGTCTGCTGTCTGGAAGGAACTGACTTCAAATACTATGGTATATTTAAGTCTGAAGTGGAAGGCTGGAAAGAATATCATATAAAAACTTCAATTAGGAAAAATGTAGTGGCTATATTATTTTCAGACAGAGCAAACATATTACTGAAGACAAAGAGTGGCATTACATAGTGATAAAAAAGGGTAAATTTACCAAGAAAACATAGCAATCCTAAATGAGCATGCATTTTAAAAAATTACAGAAATTAAAAATATATGGAGAAAAATGAGAAATAAATAACCTCACAATTACAGCTGGAGATTCCAACCTTCCTGTCTCAGTAACTTATAAAACAAATAGAAAATCAGCAATATAAAAGAATTGAACAACATAATCAACCAATGGCATCTAATTGATATATAAAACACTCTGTTACAAAACAGAATAGGAGCTGAGTGCAGTGGCTTATACCTGTAATCTCAGCTGCTTGGGAGGCTAAGGTGGGAGGATTGTTTGAGCCCAGGAGTTTGAGGCTGCAGTGAGCTATGATCATGCCACTGCTCTTCAGTGGAGATGACAAGAGTGAGACCCAGTCTCAAAAAAAGAAAAAGAAAAAGAAAACAAAACAGAAAAACAAAATAGAAGAATACATCATCTTTTCCAGTGTCCATGAAACATTCACCACAAAAAATCATATCCTGGGTCAAAATTGAACCTTAATGAATTTAAGAGAATTGAAATCATACAAAGAATGTTTTCTGTATATAATGATATTAAACTAGAAATAAAAAACAGAAATAAAAGAGGAAAGTCTCCAAATACTTGGAAATTAAACAATGTACTTCTAAATCATCCATTAGTCAAAGAGAAAGTCTCAAAGGAAACAGGAAAATATTTTAAACTGACCAAAAATTAAAACATTAAAATTTGTAGGAGGCAGCTAAATCAGTGCTTGGAGGGAAATTTATATGATTAAATGATTATATTAAAAAAAGAACTCAGATGGTGTTAGCTCACACATGTAACCCTAGCACTTTGGGAGGCTGAAGCAGAAGGATCACAAATAAAAAAATTAACTGTGTATGGTGGTGCACCCCTGTAGCCCCAGCTACCTGGGAGGCTAAGGTGGGAGGATTGCATGAGCCCAGGAGTTTGAGGTTGCAGTGAGCCATGATTGTATCACTGCACTCTAGCCTGGGTGACAGAATGAGGCCCTGCCTAATCTTCCACATTAGGAAAGTAGAAAAAAAAGAGCAAAATAAACCCAAAGCAAGCATTTTCTAAGTTAGCCTCATATCATTTGTAAAATTTTTGATTCCTCCTTTACAATGTTTCTACTTCACCCCACCCCTGTTTTTATACTGCATTAGTTAGAATGCCCAGGGAAAGTTCAAAATTTATTAGTGGTAGCAAATATTCTTATCTTATTGCTGATTTTAATAAAAATGTCTCCAATGTGTCAGTCACTATGAAGGAAAATGTTAGATGCTCATTTGAAATGGATTATTTATTATGTTAAGCAATGCTTTTCTTCTACTATTAGTTCAAGAACGTTTTTGAAAATTAAAAATAGATATTGAGTTTGATTTTACTTATATATTATTTATTTAATTTATTATTTTTTTTGAGATAGGATCTCTCTCTGTCACCCAGGCTGGAGTGCAGTGATACAATCACAGCTCACTGCAGTCTTGGCTTCCTGGGCTCAAGTGATTTTTCCACGTTAGCCTCCTGAGTAACTGGGACTACAGGCATATACCACCATGCCTGGAGAATTTTTGGTTTTCATTTTTCGTAGAGATAGGGGTCTTGCTATGTTTCCCAGGCTGGCCTTGAACTCCTGGGCTCAAGTGATTCTTCCATCTGAGCCTCTCAAAATACTGGGATTAAAGGAGTGAGCCAGTGCACCTGACCCTATTTTTTTTTTTTTAAGTGAAACACAGGTAAATGGAAAATAATTCTAACATTCTTCCTCTTTGAAAGATAAAATAATTTTTCCTGTCTTGGGAGAGGAGAAGGAGAAGGCAAAATGAGATGTGAATAGGAACAGAAGAAGAACTGTTATATTTACAATAATAATTTTTAAAAAATCATTAGGACAAAATTTTGTACTTAAACCTGGTAAGTCTATTTGTTACTAAGAGGACATGTAGAATAATCCCAAAATGTACATTTTTCTTTAGAGAAGTTTCAATACCAAAAGAACAATTTATATGAAAATCTGTAGAGAAGGTAATTGAGAAGTCCATTCATAAAAATGATTGCAATATCATCAACCTAATTTACATATTCTTAACACTTCAAAAGGTAATAAGCAATACTAGCCATCATCGCAATTTATTTCTTTTTTAACTATCTTTAGAGTGGATAAAGTCAGGCTTGTTTCAGAAATAACCACAAAAGAAAAAAAAGTTAGAAAATTCATAGTGCAAGGAAAATGCCAACAGTTGGTATGAATGCTTGCTCCAGACCATGCGTAACTAACTGCATGTCCTTTCCTAGAACATTGCTGTCTACAATACAGAAGGTTATGCTGGATGTGAGAGGTTTGCCATGGAGTGCTGAATCAAGTGCACCCATTGCACTGCCCCTCATGAGAGCCTGACAATTGGCTGCAGCTGCTCTGCCCAGGATGCCATTTGGTTGAGACCTCCAGGAGGACTGTGGTGTGTCTCAGTTTGTTTGGGCTGTCAGAACAAAACACCACAGACTGGGGGGCTTAACCAACAGATGTTTACTTCTAACAGTTCTGGAGGATGGATCCCAGATCAAGGTGTGGGCAGATTCGATTCCTGGGGAGGGCTCTCTTTCTGGCTTGCAGACAGCCGCCTTCTCGCTGTGTCCACATGGTGGAGAGAGCAAGCTCTGGTGTCTTTTCCTTTTCTCATAGGAATGCTAACCCATAAATATTCCATCCTCATGTCCTCATTTACAGCTGGTCACCTCTCAAAGGTCCCATCTCCCAATGCCATCACAGTGGGAACTGGAGCTTCAATGTATGGATTTTGAAGGAGAGGAACACAAATATTCATCCAATGACACAACGCATGCCCAGAATAAGGGTGTGCAAGGGATGCAGGGTGTGGCTGACGCCAGTTCAGCCTCCATGGCTGGCACTGGCCAAGTCCCTGACACTGGAGGAGTCTGGACCTCCACTCCAGATACCCTGAGTTCTTCAAAGCTGCCTGCCTTGTGTGGGGTGCCATCTTCAGCATGCCTGCAGTGCCTCTTTTAAAGCTAAGACGTCTTATGTGGGGCTGCTATGTGTCTCGTGAGATGTTTTGTCAAATCTAGACCTGGGCCTAGCCTATTTTGAGTCAATGCTCATGCATTATTTGTCTTATGGCAATTCTTGATATGCAGATGTATGAGTTTGCTAGGGCTGCCATAGCAAATTTCCACAGACTTAGTGGCTTAGAACAACAGAAATTAACTCTCTCACAAATCTGGAGGCCAAAGTCTGGAATCAAGGTCTGGGCAGGACAGTGCTTTCTCCAGAGGCTCTAGGGGAGGATCTTTCTTGCCTCTTTCAGCTTCTGATGGCTCCAAGTGTTTCTTGGCTTGTGGCTGCATCGCTCCAACCTCTGCCTCTGTCGTCACATGGTCTCCTCCTCCCTGTGTGCCTGAGTCCAAATTTCCCACCTCTTATAAGGACACCAGTCCTTATACTGGTCCTTAACTAATTATGTCTGCAAAGACTTGATTTCCAAATTAGTTCATGTTCTGAGGTACTGAGTGGACATAAATTTTGGGGAGACACTGTCCAACCCCTGTAATAGGTAAGAAATATTAGTCAATACTTCACCTTTTCTTAGAAATTTGATCTTAGATTCCTTAACCCATTTAACTAAGGTAAAATGAGTGTAGCAAGGTAATGAAAGGCAGGTTGTTGCATTTATCTGTCAATTATTATAGTGTGTTTTTCTCTTCTCCCTTCTGAATAATTTTCTTCTTTTTATAACTCCATCTCTTTTTCCTATTCCAGCTACCCTGGGATGCACTGCAATATTTCCAAGGCCTGAGCTTCCTCTGCAATGGCCTCTTCTCCTGACTTGTAGCCTCTGAGTGATATTCTAGAGAAGAGGCCAGCAGGGTGGATAACAGGCACTCTCCATGGGGAGGGAGCTGTGGGAAGAGGCATCTGAACAGTGGATTGCCCATAAGGCCCATGCTTAGGAATGGCATCAGTGATGGATGAAGTTAGAGAGCGGACCAGGGAGCTGGGTTTTGCTCACAGGTCTAGGCAGTTGGAGTCCCTGGACTTTTCTGGGAAGAAGCCTAATCAGAGCTTTGAGCTGCAGTTCAGGATACCTGGTACGAAGCAGCAGGGAGGGAGGGGAGAAACTCAAAGCAGGGCTGGGTGTTTGGGGGTCATTTGCTTAGTCCAGATGAGAGTTGATGAGTGTGCAAGGTGAGACCATGACACCAGAGCAAGAGGCAGGATGGTGGGTGGTAGCGTGTCCAGGAAGTGTAACCCAATAGGATTTGGTTAGGATTTGTGGAGAAAGGGAGATGAAGGTGCATCCGCAGCATGGAAACATGGTCTGATAGCTCAGGGGGGTAGTGGCAGGAGTGGGACAAGTAGCAGGGGACACCAGGGGAGCATATAGAGCCACAGTGTGAGGTTAAACCTGGTTCTCTTCTCACCCACTGCATGACCTTAGCCCCAGCCATCTGCTTGCCAGAGGCAGTGGTGGTCCCATGCTATGCCACATCCAGTGACTGACTGATACAGGGATGACAACCTGTTCCCTCAGCCCAAGTGACACACCTCCATGGGGACATGTGGATTTTAGCTTCCTGTGGGGCCCTGGTGCCCTGGGGGTGTTGCATGGGTCCCTTGCTCCCTCCTGCTTGCCTTTCTTCTCCCCAGGTTATCTCCCCCCTGCCAAAAGCAACTGGCACATGAGTCCCCATCTCAGAAGCAGCTTCAGGGGCCACCCAACCTGCACCAGCACCTGGTAGTGATAACATTCCCTGGAATGTTGTGAGGAGAAACTGAGCTAGCGTTTGCAGGATACTGAGAACCCCTGGCAGGTGTAACTCACCATGGACATCATTTTCTAGGCAGAGCTCTGGAGTAGGCAGATGAACATTTAGTGTGAGGCCACAGAAGGAGGTCTAGGAAAGAGGTAGTGACTCCCCTCCTTATGAGTGGAGATGGGGTACGGAGAATGATTGCTTTATCTCCCAGGTGGCCAAGAACAGAAGCCACTGATTTTCTTTGTTTGCTGTAGATTTGCAAAGCAAGGCAAGGGTAAGCAGGCAACCATGTTAGAGCCCGAGGAGAGTGCAGGGGGAGGCCAGAATTAGACTGCAGGTGGTCACAGAGCGGAGGCCAGCGGGAAGTAAGTGCCAAATACAACATGGGGATGTTAAAAAATACACACTTAATTGCTACAGAAAGTGCTGCGAGAATCAGAACTATATTTGGATTGGAATGACTTATTGGCAAAATATTGCAGCAGATGTGGGAAGGAGGCTTAATTGGAGGAGTCTGCCTGCTCAGTTCCCAGAGGTTCTGAGTCTGATGCAATTTAATTTTTGCAAAATATAACATCTTTTAAAAGGTTGAAAGCGACAATATAAGCCATTTATAGTTGTTAGAGCAGCATTTTTCTTCTTAAGATAATTTGAAATAATCTCTAATGACTGGAAAAGAAAAGTGGTTTCTGGGAGAGGGGCGAAGGCAAAAGAATGACTAGAAATGACGTGCTCCATGTTATTATTTAATTTACCCTTCACACTGAAACCCCTGAAAATTAAATAATTTTGCTTTCCCTTTCAAAATGAATTAGACATCACAGAGATCCAGTGAAGAAAATTGAGTCTATCATTTCTAATGAGAAGAAAACATTGCACTAGAGAGCCATAAAACTCTCCAAGCACATTTGCATGCATCTTTACAGGATATGGCAGTAAAGAGTGGGTTGTCTGCCCTGCCCCAATTCTTTAAGAATTGCCTCATCATCCTGAAAGATGGACCCCCAGAGATTTTGCTTCCTGACCCCAATCCCAGCTGCAGTTGGTTGGATAACTTGGAGGGGTGGCACCTGACCAAAAGTACAATCTCATTGTTTCTGCTGGGAGTAGAGAAAGAGACAGGGAGTCTACAGCAGCCAGACAGTGATACTGCAGTAAACCTAAAAGAAATATAAACTCTTGGCTGAGTGGTCTTCTTTAGACCTTTCATAAACCCTGAGAAGCAGAGAAAAATATGGGTTGCAGAAAGAAAAGAGCGAAACACATGTGCAAAGGGAAAAAGGACTGAGAGATGGAAATGAGGAAGAAGGTCCCTTGGGCTCTGGCTGCCTCTTCTTGCTGGTTACAGTCCATCCCCAGTGCGTTGCTGAGTGTCTCCTCCTGAGTTCCTTGAGAAACCCCACTCTCTCTATAACTTCTGCCCTCAACACTTTTGCTCCTAAGCCTGTTTAAATTGGATTCTATAACTTAGAACTTTCCAAAAAAATTCTTTTTGGAGACAAGGTCTTGCTCTGTCGTCTACACTGGAGTGCAGTGGTGTGATCATGGCTCGCTGCAGCCTTGAACCTCTTGGGCTCAAACTATTCTCCTGCCTCAGCCTTCTGGGTAGCTGGGACTACAGGTGTGTGCCACCACACTTGGCTAATTTGTTTTATTTTTTGAAGAGATGAGGTCTTGATATATTCCCCAGGCTGGTCTTGAACTCCTGGGCTCAAGTGATCCTCCCAACTCAGCCTCCCAAAGTGTTGGGATTATAGGCATGAGCCATTGTGCCTGGCCCAAAAAATTCTTAACCAAGCCAGAAATCATTCTCAGGACCGGGGCTACAGTCTAGACCTTAAGAGAGGTAGAGAGACCTATGAATTCCTCCTGGACAGCCTGACAAGCTCTCAGCCTCTACCACAAGGTGGTAAAGTAAGGACTCAGGCCACTTTGACAGCAAAATGCGCTGGTTTCTTCCTGCAGCCTTCAGTAAAGCATAATGGAGAAGACACCAACCAGCTCAAGGGCAAAGCTGCTCAATTGAAGGAAGTCAGAGGAAGCAGAGCCATCAAACAAGGTCTGCCAATGTCTAGATCTAAGAATGTTCCCTGATAAAGTTTCAAACTCCCTGCTCACCCTTTCCTGCAGATGAAGCTCCAGCAGGCACCTGGAAATGGGTGATCCTGGTGACTAGAAGGGTCACACACTGGAATACCTGGAGATGCTAAGGGGCTCCCAACTTCTAAGCCACTGCAAAGCACCTCCCATTGCTGACCCTGCCTCAGAGTTGGCTTCCTGGGGACCCAATCTGCAACAGTGATTTGAGGTCAGAGGCCTTCCCAGTATACCACAGAACGGCCTGGAGGGCCTGTTAAAAAACAGATTGCTGGGCCCACCCTTAGACTTCCTGTTCCTGTTGGTCTGGGGTGTGGCCCAGGATCTGCATATCTAACAAGTTCCTAGATGTTGCTGATGCGGGGAACCACATTTGAGATTCATTGGTCTAGACAAATATCGTGAAGCTTTTGATTCAAAAATAGCAATACAAATGATTAGCACAGAAATACTGTATAGGAGCATGGGAACATTCTAGAAGGGAAGAGATAAAAAAGCCGTTCCTCTGCCCTATTTGTGGACTGAGATCAAGACCTAGAAGAGAGAAAAATGGCTCCAGGTGGGTAGGAAGAATGACCTGCCCCTCAGGGAAGGTCCAGTCCTGGCAGTTAAGAAATTAACAAAACAAGACAAGAATTTTTCCTTTCTTTTTATTTTTAATGTAATGAATACACACATTTGTCTTAGGTGTACAGTTCACTAATTCTTTTTACCTACATACCCTGTACTACTGTATCAGAGCCCAAGTGAAGAGCTATGGAACATTTTTATTTTTTATGTCTCATTCATGTTCCTTCATCTCTCCAAAACCAAGGTAACTGCTGTTTGATTTATATCACCATCGATTAGTAGTGATTGTTCTTTGAGTTCTCAGTAATGTAAGCATACAGCAGGTGCTCTTTATGCCTGACTTCTTTTGCTCAATATAATCTTCTGAGACACATCCACATGCTGCAGAAGCCAGTAGTATACTTTTATTTTTAAAAGTTGTACAGTATTGGGTTTTAAAAAACTTTTTACTTTGAAATAATTGTGGATGGACAAGAAGTTGCAAAAATAGTACAGGGAGGTCTCCTGTACCCTTCAGCTGGTTTCCCTGGTTGCATCCTACCTGACTGTAGAGCAATATCAAAACCAGGAAGTTGACATTGGTACAACGCATGTGCATATAGTTCTGTATCACTATATCACGTGTATAGGTCCATGTAAATGTCACCACAATCAAATTATAGAAATATTCCATTATGGGGATGATCTTTCTGTGCTATCCCTTTAACAGTCACAGCTACTCTCTCCTTCCCACAACCTTCCCTAAGCCTTGGTAACCACTAATCTGTTCCCGATCCCTATAATTTTGTCATTTTGAGAATTATATATATGTAACATAATTATACACTGTAATTATATATTATAGAAGAATGTGATCTTTGGGGTTGCTTTTTCACTCAGCACAATGTCCCTAAGATCTTGCCAAACTATTTCATACTTTTTCACTACTGAGTAATATTCCATGGAATAGATGAACCACATTTAATTTTACTGGTCACCTGTTGAAAGACATTTTGGTTGTCTCCAGGGTTTGGCTATTACAAATAAAGCTGATATTCATGTACAGGTTTTTGGGTCAACTTAAGTTTTTATTTCTCTGGGATAAATACCCAGGAGTGTGATTGCTGGGTTGTATTTTAAGTGCATGTTTAGTTTTTAAAGAAACTACCAAACTGTTTTTCAGAGTAGCTGTTATTATTTTACCTTCCTATCAGCGTCATGAGAGATCCAGTCTGCGTCCTTGTCAACATCTGTTATCATCATTATTTTTTATTTTAGCCATCCCAATAGGTGTAAAGCAACATCTCCTTGTGGTTTTGATTTGCATTTCCTCTAGTGTCTAGAGATGTCAAACATCTTTATATGTGCCTATTTACCCTTGGAGTATCCTCTTCCATGATTTCCTACCTCTTCATATCTTTTGTCCATTTTCTACTCTTGAGTTTTAAGAGTTTTTTTATATGTTCTAGATACTAGTTTCTGTCAGATACGTGGTTGCATTTTTTTTACACAGCTTATAACCTTTTAATCCATCTGACAGAGTCTTCTACAGAATTAAGGTTTTTAATTTTTATTAAGTTAAATTTATCATTTTTCTGTAATGAATTGTGTTTTTAGTGTCAAGTCTGAGAATTCTGTAACAAACTATAGGTCCTAAAGATTTTCTACTAAAAGGTTTATAGTTTTACATTTTGCATTTAAGTCTGGATCCATATTGTGTTAATTTTATAGAGTGTAAAGTGTGAGACTTAGGTCAGGGTTTATCTTTTTGCCTGTGGGTGTACAATTACTTTAGCTGCATTTGTCGAAAATACTATCCTTCTTCCACTCGATTGGTTTTACATCTTTCTCAAAAATTAGTTGGCTCTACTTGAGTAGGTCTATTTCTGGGTTCTCTATTCTGATCCATAGATCTATGTGTCTGTCTCTCTGCCAAGACCACACCATCTTCACTACTGTAGCTATATAAGTCTTAAAAGCAGGAAGAGTGATTCCTCATGCTTTATTTTTCTTTATCAAAATTGTTTTATCTATTTTGGTTCCTTTTGCCTTTCTGCGTAAATTTTAGAATAATCTTGTCCATATCTAGAAAGTCTTGCTGAGATTTTGATAGAATTACATTAAACCTGTATATCACTTGGGGGAGGAGTAACATCTTTACTATATTGAGTTCTCCGATACAAAACATTGCATGTCTCTTGATTTGTTTAGGTTTTCTTTAATTTCTTCCACCAGAATTTTATAGTTTTCAACATAAAAGCTTTGTACATGTTTTGTTACATTTATACATACCTATTTTATTTTAAAACAATTATAAGTGGGCATTGTATTTTTAACTGGTTTCTATGTGTTCATTGCTAGCATAAAGAAGTACAATTGATTTTGCATGTTGATATTGTGTTCTATCATGTTACTAAAATCACTTATTAATTTCTAAGTTTTTTCATAGATTCTTGGGATTTTCCACATAGACAATCATGTCATCTGCGAATAGAGATAGTTTTATTTTCGCTTTCTGATTTTCATGCTTTTCATTTGCCATTTTTACCCTATTGCTCCAGGTAGAACCTCTAGCACTTTGTTGACTACAAGGGATGAGAGCAGACACCTTTGGTTCATCTTCGGTTCTGGCCTTAACGGAAAAGCATTCACTGTTTCATAGTAAGTATAATGTTAGTTTTAGGCTTTTTTTTTTAAAATAAATCCTTCCTTATCAAGTTGAGAAAATTTTTTAAAAGTTGATAAAGTTCCTCTGTGCCTCTAATCCCAGCAGTTTGGGAAGCTGAGGCAGGCGGATCATGAGGTCAGGGGATCAAGACCATCCTGGCTAACACAGTGAAACCCTGTCTCTACTAAAAACACACAAAAAAATTAAGCCAGGCATGGTGGCGGTTGCCTGTAGTCCCAGCTACTCAGGAAGCTGAGGCAGGAGAATGGCTTGAACCTGGGAGGTGGAGCTTGCAGTGAGCTGAGATTGTGCCACTGCACTCCAGCCTGGGCGACAGAGCGAGACTGCACCTCAAAAAAAAAAAAAAGTTCCTCTGTAGTCTGTTTTTTTTTTAGGTTTTATAGAAACTAGTAGTGGTGTCAAATGCTTTTTTCTGCATTAATTAATATGATCTTTTGATTTTATTCAATAGCCTATTAATATGGTGATTATATTGATTGAGTTTTTAAATATTGACCTATCGTTGGCAATCTGGATTAAATTCCACTTGGTCATAAGGTATATATTTTTAATATATTGCTGAGTTCTGTTTGGTAATATTTTGTTGAGGATTTTTTGCATCTACATGCATGAGGGATATTCGTTTATTTATTTATTTATTAGTTTTTTGGGGGGAAGGGACTGTCATTATCTGGTTTTGGTATCAGGTTAATTCTGTCCTCATAAAATTAACTGAAAAGAGTTCATTCCTCTTCTATTTTCTTTAAAAGGTTGTGTAAAATCGGTGATAATTCTTTAAATATTTAGAAAAATTCTCCAATGAAACTATCTGGGCCTGGAAATGTCTTCTGCGGGGAAGTTTTATATTACAGTTTCAATTTTCTTGATAGCTACAGGGCTATCCAAATTATCTATTTTATAATGCATAGGTTGTGTAGTTTCTGGTTTTTGAGATCCACCTCATTTACATTTTTAAATTCATATGTATAGTACTGTGTAGTACATATTACTTTTCTTATTGAAGGCTGCAAGATCTGTGGTGATCTCCTCTGTTTCATTCCGAATTTGGATAATTTGTGTCTTCCGTTTTCATCCGTCTTCCTAGAGGTTTGTTAATTTTACTAATTATTCAAAGAACCAATTTTGTTTCATTGATTTTCTCTCTTATTTTTCTGGTTTTAATTTCATTAATTTCTCTTGTTTTCTTTTCTAGTTTCCCTTCTCTGCTTTCTTTGGCTTTATTTATTTTTCTTTTCCTTGAGGTGGGAGTTTAGGTGCTTGATTTGAGACTTTCCTCTTTATCAATATGTGTGTAGTGCTATGAAGTTCTCTTTCAGCACTGTTTTCCCTGGGTCCCGTTGGTATGGATACGTTGGTTTTTTTTATTTTCACTCAGTTCCATATATGCTTTTATATCCCTTGAGACTTTTTCTTTGGACTATTATTACTTTAGAAGTGTGTTGTTTACACTTTGGGAGGCCGAGGCGGGCGGATCACGAGGTCAGGAGATCGAGACCATCCTGGCTAACACGGTGAAACCCCGTCTCCACTAAAAATACAAAAAAAAAATTAGCCGGGCGAGGTGGCGGGTGCCTATAATCCCAGCTACTTAGGAAGCTGAGGCATGAGAATCTCTTGAACCCAGGAGGTGGAGGCTGCAGTGAGCCAAGATCGCAGCCATTCCACTGCAGCCTGGGTGACAGAGCAAGACTTCAAAAAAAAAAAAAAAAAAAAAAAAAAGAGAGAGAGAGAGAGAGGGCACAGAGCAATGACTGTAGGGCTTTGTCTGTGGATGTGACCTTGGACTGATTCTCATTATGGAAAGGTGGACTCAATCACAGTTAGAGGTAAGGTAGTTAGGTTAGGTATGAGTGTTCACAAGTGCAGTCAGGGTGTGGACTGTAATGTACAGTTAGTTATAGGCTATTAGCTTAGAAACTTCCTCACATTGAATTGGGGTGGGCCCCCAGGTGCCATCCGTGCCCCAGGTGGCTCCTTTCTGCACCTTGGCTCCTCGTTTGCTCTTGGTTTCTATGAGATATCCTTGAAACTGATAATGAAATCCTTTACCCTTTTGTTTTTTACTCAACTTAATTTGAGTTGCTTCTTGTAACTTACAACCAGAAGATCTCAACTGAAACAGATTTACTTTTCATGGCAACCTAGTGATGTAGGAAGGCCAAGTACCAGCCTCAGTGAGCTGCCAAAACTCGCACAGCTTCTAAGAGGCAGATCAGATATTGACTTAAACTCCATCTTTAGCCTACCACTCTTGTTTTATAATACTAAGGTTAGAGGGCATTTGTATTGCTATGGGAGGCAAGCATGCATCCCTCCTTCCTTACTAAGATAATAATAGAGAAGAGAGACAAGCTAAGGCACCAAATCCTGCTTTAGAAAGGATTATTAGATGCCTAGGTTATCTCCATTATATTCATGGTAGTCCATAATTGTCATTTAAGTGTGTGTGTGTGTATGTGTGTGTGTGTGTGTGTGTGTGTGTGAGAGAGAGAGAGAGAGAGAGAGATTGAGAGAGAGAGAGAGAATGTCACTTTTTCCCTCTGGCTGCCTATTAATGATTCCAGTCTACATGAAATACTATTTTCTCACCTACTCAATAAATGCTACTAAAGTGAATTTATTATTGATTAGACCAATTTTTAGCTTTCAACTCTCCCAGATGCCCAAAGTCTCCCACCCCAGTAGACCCACAGACTCCAACAGTTCAATGGGGATCTCACCAACCCCAGAACAAGGCTCAGGTACCTACTGGCTAAGAAGCTCATCATGCAAAGCCATGCTAGCTCACATGGGTATGGTCTGTTCACACTTACAACCTTGCTAGATTGGCAGCTCCCTGAGGCCAGGAACTGAGTCTCATTTACCTTTGCATCCCAAAAGCTAACATAGGAGAAATCAGAAAATGGGGAATGAATGAATTGATTAATGAAGTAACCAATTGATGGTCAGAAGCCTGTTTCCAAAGGAGAAAGAAGTGTTATCAGTGAGAGGAACTAGAATCCAGAATGTCTCATAACACATTATTAAACTAATGGCTTTATAAGAATTTACAGTTAAAATTTTATATGTATTAATTCAGTGAAAAATCTACTCTGTTAAGAAGTATCATTTCCCTGTTCTACAGCTTGGGAGTATAGTAGCAAAGAGATTAACTGAGAATTCAAAGAGAATTCAAAAAAGTAACTGCACTCCAGACTGGGCAACAGACGAAGACTCTGTCTCAAAAAAAAAAAAAAAAAAGAGTAACTGCTGACTCCCAAAGGCTATGGTATTTCTACCATGTTCTATTTAATCATATACTTCTGTTTTTTTTCCCCTAGCAAAATATTCACATTCACTTCCACATAAAATGCCCCTTTTCAGTGGAAAAACTCCTACTCATTCTTCAAAACCCAAATTGAATGTCACCTTTTCAGGGAAGCCAGACTCAGTCTTAAACATTTTGCAAACTTCTGCTTAGCTATATCTCATAAAGACAGGCAACCCATCTTTCACCATCTTTAAGCTCCAAGCTTCTTCAGTTCTGAGTCATGATGGATGCCGGCAGTCACTATTTTTTGTATTAAATAGAATGAGCCCATATATAGCTGATTATGAACATGAATATGGCCTGCTGGGACTAGATGCTGGGACTAGAACCCCAAATGCAATATTAGGCTCTGCTTCTGGTGAAGGTGAAGAGGTGACACCATGCTTGGCCCTGTGGGGCAGCCATAGCAGGGGCCTTGCCATCAGGTACTTTCTACAGGGGCACTACCAATGGGAACATTTCCGCAAAATGGGAATTTGCTCTACCCTCAAAAAAGAGGGTAGGGTAGAAAAGAGAAGGAGTGTGCCTAAGAGAGAGAGAGGACTTGGGGCAGGAGAAAAACCACAGAGGCTTCCTCTCGCTCTCACTGCTGCTCCTTGAGCTCCGGCTGTCCCAGGCCAACACTGGAAAGTTTGCCAGGTAGAAGACAAGTCACCTTGTTCTGTTTGACTCTTTAAGGCAAAATTAGCTCCAGGGGTGGAGGTGAGAATGGGGGGCATGCAGAAGGTGGGGCTCTGTTTTGGGTAAGGAAAATTTTGTTCAGGGCGAATCTCCTGACCACAATGGACCAAGGCCTGGTGGCTTCAGGGTCAGGGGCTATCAGCTACAGGAGCTGCTGGGTCAGCATGACAGGTAACTTTCAGGGGACTACAAGGGCTCATACAGACACAGGAAAAGCTTCAAGGAACATTGCTGGTCTTCTCCAATTCATTCAGTAAAACCTTAGACATCTTTTCATAGGGAATTTAGGGCCAGCTTTAAGGACAAAGTCCCTTTATCATTGTTCCCGAGTCTATTTTATGCATCTGGCTAAGTCAGGGCCATGTTTTATAGCTTAAATGTTTTTCCTTTTAAGTAAGAATTCTAATTCTGTATTATATTTATGAATTGCTTACAAAGCCCTACCTCAATGAGGCGAGATTTTGTGACCCCATTTTCAGCGGAGGCTCCCAAGGCCTAAATTACAGCCCCAGTCAGGGTCTTGGAGCTAAGAATGTCAGAATAGGGCTGGAGCTGGGCTTCCAAATGCAACGATCAGAATTTCCATCTGTAGTTACAGCCTCGAGCTTCAGACGAAGATCAACACTGCAGTTAGTGGATCATTTATTCAAAGCAGCAATCCTTAGACTCCAAATGACTTCTGCCTGATTCTCTGGTCCAGCTAGGGGTATGGGAGCTTGCAGAGCCAACACAGTCACACGTCATTTGACTGTCCAGTGGAAAGATGGGTGAGGCCAAGCACACACATTGTTTCATTCTTATCTACAGTTTACAAGATTCAAAGCAAAAAAAATTAGCTCACTCAACCATCTTATATGAATAATGGAATTAATATAGGGGAGTCTTTTATGGTTACTTCTTGCTGACAATGCATCAGGCACTGAGTGCAATGAGACTTCTTGAAAGCTTAAAAGAAAGGAAAAACTCAGACACCTCCCCTCAAGTGCAGGACCAACTGCAGAGTGGACTCTTTCTGGATATTGTAGTCAGACAGGGTGCATCTATCTTCCAGCTGTGTCCCAGCAAAGATCAACCTCTTCTGGTCAAGAGGGATGCCTTCCTTGTCTTGGATCTTTGCCTAGAGGGATGGTAGAGAGCAGTTCTTATTCTTAGAGAAGTCACAGCCTCATGGGAAATGAAGATATTTAAATGGAGGATGCTCCACCATAGTTAACAGTTTAATAGAAAGATGTAACAGAATATTAACAACTATTATCTATTGAGCAGTGACCATTTGCTAGTGCTGTTCTAAGTAACCATTTGCTGGTGCTGTTCTAGTGTAGGAAAACATCATTCCTCATAAAGATCCTTTGAGGTAGGCTATTATGACCCCATTTTACAGATGTAGCAGTGCTATGGTTTAAATGTGTCCCCCCAAAAGCCAGTGTTGAAAACTTAATCCTCATTGCAGCAGTGTTGGGAGACGGGGCCCAGTGGGAAGTGTTTTGGTCATGGGGAGTCCACTGATTATAAAAGGGCTTGAGGCTGTTTCATCTCTTGCTTTCTGTTGCTATATGATGCTTTCTGCTATGTTATAACACAGCAAGAAGGCCCTTATTATATGCTGCCCCTCAAACTTGGACTTCCCAGACTCCAGAACTATAAGAAATAAACCTCTGTTCTTTCTAAGTAAACCCAGTCTGTGGTATTCTGTTACAGCAGCACAAAATGGACTAAGACAAGAAGTCAAGGCTCAGAACAGTCAATCGACTTGTTTAGGGTCATTTGGCTACAAGGGTTGAAGGGGTCTTGAGCCAGGCAGCACAGCCGCATGGCCCACACTCTTGACCACTGAACGGGAGCTACTCTGGGAATAGAGTCTGGGTGTCTGTGAGTTGGGCTCAGAGGATGGGGCCCACTTATCTAGGGGAGGGGATCATCCATGTAGAACTCCCTAAGGTGAAGTTTATAAGCCGAGACTTTCTCAGGTGGAGAGTGGGGTGGGGGTAGTGGTCAGTGAGGAGGTTAAGCCAAAAGGACAGGTGGAACCCAGAGCATGATTTCCCTTTTGGGTCTGCACCTGGAAGTGGGGGAACCAGCAGGTCATATAGATGGAGTACTATAGTTAGGTATATGAGTGAATTTAGGAAAAGAGAAACAATTAACATAATTTCCAGGATTTTTTCTTGGGTAACTGAGTAGGTGGAGGAGTGATTTACTAGACTAAGACAAAACACAACACAACACAACACAACACAACAAATTATAACAAAACTGTACAGTTTAGGGGAGACACACAGGGATTTAAATTTTGCTGACCGAGTTTGAGAAGCTTTTGAGTTAACCAGATGAAGTGTCTTTAGACACATCAGTGGATCACAGAGCACAGTTGAGGACCCTTCAAGAGGTGGCAAGAGATTTGCTATCATAGCTGCTGAATTTCTTTCTATGTTTTGGATGATTCAGCTATGAAGATCTATAAAAAGCAAGAATAAACAGACTGGAGAACAACAACAACAAAAAGCATTAAAAATGATAGTGTGAGCCCAATATGAGTAAATACTTCAGGATAAATGGGAGTAAATTCTCTCACATTCTTAAAACAGCCCCATTACCTGGTCACTGGAAATGTCCTTGGAGGTGGTGTACAGAGGGAAATGTAATAGGAAGCATTGGCTCTGGAACACTGTGTCAGTTAATTTGGCTTTTCTATTAACCCAGACATTCACCAGATGAAGACTGATACTTGAACAGTGCCTCAGTGCCAGCAGGGAATCCAGGTAGAATAGCCCCTGATTGACTTGAAAACATTGATATCTCTTATGGCGTTAGTCACAGAACAGACAGACTTGGGAGTGGACGTTTTGCTTAGGAAAGACTGGGCAATGGGAGAATGCAGGGCCCTGGTGAGATCGTTTCAAACAGACATTGGAAAATAAAAATAGATCTTTGGTTTTTAAAATAAAGTCTCTCTAAAGTAGTGGTTATTTTGGGGAAAGAATTAACTGGAGGGATGTGAGGGAGCCAGCTGGAGTGCTGGGAATGTTCGCTATCTTGATTTGAGTGGTGGTTACATGGGTTTATATAAGTAAAAATTAATCAATCCATATTCTTACTGTCTACACATTTTCCTAAAGTATTCAAGCTGTTATGAGCTAAATTGTGTACCCCTCAAATTCACATGTTGATATCCTAATTTCCAGTACCTCATAATGTGACTTTATTTGAAAGTAGGGTTATTGCAGATGTAATTAATTTATACTTAACTAGTTATACACAATCAGGGTGGGCCCCTAATCAAATATGATTGGTGTCCATATTAAAAGGGAAAATATGGACGCAAGTGCACATGGGAAGAATGTTGTGTGAGGATTGGAGTGATGTTGTCACAAGCCAATGGACTATCAGAAGCTGGAGAGAGGCCTGGGACATATGCTCCCTCATGACCTCAAAAGGAACCAGCCCTGCCAACAACTTGATCTTGGACTTCTAGCATCCAGGACTGTGAGACAACTTTCTGTTTTTAAGCCACCCAGATTGCAATACTTTGTTACTGTTACTACGGCTCCAGACAACTAATAAACAAGCTATACCCCCAATTTTAATAATGTCTGTCTAACAACTTCCAAAACAATTCCCTCACCTTGCTACATACAAAGACATAGTAAAAGAAAGAGATTAATTATCCATTAAATAACTTACTGAAGATTGAGTAGTCACCACATTGGCTTCTTTTTTAGGCTTTGACATGTTTGGTGGATGTTTAATGTGGACTCTTATTCTTGGGAGGTATTTGGGGGTTCTTTGGTGCCCCACTGAGAAAATATACCTATATTTCAATTAAGTCATTGTTAAAAGATAAATTCACGGAGGTAAACATTTACATATTCTCACCATGGGTAAAGATTTCTAGTTATAAAAATGGTAAAATAAATTAAAAAGGAAGGTGCATATTTGGCTACTTAAAAAGTAAAGACACTTTATCCAACAAGAGCAAAATACACATTCTTCTCATATGCACATAAAATGATCTCTAGACTAGACCATATATTAAGCTGTAAAACAGTTGTCAATAATTTTTAAAGGATTGAGGTCAAAATATGTTTTCTGACCAGAATGGAATAAAATTAGAAATTGACCTGAGAAAGAAATTTGAGAAATTCACAAATATGTGTAAATTTAGACATATTCCTAAATAAACAATAGGTAAAAAAAATCACAAGAGAAGTTAGAAAATACTTTGACATGAATAAAAATGAAAATCCAACATATCAAAACTGATGGGATGTTGTGAAATCATTGCTTAGAGGGAAATCTCTACCTGTAAATGCCTATACTTAAAAAAATTAATAAACAAACTGTATCATTCAGGGTTCTCCAGAGAAATAGAACCAATAGGATGTGTGTATATATATGTATATGCATATGTATATGTGTGTGTGTGTGTGTGTGTGTGTGTGTGTGTACATATACACATAAGCACACAAACATACATACAGAGAGGGAGAAAGAAAGAAAGAAAGAGAGAAATGTATTTAATCCAATTAACTCTCATGATTGTGGGAGCTGGCAAGTCCAAAATCTGCAGGGTGGACCAGGGTGGACCAGCAGGGTGGACCCAGGGAAGAGTTGATATTGAAGTTCAAATCCAAAGGTGGCAGAATTTCTCCTTCTTGGGGGAGGTCAGCTTTTTAAATTGCCCCTAAAGGTCTTCAACTGATTGGATGAGGCACACTTACATTATGGAGGATAATGTGCTTTACTCAAGGCCTATGGATTTAAGTGTTAATCTCATCTAAAAAATATGTTTGCAAAAACATGTAAAATAATGTTTTACCAAATTATCTGGGTACTGTGGCCTAGCCAAGTTGATAGTTGATATATAAAATTAATCGTCACCCTAATATTCCACCTTAATAAACTAGAAAAGAAGAGCAAACTAAATGCAGAGCAAGAAGAAGGAAGGAAATAATAAATATTTGAATGAAATAGAGAATAGAAAAACATAGAATCACTAAAACTGAAATTTGGTTCTTTGAAAAGATAAACAAACTGACAAACCTTTAGCTACAATGACGAAGAAAAAGACTTAATTTATGAAAATCAAGAATTGCAGGCCAATAAATTAGTTAAGCTGGATGAAATGAACAAGTTCCTAGAAACACACAAATTGACTCAAAAAGAAAAAGAAAATCTAAATAAATCTATAACAAATAAAGTAATGGAATTAGTAATCAAAAAACTTCCAACAAACAAAAGCCTGGTGCCAGATGGTTTCACTGGTGAATTCTATTGAATGTTTAAGGAAAAATTAACACACATACATTGCGAGCTTTTCTAAACATAGAAGAGGATAAAACAATTTCTAATTTATTATATGGGCCACTATTACACTGATACCAAAACCAGACAGAAAAAAGAAAACTAGAGACCAATATTCCTTAGGAATAAGATGCAAAATCCTCAGCAAAATACCAGCAAACTTAATTTAACAGCTTATAAAAAGGATGATGCACCGTGACCAAGTGGGATTTATCCCGGGAATGCAAGGATGGTTCAACATATGAAAATCAAGCAATATAATATACCACATTAACAGAACACAAGAGAAAAACACATGATCATTTCATAATTACAGAAAAAACATTTAACCAAATACAACACCCTTTCATAATAAAGCACTTAACAAACTAGGAATAAAAGGAAACTTCCTCAATATGATAAAGGACATCTAAGAAAAAACCCACAGCTAATGTCACATGTAATGGTGAAACAATGAATGCTTTCCTCTAAGGTCAGAAATAAAACAAAAACGTGTGCTCTTATCACTTCTATTCAACATTGTACTGGAAGTTTTAGCCAGGGAAATTGAGCAATAAAAGAAATAAAATGCATTGAAATTAGAAAGAAAAAAGTAAAACTATACTCTTCATACTTTTTGTTTGTAGATACTATGATCTTGTATGTAGAAAATCCTAAGAAAGAAACACACACATAGACACACACACACACAAACTAATAGAGCTAATAACAAGATGAGCACATTTGTAGGATATAAAATCAATATACAAAATCAATGTAAATAAATGGGAATGGGAAGGCATTCTGTGTTCATGAGTTGGAAGTCATATTATTGTTAAAATGCCAATACTCTGAATTATCTACAGATTTGATGCAGTCCCTAGCAAAATTCCAATGGAGAAATCAACAAACTTACCTGAAAGTTTATACAATAATACAAGGATCCAAAATAGCCCTAACACCTTAAAAAGAGAAACAAAGTTACAAGACTTATAGTTCCAGATTTCAAAAAGTTACTACAAACCTGTGATAATAAGGCCAGTATGGCACTGGCATAAGGACACATATATACATCAATGGGATAGAGCTGAGAGTCCAGAAATAGACCCACATGGTTATGGTTAATCGATTTCAACAAGGGTGTCAAGGTAGTTCAGTAGGGGAAAGAATAGTCTTTTCAATAAATGACACTGGAACAACTGAATATCCACATGAAAAAGAATGAATTTTGAGCCTTACCTTACACCATACACAAATATTAATTCAAATGGATCAAACACCTACATGTAAGAGCTAAAACTATAAAGCTTTAAGAAGAAAATACAGATGTAAGTCTTTGTGACCTTGAATTAGACAACAGTTTCTTATTTATGCCACCTAAAGCACAAATTACCAAAGAACAAATATGTAATTTGAACTACATCAAAATTTAAAACTTTTGTGCCACAAAGGACATTATTAAGAAAATGAAAGTCCACAGAATGGGAGAAATTATTTGCAAATCATATATCTGATAATTGTCTAGTATCCAAAATATACAAAGAGCTCTTACAACTCAACAATTTAAACAACCCAGCTAAAAAGGATTTTTTTAAAAATTAACAGAATACAGCATTGTTTGTATTTTTTATTTTTATCTATTTATTTATTTATTTTGAGATTGGATTACGAGACTGGCTAATTTCTGTATTTTTTGTAGGATGGGGTTTCTCCAC
Organism: Homo sapiens; assembly: GCF_000001405.40. NCBI lineage: Eukaryota > Metazoa > Chordata > Mammalia > Primates > Hominidae > Homo > Homo sapiens. The sequence goes on from NC_000007.14 coordinate 45,540,551, forward strand.
ATTGTCCAGGCTGGCCTCAAACTCCTGGCTTGAGTAATCCACCCACCTCAAACTCCCGAAGTGCTGGGATTACAACCATGAGCCACCACATCTGGACTAAAAAAGGATTTTAATTAACAATTTTCCAAATAATGTATGCAAATGGCCACTAGGCACATGAAAAGATGCTCATTATCATTAGTGATTAGGAAAACTCAAATAAAAAGCACAATGAGATAAGATTTCACACCTACTGGGATGGCTATAATAAAAAAGACAATGACAAGTGTTGGTGGGAATATGGAAAATTGAAACCCCTATATACTGCTGGTGGGAATGTGAAATAGTGAACCCACTTTCGAAAACACTTTGGCTGTTGCTGAAAATATTAAATATACAGTTGCCAGAGGACCCAGCCATTCCACTCCTGGGTATGTGCTCACAAGAATCAAAAACATAAGTTCAGGCAGAAAGTTGTATACACATGTTCATAAAAGCATTAATCACAATAGCCAGAAAGTGGAAGTAATCCAAATGCCCATAAACTGATGGAAGGATAAATAAAATGTGTTATATCCATATGATGGAATATTATTCAGGCAGAAAAAGTAATGAAATACCCTCACTTGCTACAAGCCAGACAAACTTTGAAAATCATATGCTAAATGAAAGAAACCAGACGCAAAAGACCACAGAACATATAATTCAACTTATATGAATGTCCAGAACAGAAAAATCCATAGACAGACAGCAGATTACTGGTTGCCAGGACCTGGGGGCTGGGGAGAACAGAGAATGACTGCTAATGGGTACAGAGTTTCTTTTTGGGGTGATGAAAATAGTATGGAATTAGTGGTGATTGCAAAATCTTGTAAATATACTAAAAATCACTGAATTATATACTTTCGAATGATGAATTTTATGGTAAATATAAATTTTATGGTAAATGGTAAATATCTTTTTAAAAGTAAAGACCAAGTAAAATTAAAATGTAAATAACAAACCAGAAAATTATTTGCAATCTTAACAACAAATAAAATGTTACTATCCTTAAGATACATAAAGTTCTGTTGAAATTCACCTTTAAAACACCATGTCTTGGCAAAAGACAAAACACAGCAAACATTCTTACATAAAACAAAAAAAAAACTAAAGGGTAAGAAGTAGATAGAGAAATATCTGTCTCATTAGTAAATTAGTTCAAATTAAAAGAGGGTATCATTGTTGATGTTCTTATAGTTCTCTATTTTTAAAAAAATATTTTCTGCACTGTGTGTTAGTTTCCTATTTTAGAATCAGAAAAGTTCATTTAAAAGATATATAATGCAGTTAACCTAAGCCCCTGGAGAATGTTCAGGCAGCGGATGCATCAGCAGGCGGGAGGGGCTGTGACTATACATGCCCTGTTAGGTGCATTACACAGGCAGTTCCTTTTAATCCTATAATAGTATATCAACCCTCTCTTTACAGGTGGAGAAACTAAGGCCCATCTCACGATGGAACTCACCAAGGGCCACATGTCAATAACTGGTAAATAACCTGGAAAGCGGGTTCAACTAGGAGCCCCCAAAATCATGCTCCTTCCTGCTCCAGGAAGCACCAGGAACCCCCTTCTTCATTTGTGCTGACAACATAACCTTAGAGATGAGGAGTCTTACCAGAAGCCATCTGAGTCCAGCCATCCCAGAAGCCTCCTGAGCCAAGGCCAAAGGATAGTACCCAGGCTGCTGGAGGGCTCAGATGTAGCCGGGACCTGGCTCCATGAAGATGAAGAGCCCCACAGCCCCTCTCATAGGAATGAAGGCAGAAGATAAACAATGTACCACATCAGCAAGGAAGCAGCCCTTCTGTGCACCCCACAGGTGCACAAGAGCCCAGGAGAAAACTGGGGACAAAAGGCCCTGGCTCTAAGAACCCCAAAGGCCAGAGCAGCCACCACCAACTGTGAACAGAAATATTGGAGCAAAGATTTGAGACCTAGTGGAGACTGCCAAGGTACAGTGGAGTGGGTTGCCTCTTGGGGATGCGGGAGTGCGTTTGACAGGGGAGACCCATCAGGAGGGGATATGGCTTCACAAGAGTCCTCCTCCTTATGATTGCCAGACCATGTGTGTGTGTATGCCTGTTTGGGCGTGTGTGCATGTATGTGCTTGCATGTATCCATCGGAACCTACATGAGAGCATGGGTGCGTCGATGGCAGCTTTGCATCAGAACACAGGTTTCTCACTGTGTGGCCTTGGCAATATCCGTTTCTTTGGACCTCAACTTACAGACCCACAAAGTGGAGCTAAGGCTACTCCATCCCAAAACCGAGTGTGGGTCTCCTGGGGGCAGGTAACCACCTGCACAGTGCTGTTCTGGTGTGAAGGATCCCCTGTCCTTGGGCCAAGAGGCTAAGAAGGCCTTTCCTGCCTCTGTTACCTGTCTCAGAGAAAAGTCCCCATGGAGATTACAGGCGTGAGCCCCCACACCTGGCCAGCATACTTGCATCTTTACAGTTAGCCACATTAAAAAGAGGCTGGTGACAGCAAGAATGTGGGGCCTGGGCTACCACTGCGGGACCTTGGGCAAGTTACCTACAGCTCTGTGACTCAGTGTCCCTACATGCACCTACCTCCAGGAACACCATGAAGACAGCATGAGCTATAATACGGAAAATGCTTAGAGCAGGGCTTGGCATGTAGTGCAGGCTCTGAGTGGCAGTGACTATGATTTTTACTTATTAGAGAAAACATGAACATCTATATAGGAAGCCATATCTTCTGTACACTGGATATTTTAACTTGCTTAGAATCATACTGAGTGTACAATTTTCTTTTTCCATTTAACATTAGTTCATAAAAGCCTGTCTATATCATTAATAATTTTAAGACTCTTGATGCACCAAAAGCTCTACATTTTCACCCATATAAATATGTGAGCTAGAAAGAGTGGGGAGAATGAGTACTTCTCCCATGGAAACTCTACTCATCCTGTAGCTCTATAATATAAAACTCATTTAAATCACCAACGTGACTCTTTGGGGTTATGCAAAGCATTTAGGTAAACATTAAAGTCCTTTCTCCAGCTTTTAAATCAATTTAGTGACATGAATTATGAGTCCTCTGTTCGTTGGTGGTTGTGTGTGTGTGGATTGGGTCAGGACGGCTTAATCCCAGTTGACCTGCTCAGAATGAGAGTAAACACATATACCACTGGGAATTTTAATAGGAAGAGTTATTGCTTGTATAATTACATAGTTATAAATAGAACAGATTATGTCTGTCAAATAGAATTGCTAATTTTTATTCCTGTTCAGATAATAGAAAATGCAAATTTTAACTATTTAAAAGTATTTTCCCAGCTTTTCAATTAGATTTTAGTCCTTCTAATCTTTTAAACAGAGTGAGGAAATGGATAAGATATAGGCTCTTTAGGCAGAAGGTTTATAACAAATATAGTGGGGGTTCTTAAAATGGGGTACCTGGCATCATATCATCTGGGAAATCATTTAAAATGCATATTCTCTGGCTCCACCGCAGACCGACTAAAAGAGAAACCTTGCGAGGGCGTAGGGAGCAATTCAATTTTTTGCATGTCCTGTAGGTGAGATGATTCTGATGCTGGCTCACATTTGAAAAGTACTCTGAATTACAGCAAAAAAATTGGGGTAATATTCTTGGTTCTTTGATTCCCAAAATACATACCAACATACTATACACTCATATAATACATACACACATATACAGACATATATAATACACTTTCATACGTAAACACATACACCCGCATAACATACACATGCATAATACATATACACATTCACATGTACACACATGTACACAAACATACATAATACACACATACAAAAATAGTTTAAGGCTCTCTTGAGACCTTCACAGAACAGGTTCAGTCTGTGAATGACAACCTAAACTTTTCTGCAGCTCGGTTTTTTTTGTCTGTAAAAACAGGGTCATGCCAACCTGTCAGTTCGCTAAGAAACTAGATTTGCCCAGATTTTGAATCAGAACATCACTGAATCCTGGGGTCTGACATTGCATATTATCCCATCCAGCCCCAGCCCAGTCTGTTATTAGTGACCTTCCACAGGGTTTTGGCTGAGTGATGGCTCAGCCTGTCCGAGGGGTTTGAACCAGAGCAACTCCATCTTGAATAGAGGCTGGGTAAAATAAGGCTGAGACCTACTGGGCTGCATTCCCAGGAGGTTAGGCATTCTAAGTCACAGGATTAGATAGGCGGTTGGCACAAGAAACAGGTCATAAAGATCTTGCTGATAAAACAGGCTGTGGTAAAGAAGCTGGCCAAAGCCCACCAAAACCAAAACGGAGATGAAAGTGACCTCTGGTCATCCTCACTGCTTATTATAAGTTAATTATAATACATTAGTATGCAAAAAGTCACTCCCACCGGCACCATGACAGTTTACAAATGTCATGAAAAGATCAGGAAGTTACCCTACATGGTCTAAAAAGGGGAGAAACCAACCCTCAGTTCCAGGAATTGCCCAGGCATTTCCTGGAAAACTCATAAATAATCCACCCCTTATTTAGCATATAATTAATAAATAACCATAAAAAATAGGCAATCAGCAGCCCTCGGGGTGACTCTGCTTATGGAATAGCCATTCTTTATTCCTTTACTTTCTTAATAAATGTGCTTTCACTTTATGGACTCATCCTGAATTCTTTTTTGTGAGAGGTCCAAGAACCCTCTCTTGGGGTTTGAATTGGGAGCTCTTTCCGGTAACCTCTATTCGACATAGTACTGAAAGTCTTTGCTAGAGTAACCATGCAAGATAAAGAAATAAAAGGCATCTAAATAGAAAGAGAGGAAGTCAAACTATCTCTGTTTGTAGATGATATGATTCTATATTGAGAAAACCCCATAAGCTCCTAGATCTGATGAAACAACTTCAGCAAAGTTTCAAGATACAAAATCAATGTACAAAAATGAGTAGCATTTCTATATACCAACAGAGTCCAAGTTGAGTCATGGATATTTCCCTCTTTTGTTAAAAACATGTTTGTGCATGTACACAGTTGTACTAAGAAAATATCTTCATTTTATTCCCTTTATCATACAACATAAGATTTATTGACTTCATATCAGCATTTAAGTGTCCTTAACCTTATCTAATAGTATTTGAGCTGGGGATTGATTCATTTCTGGTTGTGTGAAGGATAGTTGTGATAGTTGTATTATGTTAGGCATAATTAGTTTGCTATTTTTCTAGGTAAAGGCAGCTCTAATGGCTTCCATTTGGCCTTACCACCATAGTAGACCTCACACTACCAGTCAGGGAGCCAATGTGGGGGTTCTGCCAGCTGCTAAGTATTTCTATGCCAATTAGGCATTCTGGCACTGGGAAAATGACCCAGGATGAGTCTGGAGACCCACTGGGCCCACTATAAGTCAGAACTGAGCTAAAACTCATTAATTACCTGACCTCCGTAAGTCCCTACTTTAACTGGAGGACAATTACATTTTGGGTCCCCTGGAATCAACATCAGCTCAGAGCCACTGTCCAGTAGTCCCCGAGATGTCTGACCATTTCCCTTTCCCCAATGTATAGTTACCTTGGTAAAAGGCTGGAGGTCTTCTTGGGGAAGGATGGGAGAAAGATACAAGCCATAAATTGTTGGTAATGTAGCGGGGTCCTTCCTCAAGGGGACTCAGCCTTCCCTTCATTCAATGGGTTCTGAGTCTGTAAACTGGCTCAAGTCTGGAAATTGATTGAGGAGCCATGGTTCTCTGTTTTTATAATTCAGAGTAGTCTTTTGTCCATTCAACCTAAATTTTCTGCTTATATAAATTAAGTGGGAATGCAATAAACTTCCTATCAATTTCACTTCTGGGGACACCATGATTAATTAGCCAAAGCCGGAGCTCTACACAAGTCAGACTATTCTGATTGCTGCTTTGTCTTTTCTGTCCGTTACGGTAGCTATGCCTACCTTACCTTTGACAGTTGAGTGCCACCACTTGGCTCTTGCCACATTGGGATCTAATTATTCCCATCGTATTTAAATTTTGTAGTTGAGTGACTGCAGTTCCCACTCTGACATACAGAGAAGAGCAATTACAGGCCTCTTCAAAGATGCAGGTGCTGCCCTCACAAATCTATTTTGTAAAGCATTGGTCAAGGGTATATCTTCTGGACCCTCCCAGTTGTGATGAGTAGGACTAAAGTGACTAATCCACTCCACCATCCCAATCTCCCTAAGCCTTTGGATCCCTTCCTCTACATTAAACCAAGGGAGATAAGGCATTTCCAGTTCACTCACAGTGGGCCATCTTCTCATCCACATTTCAGCTAACCAAGCAAATAAACTATTAGAACCTTTTTTAACTCCCTAAGCTGCAACATTAAATGCAGAGTCCCTACTAAGTGAACCCAAATCAATAAATTCAGCCTGATCCAACTCTATGTTCCTTCTACCATTATCCTGTACCCTTCCCATTCCTGTTCTCTGGATTTCTGTTTATATAAATTAGAGAACTCAAGCAGTTCTTTTTGAGTGTAGCATACCTCTTCATGAGTAACACTCTCAACCTCACCTCTAGGGGCCTACCAGGACTTTAGTTATAAGTCTAGAAGCAAGCAGGGGTGTTGGGGGTGGCTTCTAAGGAGAATCAACATTATTTTGCCTGGCAACTGACTCAGGGGAGGCCATCACTGTTACCTCAGGCAGGGGAGAGTTTATCTCCTCAGACAAAGGTGAAAAGGCTGATGGCAGCATGGGTCGGGGAGGGGATGTAGCCACTACTGGGGATGGGGAAGCTGTTTCTTCTGGTAAAAACGGTTCATCAGACTCAATGTCCCCAGCTTCTTCAGGGTCCTCCTCATTCCAAGTTGCAGGGTCCCATTATTTTCCAATCAATGCCCTCACTTAAACAGTAGATGCCTGGCGAGGCTGTGCATGCACCTTTCGTTGCAGGTCAGCCACTCACATGATAAGAGCTTATGTCTGTTTTTCTACAATTTCAGCTCTTTCTCTACAGGAGATAAGACTCTCACTCAGGGCAATCTTAGCAGATTTGAGGCTCAGTATCTGCTTCTGAAGCCAGGAGATAGAATCCCTGAGGTCATCATTTTCTTTCTTTCTTTCTCTCTTTCTTTCTTTCTTTCTTTCTTTTCTTTCTTTCTTTCTTTTTTTTTTTTTTTGAGGCTGGAGTGCAGTGGTGCGATCTCGGCTCACTGCAACCTCTGCCTCCCGGGTTCTTGCAATTCTTCCGTCTCAGCCTCCCGAGTTGCTGGGACTACAGGCATGTGCCACCACACCCAGCTAATTTTTTTGTATTTTTAGTAGAGACGGGTTTCATCATATTGGCCAGGCTGGTCTCAAGCTCCTGACCTCGTGATCTGCCCACCTCAGCCTCCCAAAGTGCTGGGATTACAGGTGTGAGCCACTGCACCCGGCTGAGTTCATCATTTTCTTTCATCACTTTGTCCACTGAACTTAGAAGCAACCAACCAGCTTCATTATGTTCCTTGGTTCTCCACATGTGGTCAAAGGTATTATGTATAAAGTCACTAAACTCCTTGCCTCTCACAAGCGATGAATCAGGAGTGTCAAATGCATTTATTTTGCATAAGCCTCCGAACAGTTCATGTCAAGAACTATCAGTGTTCTCCATACTATTAGAGTCCTTAACATTTTTTGGTCTAATCATATTAAGCAGCCAACTCCAGAAACCCCAAAATCAATGAAAGAACTCTATCCTTAATATTCTGTTCCTCTAGAACCACTCCTGGTACCAAAATCTGTATTAGTTAGGGTTCCCTAGACGGACAGAACAGATAGGATAGATATATCTATATGAAGGGGAGTTTATTAAGTATTAACTTACATGATCCCAAAGTTCCACAGTAGGCTGTCTGCAAGCCTGAGGAGCAAGCAGGGCCAGTCCGAGTCTCAAAACTGAAGAACCTGGAGTCTGATGTTTGAGAACAGGAAGCATTCAGCATGGGAGAAAGATGTAGGCTGGGAGGCTAGGCCAGTCTCACCTTTTCATATTTTTTTGCTTGCTTTATATTCACTGGCAGCTGATTAGATTGTGCCCATCAGATTAAGGGTGGGTCTGCCTTCCCCAGCCCACTGACTCAAATGTTAATCTCCTTTGGCAACACCCTCACAGACACACCCAGGATCAATACTTTGCATCCTTCAATCCAATCAAGTTGACACTCAGTATTAACCATCACAAGTCCACCCCTTGTCAACTTGAACCCATACACATCTCCTGAGGTCATATATAATCTTCAAATAAAAACAATAATAAGGTCATAATTATGCCTAACATAATACAACTATCACAACTATCCTTCACACAACCAGAAATGCATCAATCCCCAGCTCAAATACTATTACGTAAGGTTAACGATGCTTAAATGCTGATATGAAGCCAATAAATCTTATGTTGTATGATAAAGGGAATAAAATGAAGATATTTTCTTAGTACAACTGTGTACATGCACAAACATGTTTTTAACAAAAGAGGGAAATACCCATGACTCAACTTGGACACTGTTGGTGTATAGAAATGCTACTCATTTTTGTACATTGATTTTGTATCTTGAAACTTTGCTGAAGTTGTTTCATCAGATCTAGGAGCTTATGGGGTTTTCTCAATATAGAATCATATCATCTACAAACAGAGATAGTTTGACTTCCTCTCTTTCTATTTAGATGCCTTTTATTTCTTTATCTTGCATGGTTACTCTGGCAAAGACTTTCAGTACTATGTCGAATAGAGGTTACCGGAAAGAGCTCCCAATTCAAACCCCAAGAGAGGGTTCTTGGACCTCTCACAAAAAAGAATTCAGGATGAGTCCATAAAGTGAAAGCACGTTTATTAAGAAATGCCTTTTTCTCCATTCCTGTCCATAAGGCCCTCCAGAAGCAATTTGCCTTCAGCTGGCAAGGCCAGCAATATACCTTTACTGTCCTACCTCAGGGGTATATCAACTCTCCAGCTTTGTGTCATAGTCTTATTCAGAGAGACCTTGGTAACTTTTTGCTTCTGCATGATATCACACTGGTCCATTGCATTGATGACATTATGCTGGTTGGATCCAGTGAGCAAGAAGTAGCAAACACACTGGACTTATTGATGAGACATTTGTGTGGCAGAGGATGGGAAATAAATCCAACTAAAATCCAGGCACCTGCTACCTCAGTAAAATTTCTAGGGGTCCAGTGGTGTGGGACCTGTTGAGATATTCCTTCTAAGGTAAAGGATAAGTTGGTGCATTTGGCCCCTCCTACAACCAAGAAAGAGGCACAATACCTAGTGGGTCTATTTGCATTTTTGGAGGCAACACATTTCTCATTCGGGTGTGTTACTCCGGCCCATTTATCAAGTAACCTGAAAGGCTGCCAGTTTTGAGTGGGGTCAAGAACAAGGGAAGGCTCTGCAACAGGTCCAGGCTGTTGTGCAAGCTGCTCTGCCATTTGGGCCATATGACACAGCAGGTCCAATGGTGCTTGAGGTATCAGTGGCAGATAGGGATGCTGTTTGGAGTCTTTGGCAGGCCCCCATAGGTGAATCACAGCAGAGGACTCTAGGATTTTGGAGCAAAGCCCTGCCATCTTCTGCAGATAACTACTCTCCTTTTGAGAGACAGCTCTTGGCCTGTTACTGGGCTTTGGTGGAAACTGATCGTTTGACCGTGGGTCATTAAGTCACCACGCGACCTCAATTGCCTATCATGAACTGGGTGCTTTTTGACCCATCTAGCCATAAAGTGGGTCATGCAAAGCAGCATTCCATCATAAAATGGAAGTGGCATATGTGTGACTGGGCTCAAGCGTGTCCTGAAGGCACAAATAAGTTACATGAGGAAGTGGCTCAAATGCCCATGTTCTCCACTCCTGCCACCCTGCCTTCTCTTCCCCAGCCTGCACCAATGGCCTCATGGGGAGTTCCCTATGATCAGTTGACAGAGGAAGAGAAGACTAGGGCATTGTTCACAGATGGTTCTGCACAATATGCAGGCACCACCCAAAAGCAGACAGCTGTAGCACTACAGCCCCTTTCTAGGACATTCCTGAAGGACAGCAGTGAAGGGAAAACTTTCCAGTGGGGAGAACTTCGAGCAGTGCGCCTGACTGTGCACTTTGCATGGAAGGAGAAATGGCCAGATGTGCGATTATATACTGATTCATGGGCTGTAGCCAATGGTTTGGCTGGATGGTCAGGGACTTGGAAGAAGCATGATTGGAAAATTGGTGACAAAGAAATTTGGGGAGGAGGTATATAGATGGACCTCTCTGAGTGGTCAAAAACTGTGAAGATATTTGTATCCCATGTGAGTGCTCAGCAATGGGTGACCTCAGCAGAGGAGGATTTTAATAATCAAGTAGAGAGGATGACCCATTCTGTGGACACCACTCATCCTCTTTCCCCAGCCACCTCTTCATTGCCCAATGGGCCCATGAACAAAGTGGCCATGGTGGCAGGGATGGAGGTTGCGCATGGGCTCAACAACATGGATTTCCACTCACCAAGGCTGACCTGGCTATGGCCACTGCTGAGTGCCCAATTTGCCAGCAGCAGAGACCAACACTGAGTCCTCAATATGGCACCATTCCTCGGGGTGATCATCAAGCTACCTGGTGGCAGGTTGATTATATTGGACCTCTTCCATCATGGAAAGGGCAGAGGTTTGTCCTCACTGGAATAGGCACTTACTCCAGATATGGGTTTACCTATTCTGCATGCAATACTTCTGCCAAGACTACCATCTGTGGACTCATGGAATGCCTTATCCACCATCATGGTATTCCACACAGCATTACCTCTGACCAAGGCACTCACGTTACAGCTAAAGCAGTGAGGCAGTGGGCTCATGCTCATGAAATTCACTTGTCTTACCATGTTCCCCAACATCCTGAGCAGCTGGATTGATAGAATAGTGGAATGGCCTTTTGAAGTCACAATTACAACACCAACTAGGTGACAACACTTTGCAGGGCTAGGGCAAAGTTCTCCAGAAGGCTATGTATGTTCTGAATCAGTGTCCAATATATGGCACTGTTTTTCCCATAGCTAGGATTCACGGGTCCAGGAATCAAGTGGTGGAAGTGGAAGTGGCACCACTCACCATCACCCCTAGTGATACACTAGCAAAATTTTTGCTTCATGTTCCTGAGACATTACCTTCTGCTGGCCTAGAGGTCTTAGTTCCAGAGGGAAGAACGCTAACACCAGGAGACACAACAATGATTCCATTAAACTGGAAGTAAAGATTGTCACCTGGCCACTGTGGGCTCCTCCTACCTTTAAGTCAACAGGCTAAGAAGAGACTTACAGTGTTGGCTGGGGTGATTGACCTGGGCTATCAAGATGAAATCACTCTACTACTCCATAACAGAGGTAAGGAAGAGTATGCACGGAATACAGGAGATCCATTAGGGTGGCTCTTAGTATTACCATGCCCTGTGGTTAAGGTCAATGGGAAACTACAACAGCCCAATCCAGGCGGGACCCCAAATGGTCCAGACCCTTCAGGAATGAAGGTTTGGGTCACTCCACCAGGAAAAAAACACAACCTGCTGAGGTGCTTGCTGAAGGCAAAGGGAATATAGAATGGGTAATAGAAGAAGGTAGTCATCAATACCAGCTACGACTATGTGACCTGCTGCAGAAATGAGAACTGTAACTGTCATGAGTATTTCCTCCTTCTTTTGTTAAAAACATATTTGTGCATGTAAACACTTGTGCTAATAAAATATCTTCATTTTATTTCCTTTTCCTTTATCATGTGACATAAGATTTATTGACTTCATATTAGTATTTAAGTATTGTTAACCTTATATTAATAGTATTTGGGTTGGGGATGGTGCATTTCTGGTTGTACAAAGGATAGTTGTATTATGTTAGCCATAATTATGACCTTATTATTGTCTTTATTTGAAGATTATGTATGATCTCAGGAGATGTGTATGGGTTTAAGTTGACAAGGGGTGGACTTGCGATGGTTAATACTTAGTGTCAACTTGACTAGATTGAAGGATGCAAAGTATTGATCCTGGGTATGTCTATGAGGGTGTTGCCAAAGGAGATTAACATTTGAGTCAGTGGGCTGGGGAAGGCAGACCCACTCTTAATCTGATGGGCACAATCTAATCAGCTGTCAGCAAATATAAAGCAGGCAGAAAAATGTGAAAAGGCAAGAGTGGCCTAGCATCCCAGCCTACATCTTTCTCCCATGCTGGATGCTTCCTGCCCTCAAACATCGGACTCCAAGTTCTTCAGTTTTGAGACTTGGACTGGCTGTCCTTGCTAGTCCAATGGCATTCTTCACAGAATTAGAAAGAAACTATTTTAAAATTCATGTGGAACCAAAAAAGAGCCCAAATAGCCAAGGCAATCCTAAGCAAAAAGAACAAAGCTGGAGGCATCACATGACTGAACTTCAAACAATACTACAAGACTAAAGTTACCAAAATAACATGGTACTAGTACAGAAACAGACATGTAGACCAATGAAACAGAATAGAGAGTCCAGAAATAATGCCACCCAGCTACAACCACCTAATCTTTAACAAAATTGACAAAACAAGCAGTGGGGAAAGGACTCCTTATTCAATAAATGGGGCTGGGATAACTGGCTAACTATATGCAGAAGATTCAGACTGGACCACACCTTTCTTATACCATACAAAAATCAACTCAAGATGGATTAAAGACTTAAATATAAAACCTAAAGGTATAAAAACCCTGGAGGGCAACCTACAAAATACTATTCTCAAAAAGATTTCATAATGAAGATGCCAAAAGCAACTGCAACAAAAACAAAAATTGGCAAATGAGACTTAATTAAACTAAAGAGCTTCTGCACAACAAAAGAAACTATCAACAAACAACTGCAGAATGGGAGAAAATATTTGCAAACTCTGAATCCAACAAAGGCCTAATATCCAGAATACATAAGGAACTTAAATTAGCAAACAACAAACAACCCATTAAAAAGTGGGCAAAGGATGAAAACAGACACTTTTCAAAAGAAGACATACCCATGGTAAAAAAGCATATGAAAAAACACTCAACATCACTAATCATTGGAGAAATGCAAATCAAAACCACAATGAGATACTGTCTCACACCAGTCAGAATGGCTATTATAAAATTAAAAAAATAACAGATGCTGGTGAGGTTGTAGAGAAAAGGGAGTGCTTATACACTGCTGGCGGGAATGTAAATTAGTTCAGCCATTGTAGAAAGCAGCTCAGCAATTTCTCAAAGAACTTAAAACAGAATTATGATTTGACCCAGCAATCCCATTACTGGGTATATACCCAAAGGAATGTAAATCATTCTACCATAAAGACATACATATGTATATGTTTATCACAGCGCTATTCACAATAGCAGACATGGAATCAACCTAAATGCCCATCAATGGACTGGATAAAGAAAATGTGGTACACATATACATGGAATACTATGGAGCCAGAGCCATAAAAAAGAATGAGATCATGTCCTTTGCAGGGACATGGTTGGAGCTGGAGGCCATTATCCTATGTGAGTAAATGCAGGAACAGAAAACCAAATACTGTGTCTTCTCACTTGTAAGTGGGAACTAAACATTGAACACACATGGGAACAAAGAAGGGAACAAGAGACTGTGGCCTACTTGAGGGTAGAAGGTGGTAGGAGGGTGAGGATAGAAAAATTGCCTATCAGTTACTATGCTTATTACCTGGGTGGCAAAATAATCTGTACACCAAACCGCCGTGACACACAGTTTACCTATGTAACAAACCTGCGCATGTAACCCTGAAGCTACAATAGACTTTTTTTTTTAAAGCATAGTAATGGCACAAATAAGACATATAGACCAACGTAACAGAATAGGAAACCCAGAAATAAACCCATGAATATACAGTCAACAAATTTTTGACAAGGTGTCAAGATACACAATGAGTAAAGGACAGTCTGTTTAATAAATGGTGCCAAAGAACTGAATATCCACAAGCAAAAGAGTGAAACTGGACCCTTCTCTTACACCATACACACATATCAACTCAAAATGGATTAAAGACTTAAACACAAAACCTGAAATCATAAAACTACTAGAAGAAAACAAAGAGGAAAAGTTTCTTGACATTGGTCTTGGCAATGATTTTTTTTTTTATTTGACACCAAAAGCACAGGCAATAAAAGCCAAAATAAAAAATGGGACTACCTCAAACTAAAAAATTTCTGGTCAGCAAGTGAAACAATCAACAAAATTAAAAGGCAACCCATGAATTGGGAGAAAATATTTGCAAATTACATATCCAATAAGGGTTTAATATCAAAATATATAAGGAACTCATACAACTCAACAGCAAAAACAAAACAAAAGAAAAACAAGCCAATTATAAAATGGAAAATGTATCTGAATAGACACTTTTCAAAATAAGATATACAAATAGCTAACAGGTATATGAAAACATGCTCAACATCACGAATCATCAGGGAAATGCAAATGAACACCACGATGAAATACAACCACATGCTTGTTAGGGTGACCGTTATCAAACAGACAAAAGATAACAAGTGCCGGCGAGGATGTGGAGAAAAGGGAACCCTTGTATGCTGTTGGTGGGAATGTAAATTGGCACAGCCATTATGGTTCCTGAAAAAGCTAACTATAGAATTGCCATGTGATCCAGCAATTTCACCTCTGAGTATATAGCCAAAGGAAATGAAATCAGTATCTCAAAGAGTTATCTGCACTCCTGTGTTTACTGGAGTATCATTCACAATAACATGAAATCATTCACGGTAGATATGGAACCAACCTAACTGTCCATCAAGAGAAGAATGGATAAAGCAAATGTCGCATATGTACACAATCGAATACTATTCAGCCATAAAAAGAAGGAAATGCTGTCATTTGCAGCAACATGGGTGAACCTGGAGAACATTATCTTATATGAGATAAGGCAGGCAGAAAGACAAATATTGAGTGATCTCACTTATATGTGGAATCCAAAAATGTTGAACTTATAGATGCAGAGAGTAGAATGGTTTCCAGGGACTGAGGGGAGGGGGAAATGGGACAATGTCAGTCAAAGGGTACAAAGTTTCCATTGTGTAGGAGGAATAAGTTCTGGGGATCTCGTGTACAGCATGGTGACTGTAGTTAATAATAATGTATTGTATACTTGAAATTTGCTAGGAGAGCAGATCTTGTGTTCTCACTGTACACACAAAAATGGTGACTATATGAGGGGATGGATATATCAATTAGCTTGATTGTGGCAATCATTTCACTATGTATATATATCAAAACATGTACATGTAAAATAGATACAATTTTTAATTGACCATTATACCTCAATAAAGCTAAAGGAAAATTTGTTTACTTGTTTTCTATTTAATTAATTTCAGACTTTTCTTTACTAACATGGTTCTCATATGACATTTAAATTTATTCTATAGTTCTTTAACCTCTGAAGTTGGGTTCTTACCTTTTTTATTTTTAGCCTTCTTTCTTCCTATTTAACTATTGGAAGCTATAAATTTCTTATTAAGTACTGTTTCCATTGCATCTTTTAAGTTTTGATATTTTTTATTTATTTTTGCTCAGTGTTAAGGATTTGTTATTTTTTTGTTATGCCATTTTGAGTCATGATTTATTTAGAAATGTGTTTAAAAATTCTACATATGTAGGAACATTTCAGCAATTTTTTTTTTATACACTAAGTTCTGGGGTGCATGTTCACAACGTGCAGGTTTGTTACATAGCTATACATGTGCTGTGTTGGTTTGCTGCACCCATCAACTTGTCATCTACATTAGGTATTTCTCCTAATGCTATCCCTCCCCCAGCCCCCCACCCCCCGACAGGCCCCAGTGTGTGATGTTCCCCTCCCTGGTTCCATGTGTTCTCATTGTTCAACTCCCACTTAATGAGTGAGAACATGCGGTGTTTGGTTTTCTCTTCTTGTGTTACTTTGCTGAGAATGATGGCTTCCAGTTTCATCCATGTCCCTGCAAAGGACAGGAACTCATCCTTTTTTTATGGCTGCATAGTATTACATGGTGTATATGTGCCACATTTTCTTTATCCAGTCTATCATTGATGGGCATTTGGGTTGGTTCCAAGACTTTGCTATTGTGAACAGTAGTGCAATAAACATATGTGAGCATGTGTCTTTATGGTAGAATGACTTATAATCCTTTGGGTGTATACCCAGTAATGGGATTCAGCAATTTTTTTTAACAAAATACATTTTAATTTTATTGTGACCAGATAACTGGTCTGTAGGAATCCGAGTCTTTGAGACTTTTGAGGTTTACTTTGTGAGTTAGTATTACATTTTTGTAAATGTTGCATATGTGCTTGGAAGAATCTGTATTCTCTAATTGTGTACAACACAGCTCTTGATGCACAATAAATAAAGCAAATTTGTTAACAGTGTTGTTCAAATCTCCATTATCTATTAATTTTTTGTCAGCTTTATCCATTAGTAATTGAGAGAGGTGGATTGAAATATACCACTCTAATGATAGGTTTGTCAATTTCTCCTTGTAATTCTAACAATTCTTACTTTATATACATGGAGTTCACTCTTAGCGTGAAAGTTTAGAATTATTATATCTTCGTGACAAATTGAAGCTTTGGTCATTATGTTGTGAATTTCTGTATTCTTAATGCTTTTATTATTAAAGTTGATTTTGCCTTATACTAATATTGCCAGCCAGCATTCTTTGACCAGAATTTGCATTGCTTTCCTGTTTCTTGACCTACAGCGTGTGTACATTATTATCTGTAGAGCTCTTGCAAATAATATATTGCTTAATTTTGTTTGTAGCCCTGGGTATTTATCTTTTAGTTCACTGTACAATACAGATCATCTTTCTGGGTTCATTTTATTTTCCTCCTGGAGTACTTCTTTAGAAGTTTCATTATTGTAGTGCAATATTTTGGTGCAATTCTTTTGGTCTTTGATTTTCTTGGAATGTCTTTATTATCTTTTACATCATTTATTCTGCAAATTGCACAATTCTAGGTTGAGAGGTATTGTTTTCTCAGTTCTTTGAAATTATAATCCATGTTTTATTACTTCTCTTTGTTGCTGTCAAAAAGTTTGTTGTCAGTTCACCTGTTGCAGTTGCATAGGTGACAAGTCTTTCTCTTCTGGCTGTTCTTATGATCTCTTGTTTACTGCATTCTCTATTGGTGGCTCACTTTTGTCACTACACCTTTAGTTCCTTAAAATGTGATTCACCATTATCTTTTTTTTTGAGACAGAGTCACGCTCTGTCGCCCAGGTTGGAGTGCAATGGCGTGATCTCAGCTCACTGCAACCTCCATCTCCCGGGTTCAAGCCATTCTCCCACCTCAGCCTCCAAAGTAGCTGGGATTACAGGCACCCGCCACCACGCCCAGCTAATTTTTGCATTTTTAGTAGAGAGGGGTTTTACCATGTTGACTAGGCTGGTCTTGAACTCCTGACCTCAGGTGATCTGCCCGCCTTGGCCTCCCAAAGTGCTGGGATTACAGGTGTGACCCAATGCGCCCGGCGTCACCATTATCTTATTATTCGCTATCTGATAATTACAACATCTGGGGTCTTTGAAGATCTAAATTTATCATTTGCTTTTCTGCTGGCTGTCACTGTCAGTAGTTTGTTCCCTTATATCTTTGATGATCTCTAGTTTGTTTATCTTAATCTGTGGAGTACTGGGGGCATAAATTTTGGATGCTTTCCCACAGAGAGTATTTAGGCTTCTACTGATAGCCAAGGGTACTTCTGATCTGATTCTCTAGGCAGAGTCTTTCCTTTCTTCCCTCCCTCTTCCCTTTCTTAACCTTTGACATGAAAACCTTTTTTTTTTTTTTGACAGAGTCTTGCTCCATTGCCCAGGCTGGAGTGCAGTGGTGTGATCTCGGCTCACCTCAACCTCCACCTCCCGGGTTCAAGAGATTCTCCTGCCTCCCGAGTAGCTGGAATTACAGGTGCATGCCACCATGCCCAGCTAATTTTTGTATTTTTAGTAGAGATGAGGTTTCCTCATGTTGTCCAGGCTAGTCTTGGACTCCTGACCTCAGGTGATTGGCCCGCCTGGGCCTCTCAAAGTGCTGGGATTACAGCTTGAGCCAGCATGCCTGGCCAAAAACTTTCAAACATACCAAAAAGTGGAAAGAGTTTTCATTGACTGAACCAATTCCATGAAAGTTATAGACACAGTGAAACTTCATCCCTGAGCACTTCAGTATGCATTGCCTAAAAATAAGGACATTAGTTCATCCTCCCTGTATCATTATCAATCTTAAGAAAATTAAGTCCACTGGCCACTTAGTCATTCTCTAATATCGTTCAAGACCAGGCCATGTTCACATTTCCATCACTGCTCCCCAAAAGCTCTATTATGGGCTTGCTTATATAAACTAGGATCCAATCAATATTCTTGGATTGCAACTGGTGATCAGTATGTTTCTTTTATTCTGGAACAGTCCTCATGCCTTTTTGTATAAAATAGAAGGTTTTATTTCCCCTTACATGTAATCATCCAAATGGGAGTGGGTGGTCTAGGGCAGGCTCATCCACCTACATCATGGAATTCCATTCCTGGGTCCAAAGTGGTGGCTCCAGTTGTCATTTTCTACCAGACATCAGGAAGGAAGAAAGGAGGAGTGGAAGAAGCACCCTCCTGCACCCTCCGCCCCCAACAGTGGGGCCAACCCTCTCCTGCTGAAACTGCCTTTGCAGATTATGGCAGTGAGAGAAGGCTAGCATGGATGACTCCACCTTGCATCTAGCCTCACAGGCTGGCTCTCCTCACTCACTCCTGGGCATAGGCCAAGCTAACCACGGGAGGAATTTAGTTTATGGTTTAACTTTGAAACAAGGATGATAATAGTTTCTGTCTAAAACTGACCCCCTTTTGTTTGGGGACTGAAACTACCTTTGTAAGACTAATGGAAGGCCACAGGATTAGGATTATGGGAGGGGCCTGAATTCAGCTAAAATGTAGGCAGAGTTAAATGATAACCAGCCATTGTTTTCCAGCTTGCTTTTCCATCATCCTTTGCTGCTCAGGAGTCATGTGGCCAGTGGTCACAAGATTGGTGACTCTCCTAACTGCTCTTATAGAAACTAAGATTGGTCTTTTGAGATGTTTTTCAGACTTTTGCATTATAGTGGCCAACTGACTCTACCTGAACCCATGACTCATGACTCAACTGGTCCTGTGACCCCCACCCAGAGGCTGGCTTAGCACACAAGGACAGGTTTTCTACACCCTTATGATTTCATCCCCAACCAATCAGCCGCACCCATTCCCTAACCCCCTGCCCACCAAATTATCCATAAAATCCCTAGCCTCTAAGTTCTCCAGGAGGCTGATTTGAGTAATTACTCCCACCCTTCTGTTTGGCTATACCTGTGATTATTAAACCTTTTCTCTACTGCAATACCACTGTCTCAGTGAATTGATTTTATCTGAGCAGCAGGCAGGAAGAATCCATCAGGCAATTACACTTCTCCCCATGCCCACTTCCCTGCAGTGGGGCTCATCTTCTCTTCTTCCCCTCACCCACTCTCTTGCCCCCTCACCCCAGTGGGGCTGATGCTCTCCTCTTCCCCTCCCCAACTGTTACCACTCCTGGGGCTGACCCTCTCCTCCTCCTATCTCCCATCCCCCTCAGTGGCTGATCCTCTCCTCAGAAGGCCCTGGCTGTGACAATCTGGCTTCCTTCACTCCCCAGTCTCTCAGCACTTCCACAAAGGTCAATTAATCACTTCATTTGAGAGTCACCCTCCCTTTTACAGATGAAAATGTTGAGACCTAGAGATTAGGGTCTCACCTGGACAGTTGAGCAGAAAGAGACTGTGAAAGTAAGTAATTCAAAATTCAAGCTACTAAAACTCTAAATTATTTTTATTATGGGGCCTGAGTCATGTAACAGACAGCTGTAACCTAGGCAGCTGCAAACTTTTGTTCCTCTGATTACAAAGTTAAATCTTTCTATTAGCTGCATTGTTTTGTAAAACATTGTAAATGGCCAAAGGGCACCAGGAATACCCCTTTTCTCTCTGCTGCTGATTTTCATTGTAAATTCACCTCTCTCTTACCTTTTTCACCCAAAACTTCTTGGCTATCACATTTCGTTAAGGTAGAATGCTAAGGGAGCTGTGGTGGCTCAGGCTGGTTACCCTGGCACTTGGGGTAGGTAAGGCTACACGTTCAAGGTCAACCCGGTCAACATTGATTTAAAAAAAAATTTTTTTTTAAAAAGGCCAGGTGCAGTGGCTCACGCCTGTAATCCCAGCACTTTGGGAGGTCGAGTCAGGTGGATCACAAGGTCAGGAATTCGAGACCAGCCTGGCCAATATGGTGAAACCCCATCTCTACTAAAAATACAAAAAAATTAGCCAGGTGTGGTGGCATATGCCCATAATCCCAGCTACTTGGGAGGCTGAGGCAGGAGAATTGCTTGAATCTGGGAGGCAGAGCTTGCAGTGAGCCGAGATCGCACCATGGCACTCCAGCCTGGGTGACAGAGCGAGACTCCGTCTCAAAAAAAAAAAAAAAAAAGAATGCTAAATACGATCTCTTAAATTGGAAATAAAATGAAAACCAGCTAGAAAGAAAACAAACCACACGGGAAAAAAAAAGCCAAACTATAACTAACAGTTTGTTGTAACTCATAAACCAGCCTTGTATAGAAAATGTTGTAATGCTGTAAAATTTCTTCATCTTCTTCCTATATAAGCAATAATGTTGCCTTTAACTAGGGAGCACTGACCCCATTTCTCTGGAGTTTGTGTGTCCTGGTGTGGCCATCCCCAGCTTTTTGCTTCAAGAAATCTTTAAAATGGGATTCTGGCCCTTTTGATTATTTTAGCTTGACAAGGTCAAGGGCAAATAATAAACCTGCAGAGTGTGCATTGGTAGATACTGAGCTTGGCAGATTTTCATAAAGTGAATGCCCCCTCCAAGTAACTCCCTCTAAAACTAAGGTACAGCACCCAGGAGCATCTCTAAGGCCTGCTTGGCATGCTCAAGGGCACAGGTGTGTGGCCCAGGGCCAGGGGCACAGGAGGCTGGGGTTTTGGGGCCATGTCTCTCCCACCCCAGTAGCCAAGAGCCAGCATGATCTGATGTTGCTGCATGTGTCAGGCCATTCTTGCATTGCTATAAAGAAATACCCATGCTGGGTAATTTGGCTCATGGTTTTACAGGCTTTACAGGAAGAATGGTGCTGGCATCTGCTTCTGGGGAGCCCTCAGGGAGCTTTTACTCAGATGCAAGGTGAAGTAGGAGCAGAGACCATCACATGGTAAGAGGTGGAGCAAGAGTGAGGAATGGGGGAGGGTGCCACACACTTTCAAACAACCAGATCTCATGAGAAATTTTTCACCATCACATGGAAAGCACCAAACAATGAAGGATCCGCCCCCATGACAAAAACACCTCCCACCAGGCCCCACTTCCAACATGGGATTACATTTCAACATGAGATTTGGAGGAGTCAAATATCCAAACCATATCACTGCACCCTTGTCAGCACTTCTGAGTTGAGCCATTCTCCTGGGTACACATGTAGTGGCATCTCCTTGGAGTTTTAATTCTCTCGTGATGACTTCAGTAGAATTTTGACTCTTGCAGTTTCTCCCTGTGAATGTTAATTAAGGAGCGATAACTAACCAGTTACCCCCTGCCTGTGTAAAGCACCAGAAGAAAAGCTGGTAAAAGAAAAGACAGAGAGTTTGTCAGGAGAAGTTTGTCAGGGCTTGGCAAAGGTTTGCATGAGCCAACCCCAGTGCTCTGGGCTTCTACTCCTTTGAGTTGCAAGTGAAAGCTTTCTGGCAAATGCAATGGTAAAAGTATGTGTGAATATTAATAAGAAATATATATATATATGTATTTTTTTTCAGACAGAGTCTAGCTCTGTCACCCAGGCTGGAGTGCAGTGGCGCAATCTCAGCTTATTGCAACCTCCGCCTCCCGGGTTCAAGCAATTCTCCTGCCTCAGCCTCCCTAGTAGCTGGGATTACAGGTGTGCACCACAATGCCTGGCTAATTTTTGTACTTTTAGTAGAGACAGGGTTTCAACATGTTGACAAGGCTGGTCTCAAACTCCTGACCTCAGATGATCCATCTGCCTTGGACCCCCAAAGTGCTGGAATTACAGGCGTAAGCCACTGCGCCCCACAGAAATCTATATATTTGGTCTCTGTCCACGCATGCATGGTTCCTGACACACAGTTCCTAGAACACTTGGAATCTCTGAAGTGGTAAGTGTCTTTGTATTCTGATGAGATTACTGGTGGCTGGGGACACCTGCATAGCTTCAGGATGGGGACTGGTTGCCAGGGGAACCAGTTCCAACTTTCAGCTCTACCTTTGAATTCTGGGGAGGGGAGAGGGGCTGATGGTTGGGTTGATCACCAATGGCCAACTGTGTAATCAATCTTGGTTACATAATAAAACCTCCAAAAGGAGAGAGTTCAGAGAGCTCGTGTACTGGTGAACAAGAACACATCCAGGTGCTGAGAGGATGGCACTCCCCAAAACTTTTCAGAGACAGAAGCTCCTGTGCTCAGAACCCTTCCGAATCTCACCCTTCAGGTCTCTTCATCTGGCTGTTCATTTGTATCCTTTCACATATCTTTTGTAATAAACTGGTAACTTAATAAATACAATGTTTTCCTGGGCTCTGTGAACCACTCTAGCAAATGATGGAAACTGAGATGGGGGTTGTGAGGGGTTGTGAGAACCTCCAATTTGTAATCAAGTTGTATGGAAGGTGTGGGTGACCTGGGGGCCTATTACTTGAGATTGGTGCCTGAAGTAGTGGCAGTCTATGGGACCAAGACCTTAACTTGTGGGGTCTGAGGCCAACTCCAGCTAGATAGTGTCAGAATTGAGTTGAATTGTTCCATCCCAGCTGGTGGTGCGGAAAAAACTCATACATTTTGATAACCAGAAGTATTCTGTGTTGAGTGTAAATACACAGTTGGGAAAAATAATGGTATTTTCCTATATACTTTGCAAGGAGGACAAATGATTCGGAGGGGGCCCAGTCTCCCATGGAGAACAGCAAGGTACATATAGAGAAGGCAAGGAACAGATCAAGAGTCCCCAGTGGGGGATGCAGGTGACTGGAAGGCAGGTGTGCTGGGGGAGGGAGTGCCCAGGGCTGAGACAGCACTGTCAGGATTCCACCAGGATTCCCATAAGTGGGTTTCCTGGCTGTAGCATTCCTCCAATGCATTCAAGCACAGCATTTCTTTTTTTAGGATTTTCCTCAGGACTTGAGTGCTGTAAAAACACACCCTAGGGGATGCTTTGAGGCACTAGGAAGTCAGCAATTTTTTTAGAGCAAGAAATGGGTAAGACCCGCTCTACATTTTAGGAAAGATGTGCTGGTGACTGAGCGGCGGAGGGAGAGGAGGCTGGAGACAGAGGGCAACTGGTGGCAGCTCTAGTAGTCCTGGCAGGAATTGGCAAAGACCTGAATGAAGGCAGCAGCGGTGGGCAAGGGGCAGAGACGCACAGGAGGAAGCTATTTCAGGATACATCTATAGGACTTGGTGACAGATTTGGTGTGGGGAGGAGAGGGAGGCGTGGAGTGTGGCTGCTGGGTTCCTGGCTGGGGTTAGGTGGTGTATGGAGATGCAAAGGATCCAGAATGGATTGGGTGGGCCACATGCTGACATGGGCGTTGTCACGAACCTTCAATGTGATTGGAGCTGCCACCCTTTCCTGGCTCTTTAGCATGAGAAGGGCCAGCTTAGCCAGAACCCCAAAAGCGGCCAGCAGGGACCACGCTGGGCACAGGTCCAGGGACAGCAGTGAGGCTCTGCTGAGCGGTCTGCCGAGCCGCTGGCCCTCTCCATGAACCTCACGGCTCATCTCTCAGGTCCCTTCAGTGCAGCCGCTGCATTTATACAGTCTAAGTCCCCTACCCTTAAAGGAGATGCAACATTTATTTTAAAATCTCTCTGAGGTTTTGGTTTTCCTTTTAATCCCAAATGGCCTTTTAAGCTTCTGGCTCCTATATTTAACCTATCTAATGAGATTTCTTTTCCAGTAATTCCTGAAACTGGTAATCTCTAATTGGGTCAAATTCTCTACCCACAAGCCAGCGATTCTATTTTTAGTGCAAATCCTCAGGCTGAAGCTCCTCCGGCCTTTCAGACGCAGCTGTCAGAGCCGACTTTCCGCCACACTCCGCTCTCCCGAGCCAGACCCTATTTTGAATATTTTCCCAGTGCATTTCAGGGTAGGCCTGACTGTCCGGCCCTCCTGGCCTCCCCTCCATCTTCAGCCCCCAGGATGGCTTACACAAATCCATTTAGTGCTCATCAGCTTAGGTCCCCAGTGTTACCATAAATAACCAAGTCCAGGCAGCCAGCTTGGGGAAAGCACCTGAGCCCTCCCCATTCCTGTTGCCTTTTGTCCTAGTTGTGGGTGATCCACCTGGGAGAAGGACACGTAACACAGCAGAAAGACAACCCCAGTTTCTGTTACCAAGAGCGTTGCTGACCCTGAAAGTCACTGGGGATTTGGAGAATTCCTTTCTGCCATCCTTATTTGGCCAGGGGACTCCGCCCATTCTGAGGATGCATGCAGGCCCCCCAATCCTGCCTGCAGCCTTCTCGGGTGCTTCCAAGTGGGAAGTGGCCCCTTCTCCAAGCCCTGATATCAGTGTCCTCACCAGTGTCAGATTTTACTGCCCTGGGTGCTGCTTGCTCTCCCGCCTCCCTACCTCCACCCCTGCACTGCGAGCTCCTGGAGGGCAGGGTGGGTCCTGCCTCTATCTCTGTGTCTCCGCAACTGTGCACAGTGTGTCCGAGGCAAGTAACCCACCTTTATCACAAGGCTGCCCTCAGGGGGCCTCTGCCTGGGGAGACCCTGGCTCCAGCTCCCGTTTGAGATGCACACATCTCAGCTCAGCTTGAGGGGCCAGGGAGAGCACGAGCTGAGTTTGGTATGGGTGTGCATGTGTTCAGAGTCCACCATGCTGAGCCGATCACCATGGGGACCAGGGCTAGGAAAGCCCCAGCCCTGTTTCTTTAAAAGTAAGGATGCTGGTGAGAAGGGAGGCAGGCTCAGGGTGTCCATGGTTTCTTATCACCTGCCCAGCCTTCCCCACAATGTCTTTACCCCTCAGCAGGCTCTGCTAAGCAACAGCCCTCCATTGGGCTGTGTCCACAGTGAGACTCTGCTCTCTCTGGAAGGTTCTTTCCCACTTCCCACCCTCACAGAGACACTCAAAAGAAGGAGACCAGGCCAATTTCACCTTTACCTCACAAACCTCAAGTCTTGAATTTGGGAAGACATTCCCAGTTTCAAACAATTTGACCACTGGTAGTCTCTGGATGTGGCTTGATTTTGATTCACGAAAATAGAGTCACCATATCCATAATTTTTCCCTTCTGTTGACTTTGGCCAAACTTTCCATGATGGTTAATGTTATTGTCAACTTGACTGGGTCACAGGGCCCAGATATATTTGTGGTCAGACATTATTCCGGATGTTTCTGTGAAAATGTTTTGGCATGAAATTCACATTTAAATCAGTGGACTTTGAGTGAAGCAGCATGCACTCCCCAATGTGGGTAGGCGTCATGTAATCAGCTAAAGCCTGAAGCGAACAAAAAGACCAACCTTCCCCAAGGAAGAAGGAATTCTCCCACAGATGGGCATTGGACTTGAACTGCAGCATGGGCTCTTCCCTGGGTCTCCAGCCTGCTAGTTCGCCCTGCAGATTTCAGACTTACCAGCTTCCATAATTACATGAGCCAATTCCTTAACATAAATCTATTTTTCCATATGTATATATGTATGTATATATAGATATACACACATCCTATTAGTTCTGGTTCTCTGGGGTGCCCTGACTAATATACTCCCCTTGTCCGGCAGATTCCAGATATCACCACAAAGTGTCCTTCCTGAGAAAGCTGTGTGAACATGTATCAAAATCAACCAGGAGGTGCTGGAAGAAAGCGGGCAAGTTGTGGCCTGGTTGTACAAATGCTCCTGAGTGATGTGATGCTCAGCAGGGAAGAACCCTAGGGCAGCTGCTGTTTCTCTCAATGCCACATTCCCTGAGTACCTTTGGGCATCCTGGTCATGCCGGCCAAGAATTGCTGTCCATTGAAAACACACCCAAACAGGATATGTGGCAAAGACCGGGCACTATTTATAAAGTCAGCAGTCATTCCCAAGTCCATCTGGGACAAGCAAAAACCTGTCCCAAGAATCCACACTCAAGGCTGACATCCTTGATCGAAAGCCAGATAGAACATGGACAGGGATGGACCTCAGGAAGTCCCCTATGAGGGTGATGTCCCCCCCAGCCAGCTCCACTTTTTGACTGGAGGAGTCCTAAACAAATATACATGCCATGGTTTCTAATTTGCAGCATCCCAGGGAGCATAGCAAGGACAGAGCATGTACCACACGCCATGTTTTCCACCAGATAGGAGAGCTCACCTTCATTCTCAGGAGTGGAGAATTGCAGTTCTTTAGTATACCTGCTGTAAATCTAATTTCTTTTCAATTTAGTAGAAAGAAATTGCAATTAAAAAGAACAAGACCAAGATGCACCTGCTTTGGGCTCTTGAGTGGTGTGCGGCGTACATCAGGGAAGATGGTTCTGCCTTGGGAAAACCCAAGTGGGTGTGGGGGTGGGCTGGAATTACCTGCTGTCTCCATCCAATAGTTTGGACAGAATGGAACAGACAGGCTTCAGCGCTCTGCATAAGGATAGTATCGGGGTGTTAAAGTTTTTGCTGGAAGTTAAAGAAGCTGGGGCATCAGTAGGCCTGAAATGGGGTGGGGGAAACAGAAAGGGTCTCAAAGGGACTTGTGGGACATCAGGGTCCTAGTGCACTGGGGCCAATGGAGTCCTGGAAAATGAAGTCTTAGGACATCTGGATCTTATGTTCAGTTTGAAAATATCTCCCCTGAGCAGTGCTGTGCTCCTTCTTTCTCTCATCCTCTGTGAAGTTTGCTGTGCAGAAGAGCTTTGCTTTGCTCTTAGAGGATAAAGGAATGTTAGAGGATAAAGGAATGAGGGGAAGGTGTATGGTGGGAGAAGACAGAAGAAAGAGGCCATCAAAGAAATGCAAGCCCCACCCATTCCTGCAGATGTTGGGGACACTGGTTTTCCCTTAATACAAGGGAAAACCCTCTGCTGGCCCCAGGGGAGAAGGTCATGTTGTAAGCCAGCAGGATTAGGGACCATGGGATGCCAGCAATGGCTACTCATGGAATCTTAGAGATCAGTGCCCTCATGCCATATGGGGCCTGAGTTTCCAGAGGCATCTCTAGCTGTGGGTTGAGTGAGATCATATTTACAGTAATCAATCCAATGTCCAGCACTCAGGCCTGGCCTGATGCACAGCCTCTAGCCATCTACCATGGTCCCCATCCCGGGGTCATCCAGACCCTTCCACCCTGGCCCATGGCTGACATCCACTGCTGTGAGACCACTTCTTGTCTCAGCAGTGCAACACAGAAACTTCACAGGGACTTCAGCTGTGTGTAGGAGGGGAGAGCAGCTTCTGCCCACCCAGTGTCAGGGTACCACATCCTGCACCTCTGGGAATACAGGTCTCCCTGCTGCTGCCTCTAGCCCTTCCTTTTTGGGGCTGGGCACTCTCACATAACCCAGCATGGCTTTGACAACTTGCAGCTCCTCATGCACTGTTATCTCCTAAATCCATTGCTGCATTCCCTCTATTTGCACCGCCTTACCCTGGTGCAGCCCCCACCCCCCACCTCCCACGTTACGACCTTGGCAATAGCCTCCTCATCCAGTCTTCTCAGAGAGTCGTGTGAGGGCCAGATGCTGACCAGCCACCACCTCACCATCATGACCCCTTTTCTGCATGTTGGGGTACACCCAAGCCATGCCAGAGCCATGCTCTTCTGGCTCCTTTCTCTAGAAGCACCGGGTATATTTATGGTCACATATTTAGGATTATTGGGTTAGTATCTGCCTCTCCCACCTAGCCAGGGTTCCTGATAGAGTGAACCCCACCTACTCTGCTCAATACTGTATTATAAGTGACAATGATTATACATAAACCTCCTCCTGCCAACCAGTTCTCCCTGCAAGGCAGGACACACAATCATGTTTATCTGACTCCTGATGTCCCTTAGTCCAGCCTGAGACCCTGGCATGGCATTGAGGACAATGAGACCTCCAGGGTAATCCTCCCACGAGCATTACCCACAGTCACATGGAGGTGAATGGCAAAGCCGGCTCTGAAGCCTCACTCAGTCCTCTCACTCAGTCTGCTTCCCATGATGCAAGGGAATGCCACACAGTGCAGAACAGTGATGCTTGGAGTGGCCAAATTGGTGAGATCAGATCTTGCCGCCCTTGTGCACACAGGCTGCTGCTGACTCACCCTCCAGCCCCTTTATCCAGTTGTAGCTCCTGCCTTTAGCTCTAGGACCCTTCCACTGGGTTCCAGCTGTCTGGGTGGTGCCCTCCCTCCCACGTTCTAGGACTGGAGGAAATGGGTGACCAGCAACCCCCACCGTGGTCATGTAGCCTGGCCAGGCCGGGCAGGGTGACATGGGCCAGTAGCGGGAGTCACCACCCAGTGGCCCTCCCCAGACCCCAGAGCGGTGGGTCTGACTGAGCTCAGCTGTTCCCTGCTGAGTGTAGACGTGATTCTGCCATTGCTGGCCCTTCTATTATGACAGCCAACACAGTCATAGTTTTGGATTAAGGTAGTTTGAGTTTGCGTTGGGGTTTTCTGTCACTTTTTGACTGGAAGAGTCCTAAACAGATATACATGCCATGGTTTCTAGTTGCCATCTGCAAGGGAATTAAAGACCCCTTCATTTGTCCCCACATGCTCCAAGAGGAAATACTCAGGGGGGCTGGGTCCCACACTGTGTCTTGCATCAGATGAAGTCAGGAGTTGGGAGCTGCCCCTATGAAGGGGAGAGTTGGGGAGGAGGCTGCATCTTAGGGTCTGATCTGTCTGGGCTGAGCCCCACTGATGTCAGCTGGTTTCCAGTGTTTCACTGTTTTGAGCCTGTTGTGTGAATCATTTGATTACCTAGAAATTGCTGTGACAAAATTAACTTTACTGACTATCCTATAGACACAAATCAGCAACCTCTTTCCTAAACAGCCTCATTTCCACAAGTGGCTCAGAGTCAATCGACTATATAGAGGCTGCTCTCTCTTTTACAAATTCACAAGGGAAATTTGTCCCAAAAGACAAAGCATGAGTGGAGTACGATACACACTCATCTGGAAGCCAAACGTCTGACCAAAGTCAGTGGAAATCAATGAGCTCTCCCAGGACAGAAGCTGGTTAGCTGGCTTCCCTGGCTGTCATGGCTGCTGTCCAGATGCCTAAATGGATATATTTTGCTCTAAGAGTTTGAATGGCACTCACCCACTTCTGTCTACCCAGAACACTGAATTGTTAGAGGAAAAATTGTTGACAGGGCTGGTTGCTCTGCTTTATACTTTGTGTGTATAAAGTGTAGGCTCTGTGTGCATGCGGGCCTCTCTTCCGACCATAACCCTGGGGGCCAGGTGCTAAGTTCCCAAACTACAGAAGAGGAGAAGCACAGAGAGGTTGAGTAACTTGCTAAAAGTCACAGCTGGGAGGGGTGGTGTTGACATGTTAGCCCAACAACCCACCTCAGGGGTCCACACTCTTTTAGCCATGATATCATGTAGTTTCCCCTGTGGTGGCTATGAACTGGGTCAGATGGGCTGAGGCTCCAGGATGGGCCCACCCTGCACCACCCCCATGATCTGGGCAATTCATTTAGTTTCTACAAAGACCAGGACCTTCAACAGTTATGGGGCTCCAATGCAAAGGTAGACTAGAGAGATTTGTAAATGGTGAAAAGCCACACCCAGTGGTGTTATTGTAGCAAGAAGCACTGCACAGAAAACCAAATACCACATGTTCTTACTTATAGGTGGGAGCTAAACATTGAATATACATGGACAAAAGGATGAGAACCATAGACACTGAGGACTGCTAGACAGGGAGGGAGGGGGACATAGACTGGAAAACTACCTATTGGGCACTATGCTTATTACTTGGGAGATAGGATCTGTACCCCAAACCTCAGCATCATGAAATATACCCATGTAACAAACCTGCACGTGCACCCCCCTGAATCTAAAAAAAAAAAGGTAAAAAAAAAAGAAGCATTGCAGTCATGTCTTGAATAAGGCACCGGCCTCCCATATTGGGAGAGAGAGGGAAAGAACTAGAGCCCCCACCATGTGAACAAGCAGGCTCAAATTATCCAACGAGTTTGTTTTTATTGAGAAGAAGTGTATCTGTGGCTATATGGAAGTAATTGCATGCCCATTCTCCCAGATGTGCAGAGACAATGTCGCGGATGATGGTGCCCTGCTATTTGCTGGCCTCTGATGAAGGAGGCAGGTGCTCCCCCGAAGAGCAGAATCGCTCATTGTGGGCCTCACAGCACCCCCCTCCCCCGCCCTTGGCTGTTGTTCTTTATTTACCCAGTGCAACACGAAACCTTAGCCAGGGTAGACTATATGTTAGGTGTATTTTTTGGCTTGGGCTACCATACAAACCCACTGCAGACTGGGTGGGTTTACACAACAGACATTTATGGTCTTGAAGTTCTGGAGGCTGGAAGTCCGAGATCAAAGTGTCGGCAGGGCTGGTTGCTCTGAAGGTTCCAGGGGACCATCTCTCCTGGCTTCTGGTAGTTCCTTGGCTTGTGGCAGCATCAATCCAATTTTCACTTGGCGTTCTCCCTGTGTGTCTGTGTGTCCACATTTTTTATAAGACACCAGTCATATTGGAGGAGAGGCCCACACTACTCCAATATAGCCTCATCTTAACTAATTACATCGGCAATGACCTTATTTCCAGATAAGGCCACATTATGAGGCAGGGATTAGGACTTCAGCATATAAATGGTGGGCAGAGGGGACCACAATTCAACTTTTGACACCCACTAAGAGGACATCTTGCAATCACTTTGTCGTATCTCAGATAATTTCCCTGTTATGCCTGGTGCAAACTGCCCATCTGAAGGCCTTCTTCTTCCAACCTGGGAAATGTGGAGACAGTATTAACATATTCACAGCTCAAGTCCACACCACTGACAATAACAATTTTCAATTCTTACCCCTCCCAGGGTTTAACAACACGAGTTGGAGGACCCCCAGATTCCCACCAGAATCTGGTCCTCTCTGTGCCTTGGGGCCAGCTCCAGAGCATGTCTAGGTCTCTGCTTCTTCATCAACAAAATGAGGGTGATAAAATCTGCCTTCCAAGATGCCATGGAGCATCAATGAGAACTACAGACATGAGAATGACATGTAAACCACACCACACCATGTATCCCTGGATACTTTATTAGGACTTCATATTAGGACAAGCATGTGTGACAGTAAGCAAAGGGTACTGCACCTATGACTGAACCTCTTTCCGTCCAAAGCCTAATCTGAATCCTTATAACCTCGTTTGAAAGCAGTTGCTGCCAATCTTGCCAATGATTTTCTTTTTTTTCTTAAAGAGACAGACTCTTATTAAAAGAGAAGTCACCCAGGCTGGAGTGTAAGATCATGGTTCACTGCAGCCTCAAACTCCTGGGCTCAAGTAATCCTCCCACTTTAGCCTCCCTTAAAACTCATTTGCCGCTGGGACTAAAGATATGTACCATCACTTTCAGCTAATTTTTAAATTTTTGTTGAGATGAGGCTTCCTTATGTTGCTCAGGCTGCTCTCATGTTCCTGGACTCAAGTGATCCCCCTGCCTTGGCCTCCCAAAGTGCGGAGATTACAGGCATGAGCCACTGCACCTGTCTGAATGTCATTTTTTGAGTGAGGACAAAGTTGAGAGCCAAAACAGGTAAAAGAAGGTGCCATTTATTTGTAAACTTTGCACCCAGATTAACTTTATCATACTTTTTCATTTTCATGTAGTTTGATCCTTTTTGGATATTATTCAGCTTTTCTTTAATAAATTGTTAGGATCCAAAAATATACCACACCAGTTAACAAGAAAATCTTCACTTCAATCTTAACACTTGAAAAGAAAAATCTTGCAGACTTTGCTCCTATTTGGGGATAAGCAGGGGACTAGTGGATAGAAGAAGGTGCTTTCTCAAGTCAGTGACAGAGGTTGGGCCATGCCATCTTTTCAGAGCCAGTGCTGCCCTCTGAGGGCTTCAGCTCAAAGAGGGGAGGAAGGCAAATGAACAGAAAATGAGGCTACAGAGTGGTGGGTATGAATTTTCACGGAAGACTGGGACTGGGGAGAAAGCAACGAGCTGTGCCAGAAGGAGCCAGAAAGGTTTCAGAAAGGATGTTCTGTTGGGGATGCTATTCCAGGAGGAGGGACCAGCTGTCATCAAGTGTCTGCTGGGGGCCTTTGGTGTGAGCTACTGGGGACATGGGATGGGAAAGTGCCCCTACTCTAGACAAAGCCTAGAGGTGTCATCATCTGCAACTATTAAGTTGAAGCATATGAAAGAGCTGACATGTGACAACTTTGGCCCTTTTACAAAAACGGCAATTTTGTATGGTTCAACCTGATACCAATTCCAGATAAAATGGAAATGCCTCAAATTCTAACCTTTGTTCCGTATAACAACACGTGGAATCCCTGAGAGTTAATGGAATCCCTGGGGCATTTCTAAAATAGACCAATGCCTGGGCGAGATCCCTTAAATCCTGGTTTCTGGGAGTGGGGCCTTCTGCAGGGGGCCTAGCCTCCTGGTCTCCATTATTTCATGGGATCCCAGTTCCTGGTCTATCCATATTGAGGGGACGAGAAGCAGCCGGGATAACGGAGGAGGCAGGGGTTCTTGCAGTGGCTACTCCTCTCTAGGCCTCCTGGAGGGAGCTGATCATGAGAGATCCTCACTGTAAGGGGGATGCAGGCAGCCCAGGGGCCGTCTGAGCACCAAATGACATCATGTACTTGAAGCACCAGCACAAAGTTGTCTCCCTCATAGTGAATGAATGTAAGCAGTGGAATTCGACTCGCGGGTTTTAACCCCCATGGGCCAGCGTCCTTCCCTCCCAATTGTCCTGCTAGAAGAAAACGTTTCGCTCTCTCTCGGGTATCCAGCTAATCGTTAAGGCAAACAGCAGCGCCCCTTTTCCTTTCATCTCTTGCCCCATTTCTGCACCTACAGCCTCACACCTTCTTCCCGGGACACAGCACTGCCAGGAGCCCATCCTGGTTCAGTTCAGTACCCAGGAGGAATCCCTCGGGCCGACTCCCAGGACTTTGTTTCTTGGACTTCACCACCGCCGCCTCCCCAGCACAGCTCCCGCAGCCCGCACCCGCCCACAGGGTCTCCGCGACCCTAGAGCTTAGGGAAGAATTGCCGAGGGGCGGGGGGTCCCTCATGCGCATGGAAGGGACGTACGCCCCAGGCCTCCACCTTCCTCCTGACCCCGGGGATTCTTGGACGTCGATTCTCCGTCTCGTAGGGGCGAGGGCCCTGGGTTCGCAGTCAGACGCGGGCCCCTCTCAAATCTAGTGGCCTGGTTTTATTGAGTGGGGGAAGGCACATATTTTCCAAGATTAACTGCCCCGCAACAGGGAATTTCGCAGGATTTCAGTATTTTCGACTCCCCAGGTGACGCCAAGAGGGTGGGTTCCACTGTGCACGGTGGGGAAACTGAGGCTCGGAGGGGACAAGGAAGGTACTCGAGGTCACGCGGCTCCTCCGGCGGGCGGGAACGCAGGACGCGGAGTTGGGGCGCGGGCTGTGCGCGCCCAGGTTCGCGGCTCCCGGGGCTCGGCTGTCGCAGCGCGGTCGCCGCCGAGGACCACGGTCGGGGCGCGGGCGGGCTCCAGTGCGCAGGCGCGGCGGGCGGGAGGGGACGCGCTCCGGGCGCGCGCGCGGGGCAGCCGGCGCCCCAACTCCGCCCGCCCCGCGCCCCGCGCCCCGGCGCCTCGCCGCCCGCCGCCCGCCCGCCCCGGCGCCGCCGCCCGCGCCCCGGCGCCCCGGGCCGGCGAGGGGCGCGCCCGCGGCCGCGGCCGCTGCATGGCGCTGAGATGGCGGGGGCGCCGCGCGGCGGAGGCGGCGGCGGAGGCGGCGCGGGCGAGCCCGGGGGCGCCGAGCGGGCGGCCGGGACAAGCCGCCGGCGCGGGCTCCGGGCGTGCGACGAGGAGTTCGCTTGCCCAGAGCTGGAGGCGCTGTTCCGCGGCTACACGCTGCGGCTGGAGCAGGCGGCCACGCTGAAGGCGCTGGCCGTTCTCAGCCTGCTGGCGGGCGCGCTGGCGCTGGCCGAGCTGCTGGGCGCGCCGGGGCCCGCGCCCGGCCTGGCCAAGGGCTCACACCCGGTGCACTGCGTCCTCTTCCTGGCGCTGCTCGTGGTAACCAACGTCCGGTCCCTGCAGGTGCCCCAGCTGCAGCAGGTCGGCCAGCTGGCGCTGCTCTTCAGCCTCACCTTCGCGCTGCTCTGCTGTCCTTTCGCGCTGGGCGGCCCCGCCCGGGGTTCCGCCGGGGCCGCTGGGGGGCCAGCGACCGCCGAACAAGGGGTTTGGCAGCTCCTTTTGGTCACCTTCGTGTCCTATGCCTTGCTGCCCGTGCGCAGCCTGCTGGCCATAGGCTTTGGGCTCGTGGTGGCTGCGTCGCACTTGCTGGTCACAGCCACCTTGGTCCCCGCCAAGCGCCCACGTCTCTGGAGGACGGTAAGTGCAGCCGCGCACCCCTCATCTGGTCTCGGACACACTTGCTGGGACGATGCTGGGAATGCCCGGAGTCGGGCGCGCTTTTTCCTATGCGGCGGGTGGGGACACTGAGGCTCCGAGTGGGGGTGTGTTCAAGGTCACTCCTACGAGTTGGGGACGCAGTCGGGGCTGGCACCCTCCGGCCAGGGCTCTCTTCAGAGTTACAATCCACGAAGCGCCCCTGGCGTGAAGTGTGGAGAGGGGAGACAGGTGTGGAGAGAGAAAGGTTTGGCCAAGGTCAGGGAGCTGATGAGCGGCCAGACGGCGGCCAGAGGGGTCCGCCGGTCTTTTGCCGCACCCATCCCCACAGAGGGACTGAAAGTGGGCGAGGAGAGCAGACCCCCAGGGCAAGCTCCAAGGCCGGCTCTGCGCGCAGCGCTGGGCTCTTCCCCTGCGCACCTAGAGCGCGTGCTGGGCTCGCCTCCCAACCCTGCGGACCCGAGGGTGGTATATGGGTGGTGGGAAAGGACTTCGGCTCTTCCAGCCTTGCTGGCCACCCTTCTGTGGACATGCCTCCGGCCCAGAAAGAGTGGGGTTTGCCAAGGTCAAACACAGTCTAGTCCCTGCCGCTGCCACTCGGCGGTTGCCCTGACCCTGCCTTTTCTGCGCCCGAACTTTGTCACTGTCTTCCCAGTCGGGCGGGCGAGATGGTTGCAAGGACGGGGACGCTGTCTGCCTCCCGCGGACTCTTCCTGGGCCCTGGAGGAGCCTGCTCTTCCAACTGCCCGGAGGTGGACGTGGACCAGAGGTCTTTGCCCCACGGCGGGGCTTTGAGAGCTTCCCCTTGTGCCCATCTCCAACGGGCCGCAGGGATGGGGCTGGGGAGTTGGGGGGTGGGGAGATTTGGAAGACCCTGAGGAGGGTTTTGTTTCTGCCTCTAGCTGCAGTTTAGCAGGGGGATGGTATGACTCAAATGGAGTGGGGGAGCCCATCTCACGAAAGGAAGCAGTGGTGGGAGCAAACTGGGGAGAGGTAAGGGGTCGGAGGGGAAGCTGAATCCAGAGAGATTAGGGAAGAATAACTGGGGGGCGGTGGTAAGGAGTCCCACAGCCCGGCCCCGGGGGACCAGCACCCAAGGATCTAAGGAGGCATCCTTAGACTGTGATGCCAGGGGCAGCACACAGTCAGAGGAGCCATGAGATGCTCAACCTGGCACAGGGATAGACACATCACTGGACTTGTGTCTTAGGGTCAGAGAGAGACCACCATGTGCTCAACCCGTGGGCAGGGGCGGGAGGGAAGAAGGCAGGAGTACATGGAGAATTGTCAAAGAGGGCGTCGGAGGAAGAGAGGAAGAGAGGTAGAGGTGAAGGGCAGAGGCACAAAAGGATGGCTAAAGGCTGAGGAAAGGGGAAAGGAGCCAGAGGACTTCATGTCCTGGAGGGGAAGGAGGCTCTTCCACAGCCTCCTGTGGGCAGCACGTGGGCCTTGCCTTATCAGTCTCAGGGGGCATTCCTGTATCTCCTACTGCCTCCACCCCCCATCTGTCTGTGTTTAGCCTGGGCCTCATGCTGGCCCCCACAGCCAGACCCGCAACCGCAAGACGGCCTCCCCAATCTGACCAGATGCCAGGGCAGCTTGGGAATAGGGAGGGGCTGAGCTTGGTCCCTGGGCAGGCCCAGGGATCCCAACCACACTGCATTCTCTCTTATTACACCAGGGAGTCAGCTGGTGTAATAAAAGGCTGCGTTATTGTCTTTCTCTTTTAAAATAAAGACATTTCCTATATAGCCTCTAGTCATTTCTTTTAGAGAATTAAAGATTAAAAAAGAGAGAGGGGAGAGTCTATAAAGGAGTTTCTGGACACAGGGAACTCTGCCTCTCCCCCTGGGATAAGATGAGCCCCTGTGACTGTCACTGTAGTGGGGAAGGAAGCCCATCCTGGGAGCAAGGATTCTTAGGGAGCAGACATCTGGGTTTCCCTGCTAGCTGTGACTCCCTGGGCAATCCAAAGCCTTCCCTCACTGAGCCTCAGGTTTCTCACCTGTGTAAAGGGCAGAATGGCCCCCTGCAGGGTTGTAGTGAAGGTAAACACTTCCTATTGGAAAAGCACATATTGGCCTTTTTAGAATGTTCTATTCAAGTCCACGTGTCTATACAGGTGGTAGTGATACTGACAAACACATGGGGATCAATGCAGGGAGACTTACAGTGGGGGGAGCAGGGCAGATGATTCCCAGGGATTCTGCTTTCCAATTAGAGAATTCCAGGAGCCTGTGAAATCTGTCCATAATGAGCTCTGCAGTTTGGTGCTTGAGATGGTGAAGAAGACAGCACACGCATTTACACAGCATTGATGTTTCTGCTGCTCTTCACTGCTTTACCATCCACTTTCTATTCAGACCTGTGCCACTGTGCAGTGCAGTCACTCGTTGACAGCACCTTGTCCTCCATACTGAGTTTTGGGCAGGTAGTAGCCATGCTGGGTGTGGAGTGGATGTCCCAAAGAGGATGAAAAATGGAGTGAATGAACGAAGGAATCTTTGCAGGGGATTTCCCTCACTGCATACATAGCAGGATGCTGCTTCAGAGTCTGAGATCTCCACAGTGATCTCCTGGTGCTGAGCCCAGTGAGTTCCAGAGTCGGGTTAACTCCATGGGGCAAAGGAGCTCCCTCCCTTGAATCCCACCCCTTTCTCTGAGACCCAAATGCCTTCTTATCAAGGATAGCCCTAAGGAGGCCTGGAAAAAGCCTGCGCTTTCTGAGGCCTGGGTTCAAGTCCCTGCTCTGAGCTATGGAGAAAGTTCTTGTGTTTTCTTTCCAGAGCCTTTGCCCCTCCAAAGCAAGGCTCTCAGGGTTCCCTGCAGCATTCATTGTTCCAGTTCTGGTGCACAGGGCTCTGGGAATGCAGCCTGGGTGCTTTGGGGCATCTGGTTCCTCTCCTGTAAAGCCCAAGCTGCCCCAGGACTCTGGGGGGCAGAGGAGAGAACGCTGAAAGCTAGTGTGCATGACTATTAGCACAGGTGGAATTGAGTAGCTAGGGCTTAGCTCCTCCCCCGGAGAAGTGCTTGATGCTGATGTCCCTGAGCAGAGAGGTCTTTAGGGGAAACAGCCTTGTTCCTACCTGGGCCGGCACTGAGGGGGAGGTATCCATAAATATGTGCTAAGTGGCCAGAACTGAGTTCCTTTCCTCTCCCAGCCCCTTGCTTTTGGGTCACTAATTGTACCTATATGACATACAATCCATTTTTATTTAGCCGAGCACCTGTCAGAACTGAAAGCATCCTATTCAAGACATCCTTGGCTGCTCACAGTCAGTAGGGGGCAAGGCCTGCCAGGGTGGGCTGAAGATCATGGGGGTGGGGTAGGGGTGAGTGCCAAGGACCATGGGGTATTAGGAAGGCAGAGAAAGGGAGACACTGGATGTCTGGGCTTGGCCTCTTGTGATGCCACTCACAGACTCAGAGAGCCTCAGAGGGAGCAGCTTGGAATCTTGGGAAAGGGGGGCCTGGGCAGGGCCCCAGTCCTTCCCACAGGAGTCCGCTTCCCACCCTGTGCCCTGCATTGCCTGGGGAGAACCAGGGTGCAGCACATGTGTGCAAGAGGAAGACCTGGTCTCTGCCAGCTCTGAGCTTCCTCCCTTTGCTACTTTACTCTGCACAGCCTTGAAATACCCACTTTTTGACCAGTGTGAATCAGGATATTGTATTTTTACCTAATTTTTTTCTGAAGTAGTAGGGATCCATTGCAGTGTGCAAATTATATGCTTTCAATTTCGTTGCTTATCAATGTAAATGAAATACATTTCTGTTCTGCCGAGTTCTTAGCTGTAGGCAGGATAACAGAAATCACGATTATCACGGAGAAATGGGAGTCAGCTGAAATTTCCCTGTGCAGCCCCAGTTATGTCTGAGCTCTGGTTCAGAACCATGGCTTGGTTGCTTGGAGGTGAAACAACCTAACCCCAGCACGCAGAATCATAGGGCTCAAGGGCCCTGGATGACCTGGTTGTTGATAGCAAAGCTCGTGGCCTAGGTGTGCGCTGGTGACACCAATCTGCCAGCCCTCAGGCTGTGTCCCGTATGCCTTTGTGTGCCCTGTGCCCACTGCCCAACATGCTGTCAACTCCCAGTTAACCCCATGCCCTGCCTCCCTTTCCCCAGCCTCTCCCTCTGCTGGCCCTACCTCCCCTGCTGGCCCCTCCTCTGGCTGGGCCTTCCTCCCCGGCTGGGATCCTCCTCCCCCACCAGCCCCTCCCGCTGCTGGTCCTTCCCCTGGCTGGGCCCCACCTTCTGTGGCTGGCCCCTACTCCCCCACGGACCCCTCCTCCACTTCCCCTCCCACTGGCCCGCTTATCTTCGTGGCCTGCAGCCTGGTCCTGTCACCATGGAGTACCCATCTGCTGTGCATCCATCTGCCTTGGTGGAGCCACTGCCTACAGCGACAGGGCTAGGGTTAGAGCCGGGTCAGGGAGGGTAAGAGGTGGGGTGCTCCTCCTGGCACAGGGGTCAGGCTGTGTGAAGGTAGGGAGTGGGCTTCCCTGCCTCCTGCTGTGTGGTGGCCTGGCGACCTGAAGGTAGTCTCCTTGTCCTTGGCTGGACACTCTTCCTGAGGTCAGTTTTGCTGCTGTCCTGGGCATGGCCCCCCACAGTGTGCTCCTGACTCTGGCTTCAGTCCTGTGGCAGCCTCGCTGCTTCCTCCAGCTCCAGATTGCCCCCAGGCCTGTGTTTAGTGTTTAGGGAGCAACAGCAGGGGACATCCATGCCCCTGGAAACTGCCCCGTCCCCCCCTTCCCCCTTCCCCCCTCGCCCCCATTTTTGTTTTTCTCGTAGGGGTGGGTGGTCCCCTGGTCCATTTCCCTTCACCCCCAGGCTTATCCTTCCTCAAGGGCAGTTAACTTTAACATAAAAAGCTTCCAGAATTGCCCCTGTCAGGGCAGCTGGGATGAGGGTGAGCAGGAAATGAGTCTAGACAAAAGAGAGGGAGAATGGTCCTGGGCATCGGGCCAGGGGCTCCCACTCACTCCACCTCTGAAGTGGTCCAGTGGGCCCAGGGGCTTTTCTCTGCCCCTCCACAATGTGCCCAGCAGGGGCTGCACTGTGGAAGGAGCCCTAGACATGTGCTGAGTCTGGTCGCACTGATGGAAAGTGGGCTGAGGGGCCGGGGGGCAGCTCCTTCATGGACCGGAGAAGAGCTGGGAGCAGACACAGGGGTGGAGTCTGCAGCTGCCGGGGCCTCCCTGCCTCTCTGCTCTGGTTCCCATGACCCCACGGTGTTTAGGTGCCAGGCTTGAGCACGGGGCTGGGGTACCGGGAGAATAAGACCTCCCTTCCTCTGGGAAGCTGCAGTCTATTGGGGAGACCCTGGTCAATAACTCACACTGTAGTCCCACAGGGCAGGACATTCAGGTGACCTTTGAAGGTGTGCACAGGGGACAGACCAGGCCTAACCACTTGAGGCGGCTTCCCTGTGGACTGGGCGCTCAGCCAGGATCACTGGACCAAGCACAGGGCTGCAAGCGAGCGAGAGTAGTGGGGCGAGTCCCGCAAAGGCCCAAGTGGGGCAAAACCACACTGTGGACTTGCCCTTTCTCCCAAGAGCAGTGCTGAGTGTGGCCACCAGGAGGTGGGAGTGTGCTGGGGGCTGTGTGAGGACCTGAGGGGACCACTCAGCAGGCTGCGGTCAGTGGTGTCCGCTTGCCACTGTCACCACTGGCTTTTAGAGTTGTTTGCCTGCCCTTTTGGGGCTCACGGTGGTTTTAGGTTGATGTCCCTCTCCTGTCACATCTCTGAGGTTGAGAGGGCCAGGGATCAACTCCTTAGGTTCACAGGTTCCTGCAGATGCCCAGAAATGTCCTTGGACCATTTCCTGACTCAGACGGAAGCTGGTGGGCATGTGAGGTGGGTGACTCTTCTGGCATTTCAGGGGCTCTAGTGTATCTGTGTGACTTTAGGCTTGGGATGATCCCCATGCCTCAGTTTCTCCCTCACCAAAGGGAACAGTAGCTCCCTTCTGTGGTTTTGTAGAACAGATACATCCTCCAGTTAATATGAATGGATTGTGCCTGGGAGGCGTTCCCTGTCCTCCCCACACTGTTCTGGGCTCAGTGAAGTGGGACCTACCCCTTACCGTCACTTACATACATAGCTGTATGTAGCTGATGACCTACTAGTTAGTCTGTGACTTAGTAAAACTGAACAGCTGCAGCGAGGCGCTGGTCTTGATCAAATGTTGGGAGAGACTCCCAGAATGCAGGTGGCAGGCATAGTCTGTTTAGCCCAAGTGTTCTCTGACAACTGTACTAAACACCCTGTGGAACAGCCCCAGTCGGAGG
The DNA here is from genome assembly GCF_000001405.40 of Homo sapiens. Classification (NCBI taxonomy): domain Eukaryota; kingdom Metazoa; phylum Chordata; class Mammalia; order Primates; family Hominidae; genus Homo; species Homo sapiens. The sequence goes on from NC_000007.14 coordinate 45,581,497, forward strand.
TGGCCATGTGTCCGCAGTGGAGGCTGGCATCCCTGTGGCCATCATGCCAGGCTGACCCCTTTTCAGCCAGGTTTTTGAGCCCCAAGCAGCATGGGGGCTGAAGTGGCAGGGGCAATGGTTTGGGCAGGAGAAGCAGCCTGACCACCTATCCATGTCCACATAACCCCCTTGTGGAGTTCACACGACCACAGGCTCCTCCCTTTACCCTGAGGGGCTGAGCAAGGTAATAGGAAGAGACCTTTCCTGCTCTCCATTTGAGCATATGAGTTATATCCATCCTTCCTCTTTGCATGAACATACACAAACACACATGCTCATGCATAAACACATGCTCATACACACACATAAACACACACACATACATGCACATACCCACACAAAAATCCTCCCAGATGCATACACTCACACTCATTCTCCCCCCAAACATGCATGCACATAATCACACAGAAACACACACTCATAAACCAGTGCATACTCACACATCCATACCCACTTGCGTGCATGCACTTACACATTCACATGCGCCCTCACACTCATTTTGTACCTACACACTAGCTCACACACTCACACAGTACACTCACAAATACATGCATGCTCACCCACTTATAGATTCACACACTCACAAAGCAATGCACATTTGCACACTGATGCACACTCGTAAACTAATGCACACTTACATGTTCATGCTCACCTACACTCACTTCACTGTTACTAATATGTGGGTCTTTTGAGTAGATGTGCCATCCTGGTCTCTGAGGGAGGGCAGCCTGTGCCCTGTGTCTCAGCAGCACCACCACAGAGACCTGGGTTGAAGCCCAGTTCCTGCACCTCCAGCTCCGTGACCTTGGCAATCTCAGAATCTGGCTTGTGAAGGGAAGCCAGGCTGCCAGCCTTACCTGCATCATGGAAGTGTAGTGAGGGCTAGTGGGAGGGCAGGCATGTCCACATGGGACTTGGGAGCTGTGGAGGCAGGGACCGGGCTAGGACTCTAAAGCCTTCCTTAGGGAAGGGAGTGGGGCTGTCTGCCACTCGGCTGTGCCCCTCTCTAGTGCAGGCCAGGGCAGGCACCTGGCGGGGGGTGGGGGGTGGTGGGGGATGGGGTGGGAGGCCTGCCTCCACTGCCCAGTCTTCCTGTTCTCCCTCCCAGTGTTTCTCCTCTGTCCCCTTTAACCCTTCAGCTCCCTGTGCCCTCTTCAGGCTGATCTGGGCTCTTCTCTCAGTGGAGCATGGGGTGTCTTCTGCAGTATTTTGCTAAGGGGGTCCCATCTGTCCTCCTACCCCATGTGTGTTTCCCTCTGCCGTGCAGAGATGCCAGCCCCAGGAAGGATGTATGAGGTGTGGGGGAATCCCTGGGGGCAGGGCAAGGAGAATAGGAGCCCACCGCAGCAGCCTAGCTCTGGCTTTGTGCTGAAGGCAGCACAGTCCCTGGAACAATCCCATCTCCCTGGATTAAAGGGATGGCAGGAACTGCTTTGATCTCCAGGCTTTAGTGTTCGCTCTGCCTTCAGTTTGGGTTGGGAAGAAAGCCTGGAGCTGAGAAGAGCTGTCTGCTTCCCAGAGCTCGGGTGTGACTTCGTAGAGCCTGAACATAGCTCTCTGGGTGGGGCCTCTGTATGGGCATGTGCCTGTGTGCACACATGTGCGTGTGGATACGTGTGACTGTACACATCGTGTGTGGATGTGCATGTTTGTATGTCGGTGCATGCCCATGTGCATGTGTGCATGCATGTGTGTTCTTACATGTGCATGTGTTTCCATGCGTGTATGCTTGTGTGTGCATACAAGTGCAAGAGCATTGGTAACATTTAGAGGAACCTGGGAGCAGGTGGACAGGATGCTGCCAGCAGTGTGGTGGGGTCCCCAGAAGTGCTGGGAGCCCTGCACTACAGCCTCTGAGCCCTGCAGAGGAGAAAGTCCATGCTGGTAGCACATTCTGAATCTGAGCACAACTTTTTGTTTTGATTCTAAAAATACAGAGCAGCTCTTTTATCAGAGTACAGTGTTTCCTTGTTTCCTTCTCCCAAGTAGACTCTTCTCTGAAGTAGACTCTTCAGCCTTTGGGAAGTGGCTCAGCCTGAGAAAATGCAGATGCATGGTGCTTGGCTGGCCTGGCTTCCTGGTGCTTGGCCACCTGGTGTTCTTTTCCCCCTTCTTTTTTTTTGAGATGGAGTTTCGCTCTTGTTGCCCAGGCCGGAGTGCAGTGGCGCTGTCTCGGCTCACCACAACCTCCGAGTCCCAGGTTCAAGCGATTCTCCTGCCTCAGCCTCCTGAGTAGCTGGGATTACAGGCATGCACCACCACGCCTGGCTAATTTTGTATTTTTAGTAGAGATGGGGTTTCTCCATGTTCGTCAGGCTGGTCTCGAACTCCTGACCTCAGGTGATCCACCTGCCTTGGCCTCCCAAAGTGTTGACATTACAGGCATGAGCCACTGTGCCCTGTTTTTTTTTTTTTTTTTTTTTTTTTTTTCAGACAAAGTCTCTTTCTGTAGCCAAGGCTGGAGTGCAGTGGCATTATCATGGTTCACTGCAGCCTTGAACTCCTGGGCTCAAGTGATCTTCCTGTGTCAGCTTCCAGAGTAGGTAGAGCTACAGGAGTGCACCATCATGCCTGGCTAATTTTATTTTTTGTAGAGATGGAGTGTCAGTATGTTTCCCAGGCTGGTCTTGAATTCCTATGCTTAGGTGATACCTCACCTTGGCCTCCCAGAGTGCTGGGATTACAGATGTGAGCCACCATGCCAGGCCCTGAGTGCCCTTTTCTTACTGACATGGTTCGCCTGATTGCCGTCCTGCTGCGTGTGGCACACCCTGGCTCTGGTGGCCCCCACTTCCTGGGAGCATCGATGCTTCCGATGGATGGGGAATTGTTGTTTACACAACAGGTGGCGTGGGGCCCAAGGCATCACATGTCCGAGTGTGGAGATGTCAGGCACCCACTGTGGACAAAGAGGATGGCCCCTTCACAGCAGGGCCATGCCTGGGACAGAGCCCCCCGCTGCCCCCTGCTGTATGTCTTTAACTGTGGTTCTCTGGCTGGCTCTTGCCCACTAGCCCTAAGGACTCACTTGACCTCCTGTCCCTGGACATGGTCCTTCTAGCGCCCTTCCCTGACAACTGGGCTCAGTGCTTTCTCGATAAACCTGTTTAATACTGCATTCTATGCTCCCTGTGCCCCCCACCTACCACACAGTCTAGAGCCAGGTCTAGAGGTCCCAGCCTGTGGCCAGCATCTAGGCTTTCCATGTGAAGCATCACCTGGTTACACTCCAGGAGGGCTTCTCTCCCAGCCTGTGGGGGCACCTGTGGGTTTTCTCAGCTCTACTGTCCAGTCTCTGGAAGCAGCATTATTGTGGTAAGCATGCAGCTGATGAGGGCGAGTCTGCTTAGGAGTATGGTGGAAAGTTCAGGAGATGCCAGGCAGTTGCAGGCCTGTGCCGGGAGTCAGGGCAGCCTGTTCTGGAACATTCTGTTCCCCAGGGAGCATGTGGCAGTGAGCATTCTGGTTGGTCACCTCGGTGTGCACCATGTGCCAGCCAGTGCAGCGAGCCTGTGCTGGAGCCATGCTCAGTGGCAATGCTCCCAGAAGTCATGAGTGCCTTTGCCTTCATTCCCCTATGAGAGGAATAGCCTCTTCTTAAGAGAATGCATTGCCTTTCTGAAACAACCGTGGCCTCAAAAAGGGATCTTAAATACTTGTTCGTTGAACTTGTTTTCTGTGACAGCTGTTTTCTCAAACCCTACCTGCCCTGCAGTGTCAGTGATTAACTGAGGGAACACAGTTTAGGAAACATTGGCTTAGCCTAAAGATTTTGAAATATCTCTGATAGTTAATTTTTAAAAATCTGTACTTGCAGACATCACAGATGTTTCATGAGCACTGACCATGTCCTGGTGCTGGGTGGGATCTCGTCACTGGCAGGGTCCCATTGGGTGGGTACATCTTTTTTTTTTTTTTTTTTTTTGAGATGAAGTTTCGCTCTTGTTACTCAGGCTGCAGTGCAATGGCGCGATCTCATCTCACTGCATCCTCTGCCTCCTGGGTTCAAGTGATTCTCCTTCCTTGGCCTAGCCTCCTGAGTAGTTGGGATTGCAGGCATGTACCACCACGCCCGGCTAATTTTGTATTTTTAGTAGAGATGGGGTTTCTCCATGTTGGTCAGGCTGGTCTTGAACTCCTGACCTCAGGTGATCCACCCACCTCGGCCTCCCAAAGTGCTGGGATTACAGTGTGAGCCACCACACCTGGCCCAGGTGGGCACATCTTTTATGCCAAGCACCTTGGCTTCAGTTTGTTCAAGGGTCAGAAATGGGCAGTGCCTGAGAGCTCAGCTGATGGTGTGACTCCTTTTGGCTGGTGTCACAGGTGCTGTGGGTGGGTGGGGGTGGACAAGCTGGAAGTGGCGCTGTTCTGAGGTTCTGGTGTTACCCTCTCTGGGAGGTTCAGATGGTCACCGTGTCATTCATTGATCTTCTGGGCAGGGATGTGTTGAGACACGTGGGGAGCGGACTGTCTTTGATGGGAGCTGTCCCCAGGGTGCTCTACCACCTGGGGGCTTGCATCTGTCTTCCTGACTTCCCTGCCTTGTGTTCCTCACTTTCCTGCTGGTGTCCTTATGTCAGATTCTACCAGTGCTTTTTCCTTTCTCCCTCCTAAGCTGACCTCGCGAGTGTGCATGACCTGGGAGGAGAGGCTGGGCTGTCTTGGAGAGGGGCACCATGGAGGAACAGGCTGCATGCGGCCCTAACACCCCCTTGGAACTGAGGTGCCAGTGGTTACACAGGAAGCACCAAAGACGGCTGCTTCTCCAGGTCCCCGTGAGAATCCTTTCCCAGGTCTGTTGAACATAGCTTCACGCATTAGAAACCTGATGACGGGAGCTCAGGGAGAGCCTGTCAAATTATTTTTTAAAAAATTGTGTTATTTTATTTTTATTATGGAAAATTCAAATATACACAAAAGTAGAGAGACCAGCACAGTGATTTCTTGAGTACCCATCACTGGCTCCAACAATTATCAGCATTCTGCCGGCCCTGTTTCAAATGATGCTAATTCTAAAACGCTTTTATTAATTCAAACACCAGAAGCTAACAAGCAATTACGTTAATTTAAAAACCCACTTGTGTGAGACACTGAAGAAGCAGCCATGGTTTAAAGAGAATGATGTCACACCAGCACTCAGCCGCTGGTGAGCACCATGGAGGGACTGAGTGGTGTCCACTGGGGGCTCAGTCAGGGAGGGGGACAGAGGGACCACTCCACCATCCAGACACCTGGGAGGTGGCAGGCTGATCGCAGTCTGGGAATTTACCAATGAGAACATGCCCAGTGCTGTGCAGGGAGCAGTTGTGTGGAGTCAGCTCCTTTGCTGGCCTGTGGCCCAAGTGCTGTTGGTTCATATGAGAAAGCACTCCCTCCAGCAGGCCCCCCGACCTGTGCCTGCACTCTTGCTCTGCTCAGGAGAGGCTGGTTTGGAGGACTGTCCTGCAGTGGTTCTCCTGTCCCCATGGATAGTCTGAATGCCACCCAGGCTGAGAGACTGTGCTGGGGCAGCCCGGGTGATGTCATGTTGAAAATGGGAGCAAATTCAATAGAGAGGTTTTCATACCCAATAGGAGTGATCCTGGGGTGAGAAGGGACCACCCAGACCAGTCCAGGGATCAGGAGGCTGCTCTGTAAAAGGAGGGAAACCCCTCTGGGCCAAGGTGGCAGTGAGGGTTGTGGGTCTGAGAGCATGCTCTGCCCAGAGCTGTGGCATGGCCAGGGCGTGTGCTTCCATGTATGTGCATGGCATGGCAGACAGGTCAGAGGTGAGTCCAGGGCTCAGCGGGTCTCTTGTGTGCCAGGGAGGTGGCGCTCCATCCAGAATCTGGGATGATGGGAGGGTCTGCCTCACGGGGACTTTGACTACAGCCTGATTGTGGGTTGTGTCAGGCGGTGGGGTTAGAGAGAAGTTGGTGGCATAGGGCTGTCAGGGGCAGGGCCTGATGAAGGCTTGAGAAGGACAGAGAGAGAACGTCAGAGGACTTGCAGGTTTGGCTTGGGCAGTGGCACCTGTCTCTGGAGGGGAGGAAGGACAGGTACCTGGGGATGTGGGATGATGATGTCAAATTGGGATACTTTCTCCAAGGACTATGGGACGTCTTGGGTTGGGGGAGGGGCCCAGGGCTCCTCCAGGGTGCTAGTCTAGTGACCACGAGTGGTGTCTAGCATGAGGGATGCTAGTCCAGTGACCCTCCAGTGTCTGATGATTTTCTCATGGTTAGACTGGGGTGTTGGTTTTCAGCAGGAGGCCTCAGAGGACATGCCCTCACTGCATTGTGTCAGGGCACTTCTGTCAACAGGACTCATCATGGCCAGTGCTGGCAGTTACCAGCTGGCTAAGGTGGTATTGGCAGGTTTCTCCTCCGTAAAGGTTTTCTCTTTACTTTTCCTTTTCCATTTTGTGCTTTTCCAAAGGAAGTTACTGTGCTGAGCCCATACTGAAGGAGTGGGGAGTTTACCTTCTTGAAGGCGGAGTAGCTATAAATGATTTGGAATGATCCAAATTTTTGCCTATTCATCTGTTATCCTTCATTTATTTTTTATTTAATCATTGATTTATATTAGTACTGATGTTTATTTTATACTTTGGGTTACAATTCAATACTGCTTTGTGTTGCTCAAATTGTTCCAACTTTGGCCATTGGGAGCTCTTTCAGTTGGCTCCTGTGTCCTTTGATACACCCCCTCCCCATCATTTGTGTGTGTGCGTGTGTGTGTGACACTTGCTTTACTTTCTGGCCCTGCAAGGTGCTCCAGGCCCATCTGCTTGATTAGCAAATATTTTCTCTGCCTGAGCCCAAGAATCAGTCATTTCTCCAGGGAGCCCCAGTTCCTTTTATTGGAGAATTTTATTAAAGACCATTACCTGGCCTCCTCATGTCCTCGTTGCTCCTGGGGAGCCATTGCTTCTAGTTTTCTCTCATTAGGCAGAGCTAGAACATATATGTGCACACACATTTCTATAAACGTTTGCATATGTACCCATCTGTGAATTAAGTCAAACACGAGTTCATCCTGGTGCCTCAGAGTCTAACCTGCCTCCCATAGTGAGGGGCTGGCCCTGGTGATGTTTTCAGGTGGTGCACAGTCAAGTAGAGATGCCCCAGGGCCTGCGGACAGGTCCTGCTCCTCCTGGCTGCCTTTTCCGAGCATGCTGGTGCTCAGTCTAGCAGACTCCCTGGGAAGCCCTTCTCTTCCCGGCTGTCTGGCTGAGTTAATCTGGCCCATGAAGATTTCTTCAGGGTGTTTCCAGGTGCTGGCTCTTTGGCCATTGGGGGCTCTTTCAGTTGGCTGCTGTATCCTTTGACACACCCCCATCATTGCGTGTATGTGTGTGTGTGTGTGTGTGTGTGTATGTGTGTGTGTAACACTTTCCTTACTTTCTGGCACTGCATGGTGCTCCAGGCTCACCCTGATGCCTCAGAGTCTAACCTGTGTCCCACGCAGTGTCCTTTGTTGGGTTTCTCCTTAGGTCTCTTTGATAAGCTCATTTGGGAGGTACTACAGTTGTCACCAATCTGCCCATCTGGTGGATGGAGAGACTGAGCCACAGTGATGGTGCAGGCAGAAGGCAGGGCTATGGCAGGGTCTGACCCTGGTGAGGACACCTGGACTCCTGTCCTCGCTCGCAGCCCAGCACAGCCCTTGCTGGGATGAGGGCCCGAGAGGGTGTCCATACTGGGAGACCAGCAGCCTGGTGCCACCCAGGGCCTGGCTGGTGTGGGCAGCATGTGGCTCTGGGCCACCTTGTGGTCAGGGAGTGTGGTGGTGGTGTGCAGATGGCCCGGGCCGGGCCGGGGTTGGGTCTCCTGCTCCAGGAGTGGCCAGCGGGCTGTGGTGGGGAGGCCGCCTGTCCCCCAGGCCCCTGCAGCCCTCATCTCTGAGTAGCTCGTGGTGACCCGAGCCTGCCTTTCTTGTCATTGTGACATGTGCTAAGCCACATTACAATTGCCTTGCCCCTGTGACATGCATCTTTTGGATCTAAATGCCCCTCTAGCCGTGAGTTCAGAGAGCTTCATGGAGAGAATCGAGAGTTCCAGACCTTGGGGACAGGTTTGGAACTCTCAATTCCAACACAGTGGATGCATTTGGTGGTTGAGGATGCTCATCTGGGAAAATGCGGGGGCGTGGGTGTCTCGGCGGGTGAGCCCTGTGCTCATGGGCAGGTGTGGGGCACTTGGCAGATGACACCCAGCCCTACTGAAGTGTCCTTTCTGCAGCAGTCTCTTCTCAACCACCCTCCACCGTGGGTTTTTTTTTTGAAGGGAGGCAGTGCCCAGCTCCTAGAGGAGTGGGTTGTTTGATGGCGCTTTTCCTTTCCAGGGCCACGGGGGTCTGAAGCTTCCAGTGGGAGTGTTGGTTTCACTGGTGACAGTGCCCTTCAGATATCCCAAGGGCAGGTAGTGATGGTTCCCATTCTCGTGAGGACAGATTGTAGTTAACAGAAATGGGGAGGCAAGCTAACGAAAAGAGAGGAGTGGCTGGTTCCCTCTGAGAAAGGGTTCCTTGGGCCCTGGGAGGGCTTGCAGGGGCACCTCCATATAGTGCAGAGATGAGGGGGACCGGCCGCCAATCCCCCCAGCCTCCACGGGCTGCTAGCCCACACGGAACAGCTCTGATGCAAACGGGGAGGGTCGGTCATCTTGACAACTGACCCGCCAGCTGTGCTATGTCCCCACCCCCCCATGGACTCCTTGTCATAAACCTGTAATCTAAGCCCATTGTGTTCCAGGAGGAAACCAGGGGAGAAAGGAAGCTAACATGTGGAAAATCTCCAAGGAAGGTTTTGTTCTTCCTAATTGTCGTTTTTGTTTTAAGGGCTGGGGTCCACCTGCCATTCACTTCCTTTAGAAAGTGGGTGGTGGCCTCCTGTGCAGGCTCCTCCGCAGGCCTTGCTGGCTTAGCTCTGGCAGCTCCAGTGCCCCATGTGTCCGATGGCCCCTGGGTCTTCCAGCTCCCTGCTCTGGCCCTGACCCTTTCCAGACATCCATGGTGTTTGGTGATTCTGAGCGCTGAACACACCCTAACATGCTCTGCGTTTTGTTTGTGGAAAAAGCCGGATCTGAGTGGTATCCACACCATGATGACAGCTCTGTCAAATGCACCGAGAGGGAAGCTAAATGGCCGTGTTCAGGTCCCATGGAGATCTTCAGGGTCATAGTGGAGATTTCAAGGTCACCTTCTTGATGCTCAGGGTCTGGGAGAGACCATCCTATTGGATGTCTTGCTGCCTTCTCTGACCCCTCACAGGTGACAGCCATCCCGTCTGGCCTGCAGAGGGTGTGGTCAGGGTGGTGCTGTCCAGCAGGGGCAACCTCCTGCCTGTGCCTTTGCCAGTGTGTGGTGTTTAACGTCGTCAGCCCCACAGGGTCAGGTGGGGGTGTGTCTGATGTGTGTGGGGAGCTGTGCTGGGCGAGGGTCAGGTCCCCCATGGAGGTGTCAGGCAGAGGATGGCTGTCAGCTGGAGCCCTGCAGATTCGTGTTCCTTGTCCTCCCTCCCTGTCACCTCTTTGAGAGTGGCTCTGATGTTGTTTCCAGATTGCATGTGACCGTTGGTCCTAGGTTTGTTTTCCAGCCTCCTGATGGATGTGCCTTTGAGGCTATGTCATACACCTCAGGTTTGAAGGTGCTCCAAATCTGTCCTCTCCCCTCCCTGTGGCCCCTGCCCCTGGTCAGTCTCAGCTCTCCTACCTGCTCCTCAGCCCCAGCATCCAGTAGGTGGCCAGGAGCTGCCAGGTCTCCCTCCTAGAGCCGTCTGGGGGCCCCATCCTGCTGCCTGTAGCTTGGCCCGATCAGGGTGACACCCATCTGTCCCGTCTCATGGGTCTACCTCCTGGACTCGCTTGGTCCCCGTCAGGTGGCAGCTGCTCCCCACACTACTGTGTGAGTTTGTTTTTGATTTTAGTTCTGTTTCATAGTGTGCAGCACACATTCACATGTGGGGGTGTTTGTGGTTAATCTGTGTGGAGCAGTGACAGCCGGAGCCTGCAGGTTTCTGCTCCCTGGGAGACAGGTAGAAATGCCTGGGCTTAATCAGACATAGAAATTCTCCAATTTTGCGAGTGACCAAGGGACACCCGTTTCATACAATACTTACAAACTGCAGCCCCTCTTCAGGGCCTCTGGCAGGACATGCCATGGCCCTGCATGGCTCGTCAGAGTTGCCTGTGTCCAGACCCAGTGGTCTGCAAGACGTAGAGACAGATCAGATGAGGAGACCGGCAGCAGGCAGTGGGGAGTGGGAAGTGATTGTGGAGGGGAACCCTGGGTCAGGCTGGCCCCAGGTGCCTGATGCCTGGGTCTGAGCCTGGTTCTGAGCCTGGAGTGTGGGTGCACTGCTAGTGCTGGCTCCTTCTCAGGCTGGCCCCTTCTTTGTGTCTCATCTGTTGAAGCTGAAGTGGGGACAGGACTAAGGGAGAGTGCAGAGACCGGGCTCTGGACACTGCGTTTCCCCATCTTGTGCTGGTGCTCACTGTGTCCCCAAATCAACATCTGGGCTGTTTTCGTTTTTTGTTTTTTTTTTTTTGTGAACTCACCTTTCCTGAATCTTTCCAGAGGAGTTTGTGCAGGCTTTGTGGGAACAGCCACTCTACACATATGTATTCTCCAGGGGTCTTGGTTTTCTGAAGCTGCTATAACAAAGCACCACAGACTGGGCACCTTAAACAACAGAAATGGAGAATCTCACAGTCTGGAGGCCAGAAGTCCAATATCAAGCTGTGGGCAGGGCTGGGCTCTCCTGAGACCTCGTTCCTGGGCTACAGACAGCCGCCTTCCCTCTGTGCCCTCACAGAGTCTTCCCGCTGGCTGTGTCTGTGTCCTCATCTCCCTTCTTATAAGGACACCAGGCAGATTGGATTAGTGCCCACCCCGATGGCCTCATTTTAACTTAATTGCCTCTGTAAAGACCCTGTTTTCAATTAGTCACATCCCGAGGTCCTGGGGGTTAGGGCTTTATGCATTTTGGGGGACACAGTTTGGCCTTGACACTAGGCCTGGTTACTCCTCATCCCCTGACATGCTGTCTCACAGCCGCCCGGACAGGGTGAGGACGAGCTCCTGCCCGGCTGACTCCCTGTGTCCCTGGCCCTGCGCTGTGGGTTTGGCCCGGGCGGCGTGGCTTTTGGAGAGCTCTTGCTATGCTCTCCGGGCGGCCTAGGCCCTCTTTGTGTGTGTGGGATGTCAGGCTCCACATGTTGCCTCCTTCTCTCCCTGCAGCTCGGTGCCAATGCCTTGCTCTTCGTCGGTGTGAACATGTATGGGGTCTTTGTGCGGATTCTGACTGAGCGTTCACAGAGGAAGGCGTTCCTGCAGGCCCGGAGCTGCATTGAGGACCGACTGAGGCTGGAGGATGAGAACGAGAAGCAGGTCAGTGGCTTGGGCCAGTCAGCCTAGAGGGGTTGGCTGTGGGGCTGGGGAGGTGGAAGAAGCTGGCTTCCTGAGCCTCAGTTTACCCCGTGGTGACATGGGCCACAATTCCCATTGGTACATGTTGGTATTTGAGGCTGTGGAGGAGATGCCCTGAGGTTTTATAGTTAGCAAATGGACAGGCAGGCTGAGTTTGCTGCCCATGGGATAGTGTTGGGATGGGGCTGCTTTGGGGACAGCATTTGGGCGCACGGACTTCCGGTTGCAGCTGGAATAGGTCAGCTGCCCAGGGAGGACGAGGCAGGTCCTGGCTGGGCCTCGGATGAATGTGACCGTGCAGGTGGCCCTGATCCACTGGCCTGAGGCTTCCACCAGCTCTGCCCTTGGCTCAGTGTGGCCGACCCCAGAGCACGCTGGCACTTCTGGAAGGCAGAGATGCCCTTTTGCTGGGAGTTGTAGAGGGGTCACAGTGGTCATGATACAGCACCCACAGCCCTTGGGGTTCCTCCAGTGGCCGGCATCACCCCATTTTCAGGATGAAACAGCCGCGAGGGAAAGAGCAGTGGCTTGGAAGGAGCCATGCCTAGGTTCCCACCGCCCTCTATGACCCATCTTCTGTGCTCTCTGTCTGCTGCGCGGGGCCTGTGCCCAGCATGTGGGCTTAGGAAGGACCATCTGGGAGCCCTTGGGATAAGCCTGGCACATTCCAGGTGCCTTCACTGGAAGGATCTAGATTCTTCCCCTAGCCTTGGGGCTTACAGGCCTCTGTGACACCAAACTGCTCATGTCTCAGGCCTGTAGCTGACATATAGGATCTCTTTCTCAACGATGTGAATATAAGGTATTATACCAAATATAAATGTAAAAACTCACAAACACATTTCATGTGTCGACATTATGATCCCTAATAGTTACAATAAAAGTAGGATATACAATAAAAGTAGGAAATAGATCACATATGTATGTTTAGGTGGTGTGTGCATTGCCGTCTATGTGAACACGTAGGAGGGCGTGTCCATGTGGATGTTATGTGGGCAGTGGTATGTGTCTGTGTATATGTACATGTGCATCCCTGTGGAGATGCATGTGTGGATATGTGCATATTTGCCTTTGCCTCTGTACATGTGTGCATGTGTGTCTGTGAATGCCTGTGCTCGTGTGTATGTGTCCATGTATGTGCCTATCTGTACGTCTGTGTGGTTGCATGTGTGTGTGGCTTTGTAATCAGGTAGATGTGTTTGCGTGGGCATGCCTGTATGTCTGTGTGTGTATGTCTGTGATATGCAGGGATATGTGTATATGTGTGTATGCGCATGTGTTGATGTGTTGTCTATGTGTGTGCATGAATGTGTCGGTGTGTGTATAAATTGAGCATCTTTCAAGGCTGAACCCTGAGCATTTTCTCTTAGACCAGAGTCAGTCACACAAGGAGAGATATCTCCTTTGTGCTTTCTGGGAGGCATATAGCCTTATTTTGTTACCACCATAAGATCCCAGAAATGAATCTTTGGAAGCCCTGTTCTCCCCTTAACTACATCCTCTGTAGTGGAGAAGGCAAAGGCTCTTTTTGTGGGCCCTGCTTGTGTGCATTTCCTTTTCTTTTCCTCTTTTGTCTCCCTCCCATTTCCTTTTCCATACCTTCCTTTCCTACTTCTGTGTTGGTCTTTTTTCATTTATTTTCTGACACTTGCTGCCTTTCCTAAGGACTCTCTTTCCTCCCAGTATTGTCTAGTCTAGCCTTTGCTGCTTGATGTGCAGCATTTCACTGGGTTTTATAGCAGCTCTGTAAGCAAGGAATTTTTTCCTCAGCCCTATGGAGGAGGCAGTCCACACTCAGGGAGGCTCAGAAATGTGTCCAAGTTCTAACTGCAGAGTGGATGTTCTTAAGGAGGACATTTTCAAAATGTCACCCAATCCAGTTAACCCAGCCAAATGCTATTTAGTGTTCAGATTTTGTCTTTATGTTTATTTTTCCCCACGTGATTGTCATTGTGGTGTATATATAATTTTATTTTCTGTCTTTTTGCTTATCATTTTGCACAGACATAGCTACTGGTGTGATAAGTGTGATTTAAAACATCTGCTTATTCTTCCCCTTAATGCATGTTCTGCAGTGTTCTCAGTGTCTGACATTTAGATACCACGTTCTAAAAGAGTTTTTTCTTCACGCACATGAAGTATTCACTGAGTAACATTTTTAGCAGTGTAAATATGTCATTTCTTTCCCAAGTTTCTGAGGTATTTTCCCAAACTTGTGCTCTTTTACATCTTTATAAATGATGTCTGCTTATACTCTGCTCTCTATAGCAGCCCAGGCCAACCACTGCATCAGCAGCAGTGGGGAGCCTGTTAGGAATGCAGATTACCAGGCCTCACCCAGCCCTGTAGGTGGGAAAGCCCCTAGGGTGGGGCCCAGGGGGGTTGGGGTTCTGATGAGCTGCTCTGCAGTCCCTGTCTTTCTCCCGTTCTCCCTCTCCTTCTGCCTATTGGTTTCCAACTTTCTCCCTCCCTGCCTCCCTCTCTCTCTGTGAGGACTTGTCACCTCCTGTTTCCCCTGCCCCTTTCCGTTTACTAAGGCTGACGGCGACTCCTTCATGCTTGTTCACCTTCTGTATTTCTTTGTGATTAGTACGCTTCAACCCTCCGTCCCGTTACATTCTGACTTTCCTGGCAGTCGGGTGAACTTCTCACTGTATAACAGAGACACTGATGCCTCATCCCCACGTTTCCCCAGGTCTGTTCCTCCAGCTTTGCTTTTCCTTGTGTAAAATTCAATCTCTTATATTTTCAAATGGAAGGATCATTTTCTTTCATGATTTCCTCTGTTGCTTCATAGCTGAGCTGATGTTTTGACACATGAGCGCTGATTGAGGACGTGCCTTCCCTGACTTTACCAAGTATATCCTCAGACCTCAGCTGTCCTGACTTTTGCTGTATTTTTTCTGTCGATTCCCTTTGAGCCTACAGGGTTGTATCTCACAATAACTGTCTGCCTAGATGGGCTGGTAATCAGCACCCAGGTTCCTCCTGGCTACCTGCTGTCTGATGTCAGTGCAGGGAGCCTTGTCTCTTTGGGATGGCAGAGGGGAGCACTTGGGGCCCAGTAGGGCCCTGCCAGCTCTTGGGTCTCTCAGCTACACAGGCACTTTGCCCCTCAGCATCTGCCTGGAGACTGCCTGGCCATCCAGAGAGCCTAGAGGTGGCCATGGCAGCCCTGCCCAGGCCTCATGTGTGTCAGCATGAAACGCCAGTCTCCTGAATGACAGGTGAGGGAGCCTTACCATGTGGCTAGTCGTGAGCATCTGCCTTTCATGTTTTAATTTCATTCATGACACATTTCCATTCAGCACCTGTTCCCAGAGCCTTCTCCAGCCACTTGAACTGTCCAGGCAACACAACGGGTGATGGGAGTGGATTGGGGGATGCACTGAGGTTCTGAGAGGGGATATGGGGGGATGTGACCTGATTCTGTGGGGGGATCCAGGGAGACACACCTGGTCCTGGGAGAGGATCTGGGTGTGGACACACCCCAGTCTGGGAGGGCTTCTGGGTGGATGGATGTACCCTGGTCCTAAGAGGGGATCTGGGGGACACACCTTGGTTTCGGGATGGGATCTAGAGGGGACACAACCCAGTCCTGAGAGGGATTCTGGGTCAATGCACCCTGGTCCTGGGAGCCGATGTGGGCATCACTGGTAGGAGGCGGTGGAATGCCGGGCACGTCCAGAGGGACCAGAAGATGGGGGCTGAGTGAGGTCAAGTTGAGGGGAGGCCTGTGGGCAGACTCCGAGCCTTACGCTCCCATGCACGGTGTTTGAGGGAAATCATTTCATGTCCTGTGACCTCAGCTGGAAGGAGATGGCTTGACCGGTAGAGAGTGGGGCAGGGCTGGCTCCTGTGGTTCTGTGCTCACAGAGGGGAGCTCCTGAGCCTAGCAGGAAAGAGACATCATGAACACGTTTTGAGGGTCAGTGCACAGGTAAGTGCGTGGAGGCAGGGGAGCAGACACACTGGGGAGTTTGGCGGTGGTTTTCTTTTTGTTTCTTCCTGGGGGATGAATGCATAACTCAGAGGCACTGTGGTCAGTGGCTTTGTGAGTAGGGAGAGCATTGTGCTCAGTTCACAAAATAGGAGTTTGGCTCAGGAGGCTCAGAAAACACCTCCCAGTGTGGACAGGTCTGCACTTTATGGCCCCCACTGAATGCCTGGGTTTGCAGGAGAGCACAGCAGGGTACTGCTGTTCTGAAATGCAAACTCCCAATATTAAAACTCCTCATCCTGTCCCAGCTGAACCAGTTTTGTTCTGGGATGGGAACTGATGGAACAGATGGAGATGGCTGCAGCAGCAGTGCCCTTGCTTCGAGCCTCCTGGCAGTGCCAGGGGTGGAGGCCACCGGCTTTCACGCTCTTCTCCACTCTGTTTACGCATTGGATGCTTCTGTTCCCCAATGCCAGATCGTTCTTGCCCCGTTTGATAAGTTATGTTTTGACACCAGTAGTAGGGTGTGCTTCATCTTAAGCCCTGGGGAGCACCTCTCAATTTCCTGGCTTATGATGCCAGTGTTGGCTTTTACCAGCCGGGATGCATCCCTGGGTGCTCTGTGCCTACTTACTGCTAACTTTTGCAGCAACCCATGAAGAGGGTGACAACAGATACAGACACTAGGAGCTTTCTCCTTCCCCTCCTGTACTGTTTAGTGTCAATAGCCCTGCGGGTGCCCTGCAGAATCTTTGAGGCTTTAAGGGTCTGGTCTGCTCCTGCCGAGGCAGGTGCCAGTCTCAAGGGGTGAGGCTTCTGCCAACATTCTTATGAGGGGAAATATTACAGTAGCTCTCACTCTCCTCCCGTCCACCTTCTCAGGGCAGCCCATAGAACAAGAGGCTCTGGAGAAGGGTGGGGTGGGGATGGGGGCTTGTCTGTTTCATTGCACTACTTCCTGTCTGTCTGGAAAGTTCTCTGCTGTACTTAGGAAAGGTTTACCTGAATTGTCAGTGTGCCTGAGGCTGATTCCTTTGGGGGGATTTGAATGAGCTAAAATGACCCCTCCTCTCAACACAGCAAAACAAAGAAACAGAACAAAGGGTCACCCTGGGCCCCTGCCCTTCATCTGTCCTTGCCTGCAGGGTCTGGGCAGAGAAGAAGGTCAAGGTACTAAGATGTTCTTTCTGAGTTGTCAGATCTCTTTAAAATTAATTTCAGCCCTCTATATCATGGTTAGGAATGTAAGGACTTTATTCTGCTTAATAAATCTGAGAACTGGGGCTCTGAAAATTTAAATAACCCAGGAAAGATAACGGAGCGAATAATAGAGTCACCAGTGGCAGAGCCAGGGTGAGCCCGGGATCTTCCAAGGGAACCACATGGCTGTTTCCTCCTTTCGTGGCCACAGATCTCCTCAGCTAAAAAATGCTCACACAGATGTTTTAGGCTTACAAATAACTGAGCTAAAATGCTCCAAAGGGGTGTGAAGGTTCTTTTAACAGAGCTTTTTCTGTTTCTGAACAAAAATGTCAAAAGTTGGTTCTTTGAAATAGAAAAGCATTAAAGAGACTGATCAAGAAGAAAAAGAGCAGACACAAATAAGGAGCATGAGGGATGAGAAAGGCTGCAGATAAAGCAGGGATTAAAAATAGATAATAGGGAAATGCTGAGAATAATTTTATGCCAGTATATTTGAAGAGAGACAAAATGGCCAAATTTCCAGAAAAAGTGTGAGTTACCAAAGATGATCCGCAAAGAAAAAGAAAGCCTGAAAAATCCTATAATTATTAAAAAGATTGATTCAGTAATTTACAAGCTCATCAAAAAGTAAACAGCAAGCCCAGATGGTTTTACAGATGAGTTAGACAGAACTTCAAGGAAAACGCGATTGCAATTTGATCAGTCACAGCATAGAAAGCTCGCTCTCTGAGCCTAGGTCGAGCTGGCTGGTGATTATGGAGGACGGAGCTCGGATTCCCACATCTCACAAAGGCCTGTCACGTGGACGGCAGGAAAAGCCTCTTTCTCAGTCTTGTTTTCATTAGTGGTTTGGCTTCTTGGTGCCGAAGTGGATTGGGTGGGCGTCAGGTGGATGCTTGGTCCCTGCCCTGCTGCTGTTTCATGCACCAGGTTCTAGGAGCGAGGGGCAGGGCATGCTGCCTGGTCGGGGTGACATGACTCCTGTGTGCTGTCAGCCCCCTGCCATTGCCAGGACACCTGTGCAAGTGGAACTGAGGTCCAGGGTGTTTGTGGTCAGCATCAGAGGCTCTAGAATGCTCCCAGCTCCCAACTTGTTGGTCATATGGCCTCCTGGAGCAGCCCCTGCCCAGCCTCCTTCCTGCCTTGAATGCCAGCATCTCTTCTGAGGACCGTCAAAAGTGGTGTCGGGGGCATCCCCCTCCTGCGTGGATGTCACACATCTGGCTCCATGCTGAGGCGTCTTGTTCCCCTGTGGCTGGCACAGCCCACTGGGTTCTTCAGTCTCCTTAGCTCTCCAGGAGCACTACATTGGGCCCCTCAGTCACCGCCTTCTGCTTGGTTTTCGTGGCTTGTGCGTCACAGTTTGCTCTGTATCAGCTCCGGGAATCCCAGAGTCTCCTCCCTGTCATTCTGTGGCCAGTGCTGCAATATTGCTGAGGAAGATGCCGGAGCTGGTTGTCGCCTTGGTCTGTGGGAGGCTCTGCGGCATGTCCTCGGGGGCTGTGAGGAGGTTTGTGGGTACCCAGTTGTTTGCCATATCTGTTTTTTTTTTTTGAGGCAGAGTCTCATTCTGTCACCCCAGCTTGAGTACAGTGGCGCTATCTCAACTCACTGCAACCTCCGCCTCCCGGGTTCAAGCAGTTCTCCTACCTCAGCCTCCCGAGTAGCTGGAATTACGGGCATGTGCCACCACGTCCAGCTAATTTTGTATTTTTAGTAGAAACGGGGTTTCACCATGTTGGTCAGGCTGGTCTCAAACTCCTGACCTCCTGTGATCTGCCCATCTCAGCCTCCCAAAGTGCCAAGATTAAAGGTGTGAGCCGCCTTGAGCGGCCTTGCCACATCTGTCTTTTTCCTACTTTGTTTGAAGTCTGTGTGGCAGATGGAGGTGGTGGCCAACATGTGGCTCCTGGACACACTGGTCTTCTTGGTTCTCCCTGATGGAACAGCCCAGGCTCAGAAGCCACATGCCAAGATATAGAGCCCAGGTGTGGCCGGGAGAGGAAAGGTCCCTGAGCCCACCAGGGCCCACCTCTGTGCTGGTGAGGACATGCGATCTGCTGTGCTGTGGGCATCTGGTGGTCTATGAGGGAGAGGGCAGATCCGCTGCAAGGAGTCCAGCATCTGCAGCCTGGCTCTCAGATGATTAGGGAACTGGGCCCAGCTATGTCTAGTATAGTGACATGAAGTGACCCATGGAGGGGACCTCTGACAGGGTGAGGGACTCAGCACACACAGCTGCAGGCTGCAGGGAGCTTTGCAGTTTCCCACTGGCCTTTCCTGGAAGAGCCCGAGGAGCAGAGCCACAAGTCAGGGAGAGCAGCCATGGGAAGGCAGGCTCTGACCCCACTCGCTGAGGAAGACAGAGCTGAGAGAGCCTGTCTGGAGTAAAGTGGCCCGTTGGGACAGCACGTCAGTTAGAATCTGGTTTGGCTGCTAGTAACTGACCTGGAAAATGGTGGCTTAAACAAAATAGAAGTTGTCTGTCTCATGGGCAGAAGTCTGGAGGGAGGCAGCCCGGGGCTGGTGTGGTCAGCTTAGGCTGTGTAACAGAGACTGGGTGGCTGCAACAAGAGAAATGTATTTCCTCACAGTTCTGGAGGCTGCAGAGTCCAAGATCAAGGTGTTGTCAGGGCTGGTTCCATCTGAGGCCTCTCTCCTTGACTTACCGATGGCCATCTTCTCCCTGTGTCCTCACATGGTCTTCCCTCTGTGCGCACACCCTTGGTGTCTCTCTGTGTCTCCTGATTTCCTCTTAGGAGGAGAAGAGGAATGCAGCCACATTGGATTAGGGCCCACTCAATTACCTCATTTTAATTTAATACCTCCCTAAAGGCCCTATCTTCAAATATAGTCACCACATTGGGTTTTAGGGCTTCAATCTATGAATATGGAGGGGAGGGTCACAATTTAGTCCATAGCAGCCACTAAACAACATCTTATTTTATTTCAAATAAAAGTCGAGTGTATGATTTAAAAATAAGGAGATGCTGCGTGTGAGTCCTGGATGAGTGTGCCTGGACTGGTGAGTGCCTGGCTCTGGGCTCCCTGGATGGCTGAGTGCAAATAGAAGTACATATGGCCGCCCCTGTGCAGCTGGTGGAGAAGCAGGCCTGGGCTGGGGGGACGGTCCCTTCCTGCTGGGTTTCCTCCCTTCCCCCCCTGCTCTTACTTGAACTGCATGTGGCAGGAGGCAGGAGAGGGGATCCTGCCAGGTTCTCAGCTGGCTCTGATGGACTGTGGCTGGGCAGCTCCCTAACTGGCTCCAGGCCTCAGATCCACCAGCCCTGAGTGTGGCTGGTTGTGGGTGATGAGGGGCGGTGGTATCCATACCTGAGCGCACTGCACCCTTAGCCTGCTCCTCTGATCAGGGCCTGCTGTCCACCCTGGAAGGAGACTCCTTTTCGCAGTACTGCCACAACTTTAGAGGCCATTATTGTTTGTTTTTTTTTCCAGTCCTCCTTCTGGTTTGTCTCGATGGTGATTTTACCTTGTGGAGCAATGGCTGGTAGAGGTGCAGTCATGAGTCCTCATTAATAGGTGTGTAGTGAATGAATGCAATTGAGTGTGATTGGGGAATTGATCCTGTAGCTTCTTTGGCCCAGTGCTCCCAGCGGTGGCCTCTTTGTGTGTGCATCTCATACACATGCTTTTGTGACCTTGCTAGTGAACTCGGGATGAGAGGTAGGGGTGAGGACAAGTGGAGATGGCCCTCACCTTCCAGACATGTCCAGCCTGGAGATGGTGCCAGGAGAAGGGAAGGGGCCTGAAACCCTCCAGCAGTGTGGATGGAGGACACCATGGCTGAGAACACTAACCAGGCTTGGGGCAGGGCAGAGGACGCCAGGGCTGCTCTGGCTGTAGAGATGCTCTCAGAAGTGACCAGTGCCAGGGCTTCAGGAGGTGGCCTTGACTGAACCGAATAGGGACGTACTATGGGGAAGAACAAGAGTGATCAGGGCTTTGAGGGATGTGTAGGGGTTTGCCAGGTAGAGGCAGGGAGGTGGGAACTGGAGGAGGCATTCAGGCAGCAAATTGAGGTGGAGGTGGTCACAGGTATTACTTTTGGTAAGCGTGAGCTCTGCCTTCCTTCTGCTTGGAGAGGAAGGGGATATGGGCTGGAAGTGCAGCTCCACTGGGTGGTGAAGACCACTTGGGGGCTTCAGGGTGTTCATGGTCCCCCACAAGGGTCTAGCCTGAAGTCTGTGCCTGTCGCAGCTGGAGAGCACAGGGTGAGAGGCATAGGAGGTCACCCTCAGCTTCCTCCTCCGCTGCCTGCAGCCTGTCCAGGAAGCCCTGTATCCCTGAGTTCAGCTCCCTCTTCCATACTATGGAGCTGGCCCCTCCCAGAGCCCTGGCTGTTCCTCAGATGCCATTATTAAATCAGAATTCCAAAAATAATATGCAGCTATTTAAAGCACACACTCAATTTGTTACCCTAACAAGGTAAATGGAACAATTTTGAGTTCTCATCATGTGAAGAAATTTATCAAGAGAAAGAAGACTTCCATTTAAGTGATGCAGTATGGATTTTTAAATGGGGCTGGCCAATGGACAGCACCTTCTCAAACAACTACCGTTGTGATTTATTTTTCATTTTTAAATGGCTTTATTGAGTTTATGTACCATAAAGTTCAATTAAATAAACTTTGTCCAACTGAATAAAGTTCACTCAAATGCTTTTTCCTATAGAGTTATTATTATTTAGAATTATGCAAGAATCTTAGTCTTATTACACATTAATCTTATTTAATACATATGTCAAATGATCTTATTGTAGAAAATTAGTATACAATAATCTAAATTTAGGATATTTTTATTATCCCCCAAAGACACCTCATATCCATTAGCAGTCACTCTCCATGTATACCCACACCTGCCCTCCAGCAAGACATAGGCACCCACTAATTTACTTTCTGTCTCCATAGATTTACCTGTTCTGGACATTTCATACAAATGGAATCATATAATAGGTGATCTTTTGTGACTGGCTCTTTCCACTTAGCATAATGTTTTTGAGGTGCATCCAGATCATAGCATGTTTTAGTATTTCATTCTTTTTTATGGACAAATAATATTCCACTGTATGGATGGATCACATTTTGTTTATCTGTTCACGGCTGATACATATTTGGGTTGTTTCCACTCTGGCTATAATAAGTAATGCTACTATAAAAAATCATGCACAAGTTTTTGTGTGAACACATTTTCATTTCTTTTGGATAAATACCTAGGAGTAGAATTGCTAGGTCTTGTGGTAACTCTATGGTTAGCATTTTAAGGAGCTGCTAGACTGTTTTCCAAAGTGGCTGCACCATTTTCCATCCCTACCAGGAGTATGCAAAGCCTCTAGTTTCTCCATATTCAGAATCTTTTTTTTTGTTTAAATTAAACTGTTTTTATTTTGAACTACTTGTAGATTCACATTTAGTTATAAGAAATAACACAGAGAGATCCCATGTGCCCTTTACCCAGCTTCCCCAGTGGCAACATCTGCAGAACTGTGGTACAATATCACAACTAGGATATTGACATTGGGACAGCCAAGATATGGAACATCCGTCACCCTGAGGATCCCTCATGTTCCCTTTAAATAGCCACATCCACTTCCCTCCACAACACCTTCATTCTTAAGACCTGGGAATCACTAACCTGTTACCCATTTCTTTAAATTTGTGATTTCAAAAAATTTATATAAATGGAATAATAAAATACTGTAGACATTTGGGATTGGCTTTTTTTTCACTCAGCATAATTATTTGGAGGTTCATCCATATTGTTGAATATATCAATATTTGTTTCTTTTTATTACTAAGTGGCATTCTATGGTGTGGCTGTATCACAGTTTGTTTAATTGTTGGCCCATTGAAGAATGTCTTGGTAGTTTCCAGTTTTGGCCTATTAGGAATAAAGCTGCTATGAACATTCATGCACAGGTTTTTGTGTGAACATAGGTACTAATTTTTCTGGCTCAAATACCTAAAAGTACAGTTGCTGGGTCATATGGAAGTTGCCTATTTAGGTTACTGAGAAATAGTGAAACTTTCCCAGAATGGTTGTACCATTTATGTACCCAGCAACATATCCATGTCTTTTGCCTACTTTCTAACTGGATTTTTTAAACTGCTGGGCTTTGAGAGTTCTTTATATGTTCTAGATAACAGTACTTTTTGGGATATTTTGTTTGTGAATATTTTCTCAAAACCTATAGTTGATCATTTCATTCTTTTAGCAGAGTCTTTTTGAGAGCAAATATTTTTAATATTGATGAGGTTTAATTCGCCAGTTTTTCCTTTTGTACTTTTGGTGTCAAGTCTAAAGACTTTTTGCCTAGCCCTAGTTCTTATGTGTTTTTCTGAAAGTTTTATCTTTTACATTTAAATCTATAACGTATTTTAATTTAATTTTTGCATAAGGTATGAGGTTTAGGTTAAGATTCATTTTTTTGTCTATGAATGTCAAGTTGCTGTAGCATTTGTTGAAAAGACTACCCTTCCTCCATTGAATTACTTTTGAACCTTTGTCAAAAATTTGTTGCGCATATTTGTGTGATCTATTTGTGGATTCTAGATTCTGTTTTATTGTCTTATGTGTTTATCTGGCAACCCACGTCACACTGTCTGGATTATTGTTGTTTTATAACAAGCCTTGAAATCAGGTAAAGTGATTTCTTTTACCTTGTTGTTCTTTTTCAAAATTATGTTAAGTAGTATTATTCCTTTTCCTTTATATTTAAGTGTTAGAATAATTTTGTCTATAGGTACTAAAGAATTTGCTGGGATTTTGATAGGATTTATATTAAAACTGTATATCAATTTGGAGAGGGTTGACATCTTTACTAAGTTGAGTCTTCCAATCCATGAACATGGTATGTCTCTCCATTTATTTAGATCTTCTCTGATCTCTTTAATCAGTCTTTTATGGTTTTTAACATACAAATCCTATACATGTTTTGTTAGATTTACACCTCAGTATTTCATTTTTGAGCAACTGTAAATGGTATTGTATCTTAAATATCAGTGTCCATGTGTTTATTGCCAGTATATAGAAATGTAATTGACTTTTGTATATTGATCTTGTATCCTGTGACCTTCTGAACTTAATTATTTGTTCTAGGAGTCTTTTTGGTACAATTTTCTTTTGTTTCTGCTTTTGTAACATCCATTGTATTTCCCATGTAGACCATCATATTACTTTTATTTCTTTCTTTCCAATCTGTATGCCTTTTCTTTCCTTTTCTGAACTTACTGCACTAATAAGACCTTCCCATGAGATGATGAATATGAGTAATGGGAGCCAACATCCTTGCCTTGTTCCCAGTGAAAGCATTCAATGTTTGTTAGGTGTAGGCTTTTTCTGAATATTCCTTATAATGAGGAGGAAATTTTTTTTCTATTTTCATTTTTCTGGAAGTTTTCATCATAAATAGATGTTGAATTTTGTCAAATTCTTTTTTGGTATCAATTGCTATGTGATTTTTTTTTTTATTCTGTTGACATGGTGTGTTGCACTGATTGATGTTTCAATTTTGAATTAGCATTACATCCCTGGATTAAACCCCATGTGTTTGGGGTATATACTTCTTGTTGCATATCACTGAATTGCTATCTTGTAAAAGACTTTTATATCTATGTTTCTAAAGTGCATTCGTAGTTCTTTATTTAGTCATTCTTATGATGGTTGCTTTACAGTCTTTGTTGGTTATTCTGGCATCTCTGTCTTGGTATTGATGTGTGTTGGTTGTCTTTGTTCACTTGATGAGCTTGTTCTAGTTCTTGGTATGATGAGTGATGGTTCACTGGAACCTAGGCATTTGGAATGTTGTGTATGAGCCTCTGTATATTATTTGGACATTTTGTTTTTGATGATTTTCTGTGACATGACTCTGGTTGGGAAAGGGGGGTTGCTGTCTCTTTACTGCCAGGTGGGGTTAGAAGTTTAGGCTCCACACTGGGCCTCTGTTGACACCATGTGGGGAGGGCTCCTTCTTACTGCTGGGCAGGAGTGAGAGTTCTAGTCCCTCATGGTCCCCGCTAATAGTACCTGGCTTGGGGGAGGAGAATGAGATCCCCTTGGTTCCCACTGACTCTGCAGAGTTGGGGGA
This sequence comes from Homo sapiens, assembly GCF_000001405.40. Classification (NCBI taxonomy): domain Eukaryota; kingdom Metazoa; phylum Chordata; class Mammalia; order Primates; family Hominidae; genus Homo; species Homo sapiens. The sequence goes on from NC_000007.14 coordinate 45,606,195, forward strand.
TGCTTGTTACCAGCAGGTGGAGAGGGAAGGCTTGGCTCACTCTGGGAGTGGGTGGGTTGATTGGGGGCCCCTTCACAGCCTGGGGTGGGGGTGGAGGTCTGGCCTCTCTACTTGGCCTTTGCTGGTGTGGGTGGGGTTGGGGCACAGAGTTTTCAGTGTCTCTGGCCTGGAGTAGGTAAGTTATTGTCTGGAAGTTTTCTTCTTGTGAGGTTGCCCAGTCCTGGGCCTTTGGCTGAAGAGAGCTGCTTTTGTTGTGTTTTCCTTTGGTCTGTGCCTATTGGTATTGCTGACTTGCCCACTTCTCAAGCACTCAGTCTGGCATATATGAGGCTAAAGAAACCTCAGGAACTCACCTTTATGTCATTTCTTGGTTTCAAGATTTCTGCCTTCTTCCCTCTGACTTTTAGTCTTGGTTGTTTGATGTGTAACATCCAGGACTTTCAGCTGTGTTCAGCAGGAGGAATAGGGAAAAATACTTCTCCATCTTCCCAGAAGTAGAGTCTTCACAATTGTCACTGAAAATCTAGTTTTTTTTAAGAGTACATTTAAGTCACATTTTGATAATCAAGATAAATTCGTTAAGATTTTTATATAGCCTTTATAGGACACTGAGGTACTTTGTATGATCCATATTCATATTAGCTTTTATACTTTTGATTTCTGGCTATTTAAATTATTTTGTTGGCTAGAGCTTATTGACATATGATCTGTTCTTGACACTAATGTTTACTGCTGCTTGGGCCTTGAGGGTTTTGAGATTGGATGTGAATTTCACGTGGAATCTTTATAATGTGAATGAGCTACTTCGTCTTTTTTTTTTTTTAATCAGAAATGAATGCTGAGTCTTATCAGATGGCAGCTTGCTTCCTGTGGGAAAGGTTTTGTACTTTAGTCTGTGGTTATTAACTTGCATTGGCTTAGATGCTGCTGCTAATCCAATGGACAGAGCTAATGCTGAGCCCTTGGTTAGAAATGCAGTTGTCCTTAGGAACGTCGTGTGACAGTGGCTTACAGAAGTAACATAGCTCTTTTTGTCTTACGTATACATTCCAGGGTAGACACTTTATGGTGGTGCGGCAGATGTGATCCATGAAACCCTCAGCTGTCTCCATCTAGCTCGCCACCTGTGTCCCTAGTGTGTTGCCTTCATCCTCCTAAACCAAGATGGTAGGTGGAGATCTGGCTGTTATGACTGTGTTCCCAACAACAGCAGGAGAAGAAGGGAAGAGGGACAAGCTGTTTTGTTTTTTAAATTTTAACCTTCATTTTAGATTGAGGGTACATGTGCAGGTTTGTTACGTTGATATACTGTGTGATACTCAGGTTTGAGGTACAATTGATCCCATAACCCGGGTACTAAAGCATAGTACCCAGTAGCTAGTTTTCAACCTTTGCCTCCCTCCGTCCCTCTCTCCTCCTTTTTGGAGTCCCCAGTGTCTGTTCTTCCCATATTTATGTCTATATGTATCCAATGTTTAGCTTCCACTCGTAAGTGAGAACATGTGGTATTTGGTTTTCTGTTTCTGTGTTACTTCAGTGGCCTCCAGCTGCATCCATGTTGCTGTAAAGGACATCATTTCATTCTTTTTTATGGCTGCATAGTATTCCATGGTGTATATGTACCACATTTTCTTTATCCAGCCCACCATTGATGGGCACCTGTGTTGATTTCATGTCTTTTATTGTAAATAGTGCTGCGATGTACATACACATGTATGTGTCTTTTTGGTAGAATGATTTATTTTCTTTTGGATATGTACCCAGTAATGGGATTGCGGATTTGATGGCAGTGCTGTTTTAAGTTCTTTGTGAAATCTCCAAATTACTTTCCACAGTGGCTGAACTAATTTACGTTTCCCACCAGCAGTGTATTCCCACCAAATGTTCCCTTTTCTCCACGGCCTCACCAGCATCTGTTGTTTTTTGACTTTTTAATGGTAGCCATTCTGACTTCTGTGAGATGGTATCTCATGGTGGTTTTGATTTGCATTTCTCTAATGATTAGTGATGATGAGCATTTTTTCATGTTTGTTGGCTCCTTGTATGTCTTCTTTTGAGAAGTGACTGTTCATGTCCTTTGCCCAGTTTTTAATGAAGGTTATTTGGTTTTTGCTAGAACAAGCTGTTTTTAAGGAACATTTCCAAAGCTTCCACATGACCTTTCAACTCATGTCTCCCTGGCCACATCTAGCTGCATGGGAGGCTGGAAAGTATGGTCTTTATTCCAGGTAGCCAAGAACCCCAATGAAAATAAGGGTCTCTCTTGTCAGGCCAGCAGTGGAGCAGGGCTACTGGGGACAGCCAGCTGATAGCTGGGTGACTCTGCCACAGCTGGTTCTTGCAGCACCCTGTGCCACGGCTGAGTTGTCCACGTGAGCTCCAGTCTCCCATGCTGGGGGCCGTGTGCGGGAAGTCAGGATGTGTGCCAGGGGCTTCCCAGCAGTCTTTCTTTCCTTCCTGGGATCAGCATTTGTGGCTCTGGATGCTCCCCCATCACCTGTCACATTTTTGTGGTCCTTGGAGTTCAGTATCCTGCATTTTTCAATTCCTCAGAAAGTGGGTGCCAAGGTGGAGGCCACATGGGGGCTGCGGCAGAGCTTCATGGGAGCTACTTGGGGGCTATAGTGAGGGCTCGGGTGGGGACTGCAGTGGGGCCCTTGGTGGGGGTGGGTTCTCAGTGTAGACCTTGGCCTTGTTTAGGACACACCTCCAGGCCACAGACTCCGGTGCCAGGACTCAGGCAGCTGAGGCATAGACTTAGCCTCACTTGGCATCAGACAGAGCTGGACCTGGTCTTCCTTCTCTGAAGTTTATGTGGAAGTAACTTACCAGGGGAAACTTCAAGTGTGCCAAATTTGTTCTCCCATTGTAAAATGGGCTGTGCTCATGGAATGCTATCTGCCATGTGGAACAGAGGGGTGAGGCCCTCATGGCCACTTCCCAGAGATCATCTGGGATTTTGGGATGTGGGTAGCTATTTTCACTGTGGCTGCTCCTATGGCTCCTGAACGTGAAGGTGTCTGGGCACCTGTGCTCCTTCCGAGAAAGTCACACAGGATGGAGGCCGCTCCTGGGTCAGGGATGTAGCCTGTGCAGGAGGGACTCCCAGGGCTGTGCCCGGCAGGCTTGCGTGGCTGGGGATGGAGAGGAGGCGGAAGCATCTCAGTGCTGGGTGCCCGCGTGACTACTGCTAAGGCTCCTTGGAGGGAGGGAATGCTGCTGGCACTGAGCACGACAGGCCGCTGCGGAGGGGCTTGGAGCCAGAGGGCGCGGTGGGAGGGATGGAGCTTCTTCCCCTCTTCAGCCTGTTTCCGCGCTTGTCAGTGGGATGTTCTACCTGATTCTACGTGGGATTTAAACTCTGCTCTTTTGCTTTTCTTTTCAAAGCAGAGTGGGAGGGGCATGGGAGGGACTGAGGGATGAGTCGGGGACCCTCACACCACATTTCTGGAACATGGTCTCTCAGACGTAGGGGTGTGCCCAACAGGTCAAGGGCCAGCTGGGGTTGGGGTCAGGGAACATCCAACTGGAGGATGAGAATCAAAGTCCTACTTACTCCCTCAGTCCAGACAAGGAAACTGAGGTCTAGGAAGGGGAAAGGACTCTCCAGGATGGCATAGTTTATTTTGAAAAATCCAAACATTTATTCTTTTCTCTTGGGGGAAAAAAGAAAATGCTTGACCTACACAGCTAAGGGAGAAGTAAGAAGACAAAGACCAAGAAAGAATGCCACATGGTCCCGTAGCCCGCCTATCTGTGTAAGAACAAGAGGACTCTGTGGGTACCTCAGGAGGACAGCTTGTTTTTTTAAGCCAATGTGAAAGACTCTTTCTGGGATATTGTTGGAGCAGTAGGGGGAGGGAGAGAAGCCAGGTTGGGGCCCTGGTGGAGACAGCAGTGTTTTCACAGCTGTAACCCTGCTGTACACTGAAGCACAGGCCGAGACTCAGGAGTGTGTCCAGGGAGTAGCATGAGGAGCGCCGCAGGGAGGCTTGGGTGTTGGGGAGGCTGTGCCAGCCCTGGCTAGTGCTCCTGGAGGGAGTTGCTTGTTCAGTGGCAGTCCAGCCCTGGACGTGGGCCTACCCAGGCTCAGGGGCCCGGCGCCCTTACTGGGGAGGGTGAGGTGAGGAGGAGTGGAGGGAGGGGGCCCTGCTGTCTAACCCGGGCCCTTCTCTTCTGTCCAGGAGCGGCTCCTCATGAGCCTCCTGCCCCGGAACGTTGCCATGGAGATGAAGGAGGACTTCCTGAAGCCCCCTGAGAGGATTTTCCACAAGATTTACATCCAGAGGCACGACAATGTGAGGTAGGGCTGGTGCTGACCCGGCACAGCGGGGAGCCTGGGAAGCTGAGGTGTGGAGATAATGGTGAAGGTGGGGAGGTGATGACAGAAGTGGGGAAGGGATGGATGGAGGTGGGGAAAGAATGGGGGTGTGGAGGTAATGGTGAAGGTGGGGAAGTGATGATGGAAGTGAGAAGGTGATAGGTGGAGGCGAGGAGGTGATAGTGGAGGTGATGGTGGAGGTGAGGAGGGGATAGTGGAGGTGGGGAGGTGATGATGGAGGTGTAGAGGTGATAGTGGAGGTGTGGGGGTGATGGTGGAGGTGGGGAGGTGATGGTGGAGGTATGGAGGTGATAGTGGAGGTGTGGAGGCGATATTGGAGTTGTGGAGATGATGGTGGAGGTGGGAAGGTGATGGTGGAGGTGGGGAGGTGATAATGGAAGTATGGAGGTGATTTTGGAGGTGAGGAGGTGATAGTGGAGGTGTAGAGGTGATGGTGGAGGTGGGGGGTGATAGTGGAAGTGTGGAGGTGGTGGTGGAGGTGTGGAGGTGATGGCAAAGTTGGAGAAGTGATGATGGAAGTGAGGAGGTGATAGTGGAGGTGTGGGGGTGATGGTGGAGGTGGGGAGGTGATGGTGGATGTGATGGTGGAGGTGAGTAAACTGATGATGGAAGTGAAGAGGTGATGGAGGAGGTGAGGTGATGGTGCAGGTGGGGAGATAGGGGGAGTGTGGACAAAGGGTCTCAGTTGTGAAGGGAGGAGAGGGCAGATGTGGTCAGGAGGTTCAGGTGGACATCTGCCTAGCAGGGAAACAGGTCCTACGTGTAGGGGGCTCTTGGCTTCTTGGGTGATGCATGTTACAGTTATCTTTCCAATTTCTTATTTCAGTATTCTTACACTTCCTCTGTTGACTGGAGAGGGTAAAAAATCTGTCCCTAAACCTGGCTTTGAGCAGTGACATTTTGGGCTCAGAATTTGCCATGTCAGAATAGTAGCTGAGCATTATGCTAGTTGTTGCTGGGTCTGGTATATGTGTGCTCTTCTGTCTTACTCTGTTCATTTCATGACAGCCCTAGGAGGAAGGGATTGTTCCCATTTTATAGGTGAGGAAACTAAACCTTCAAAGTGAACCAACTTGCTTTAGACACTCTGAGGTTTGCTTGTTTTTTTTTTTTTTTAAAGATTCTGTTTAAAAGTATTTATTTTATTAAATTGTGGATTCCACTTAAAAATACTTTTCATGCAAGTATAGTGTGCTTAGAATGGTTTGAGTGTTGCCTATTTGGGATTAATGCTTTACATAAATATCACTCAGGTAGGAGATGGTGTTTGAGGGACCTGAAACACTTTTCCTTTTCTGCTGTTTTTTGCTGGTTCTTCTGGATGTTGGTGTCAGGCCTCACTGCCCATTTGGCCTCTGAAGACACAAAAGGTCAATAGAAACTCTCAGTCCTTCTTATGTTGAGCACCACAGACTGGGTCCCTGCAAACCAACACTCATTCATTGGAAATGAGTTGAGGTTTGTGGGTCCATCAGAGTCAGTCATCCTTGTGTGCCAAGCCAGTATGGCTAATTGCTGTCTGGTTGAGAGCTCAGCAGTCACTGTTCTGAGCACACGTGTTCACTGCCCATTGTCATGCTATTAAGTAAGGACCAGTGTTGTCCTCCTTCTGCAGAGGAGGATGCTTAAGCAATGTGGGGTGAAGGCCCAAGTGGGTGGAAAGTAGCTGAAGAGCCAGCATTTGAGCCCAGCATGACTGCAGAATTTATGCTGAGAACCTCTCTGCTAGATACTTGGTTCTGTTTAATATCATCATGCTTCTGTGAACTGCTGGCATTGTCACCTCCATTTTATAGATGAGGAAATTTAGGTTCAACAAAGTGAAAGGTATGCAGGACTCCCTGGCCAGTGAGTGGCAGGCTGGGACAGGAACTGGGATTAGCTGACACTAATATCTGCCTTGACTTTTGTCATTTCACTCACTGCCTCTTGTTACAAAATAAGGACATGACACACTGACCCAGTCCCCTGATGAGAAGAACAGACCACCAGAATAATCCCTGGAATACCTCGAGGGGAGCCAGAGCCTCTCCATACTGCAGGAAAGGCATCAAAAGTCAAGAGCCTTTTGACAGCTAGAGCTGGCAGACATCACTGACCCTTTCCCCTGCTCAGCATAGAGTGAACTGATGAAGAATCTCAGCTCTAAGCTTCTCTCTGGGGAGAGAAAGAGTCAGTGTGACCACTGCCCCAACTTTTATGGGGCTGCCTGAAGAACAAGCCTCTATCTCTCCCCTGGATCTCTTGATAGGTCTTGTACAGTCTGGCCAGGAGAGAACAGAGGTGGTAGTCTGGGGTGATAGATACCATAACTTCCCCCTACTCACCCCCTTCCCAGCACAGAATGAACAGACAAAAATAACAGCTGCCTGCTTTTCCCTCAGGAGAGAAAGGGTTGGTAAAGCACCAGAATCTGTGGCTGATTGGTGAGAGTCTCCTCCTGTACAGGACCGGTCCATGAAGATTGGGAGAGGTACCTGCTTTGTCTAAATCTCAGACACCAACACAGAGAGTTAAGGAAAGTTAAGAACCAGGCAAAGATGTTCCAAACAAAGGAATGAGATAAATATACGGAAACTGACTAATGAAACAGAGTTATATAATTTACCTGATAGACAATTTAAAATAACTCCCATAAAGATGCTCATGGAGGACAAAAGAATAATGCATGAACAAAGTGAGAATTTCAACAAAGAAATAGAAAATATTAACAAGTGCCAGAGAGCATGGAGCTGAAGACCACAATTACTGAACTGAAAAATTCACTAGAAGGATTCAACAGAAGACTAGATCAAGCAGAATAAAAGATCAGTGAACTGGAAGACAAGTCACTGCAGTCACTGGAAATAATTCTGATAGAGGGGCAAAAGGAAAAAGGAATGGAAAAGACTGAAGAAAGCTTGAGAAAATTGTGGGAAATCATTAGTGGACCAATATACACCTTATGGGAGTTACAGAAGAAGAGTGAGCAACAGAACCAGATTGTACACACAACACATACACATTATATATATATTTTCATCATATATTACATATATGATGTAAAAATATATCATTAAATATGAATATGTATACACACAATGAAAATTTCCCAAATCTGGTTAAAGAAATGGACATCCAGCTACAAGAAACTGAGATGACACCAAATAAGATGAATACCCCAAAATTCACACCTAGATACATTTAACCAAATTCTCAAAAGCCAAGGACAAAGGGAGAATTTTGAAAACAGAAAGGAAAAAGTGATTTGTCACATACAACAGAACCAGCGTAGGATAATGGATTTTCCAGCAGAAACCTTGCAGGCCAGAAGGGAGTGGGATGATATGTTTAAAGTGCTGAAAGAAAATAACTGCTGAGCAAGAATACTATGCCTAGCAAAAGTCTCCATAAAAACATGAAGGAATAAAGACCTTCCCAGACAATTAAAAGCTGAGGAAGTTCATGACTAAACCTGCCTTACAAGCAAGGCAAAAAGGAGTTCTTACATTGAAATGAAAGGATGCAAAACAACAACACAATAGCATAAGAAAATACGATACTTATTGGTAAAGTTTTATACATCAACAAATACAAAATACTGTATTACTGTAATTGTAGTGCATAAATCACTTTTTATTCTAGCATAAAAGTTAAGAAAACAAAAGTATTAAAAATAAATAACTGGAAAGTATGTTAAAATATATACTATATGAATAAATAGAAACTGTGACAACATAAAATAAATTATGAAGAAGTTAAAGTGTAGAGTTTCTGTATGTAATTGAACTTAAGTTGTTATCAGCTCAAAATGGACAGTTATAGTTTTTATAATCACTGAGGTAACCACAAAGAAAAAAAATGGCTATAGAAACTACACAAAGGAGAAAGAAAAAGGAATCAAAGCACATCAAAGCAAAAACATTAACATAACACAAAGGAATGCAGAAAGAGAGGAAAACACAAATAAAGAACTCCGAGACTAATAGAATACATTTAACAAAGTTGCAATAGTAAGCCATTCCCTATCAGTACTTAAAGTGTAGATGGATTAAACTCCCCAGTCAAAACACATAGCATGGCTGAGTGGATAAAAACAAAACCAAAACCAAGCCTAACTATATGCTGTCTATTTAAGGATGTACATAAATGGACAGTGAAAGGATGGAAGGAGATAGCTCATACCAATGAGACCCCAAATAGAGCAAAGATGGCTGTGCTTGTATCAGAAAAAAGGGACTTTAAGTCAAAAACTGCCAGAAGAGACAAGAAGTCTTTATTATGATAAAAGGGTCAGCTCCCAGGAAGATAAAATAATTGTAAATATATATGTATTCAGCATAAAAGCACCTAAGTATATAAAACAAGCATTGACAGAACTGTAAAAAGAAATAGACCACAAAACAATAATAATAGGCGACTTCAGTAGTCTATTTTTGATAACAGACAGAGCATCCAGACAAGATCAAAAAGAAAGCAGAGGATTTTAATAACACTATAGACTAAATAGACCTAACAGACATATAGCGGACATTACAAAACTCAAAAAGCAGAATACACATTCTTCTCAAGTGCACATGGATCTTTCTCTAGGAAAGGTCATATGTTAAGTCACAGAACAAGTCCTTACAATTTCAAGAATTATATCAGGTATCTTTTCTGATCACAGAGGGATGAAATTAGAAATTAATGGCAGAAAGAAAACTGAAAAATTCATAAATGTGTTGAAATTAAAAACACATTCTTGAACAATTATGGGGTCAAAGAAGAAATAAAAAAGGAAATTAGAAAATACCTCCAGGCTGGGCATGGTGGCTGACACCTGTAAGCCCAGCACTTTGGGAGGCCGGGGTGGGAGGTTTGCTTTAGGTCAGGATTTCAAGACTAGCCTAGACAACATAGTAAGACCTCATCTCTAAAAGAAAATTTTTAAGTTAGCCAGGCATGGTGGCATGCACCTGTAGTCTCAGCTACTCAGGAGGCTGAAGTGGGAGGATTGCTTGTGCCCAGGAGGTTGAGGCTGCAGTGAGCTATGAGCACACCACTCTACTCCAGCAGCCTGGGTGACAGAGAAAGACCCTATCTCAACAAAACAAAACAAACAAACAAAAAAACCTGAAAATACCTTCAGACAAAGGAAAATGAAAACACAACATACCCAAACTTATGGGATGGAACAGAAGCAGTAATAAGAGGGAAGTTCATAGCAATAAGTGCTTACATTAAAAAAGAAAGAAGATCTCAAATTAACAATATTAACTTTGCACCTCAAGAAGCCACAAAAAAGAACATATTAAGCCCAAAGTTATTAGAATGAAGGAAATAACAGAGATGAGAGCAGAAATAAATGAAATAGAAAATAAAAAACAATATTAAAAAATCTACAAAACCAAGAGTTGCTTTGTGAAACATTAAATAAGATTTTGACAAGTTCTTAGCTAGACCAATAAAAAAAGAGAAGACTCAAATAAAATTGTAAATGAAAGAAGAGATATTATAACTGAGGCCACAAAAATGAAAAAGGATCATAAGAGACTACTGTGAACACCAGCAAACTGTGTAACCCAGGAAATTTTGATAAATGTCAAGAAACATACAACCAACCAAGACTAAGTCATTAAGAAGTAGAAAGTTTGAACAGACCTATATATAGTATGGAGATTGAATCAGTTATCAAAACCCAACAACGAAAAGTCCAGGCCCAGATGGTTTCACTGGTAAATTCTACCAAACATTTAAAGAATTAATGGCAGTCCTTCTCCAAGTCTCCAAAATTGAAGAGGAGGGAACACTTTGAAACTATGAAGCCAGCATTGTCCTGATACTAAAGGCAAACAAGAACACTACAAAAAAAGAAATTATGGGCAAATATCCCTGATAAATATAGATTCAGATTTCCTCAGCAAGATACTATCAAATGCATCCAGGATCACATTAAATGCCTCATACACCATGATCAATTGAGATTTATCCCTGGAATGCAAGGATAGTTCAACATGCAAAAATCAATTAGTGTGATAACAACATGTTAAGAGAATACGGAATACAAATCATGTGATCATCTCAATAGATGCAGAAAAATATTTGACAAAATTTGACACCCTTTCGTGATAAAAATTCTCAACAAATTAGGATAAAAAATCCCCTCAACAAAATAAAAGCTATGTATATGACAAGCCCACAGCTATGATCATACTCAATGATGAAAAACAAAAAGCCTTCCCTCTAAAATCAGGAACAAGACAATGATATCCACCCTCACCACTTCTGTTCAACATAGTACTGGAAGTCCTGCCCAGAGCAATTAGAGAAGAAAGAACAGCAACAAAAAAAGGCATCCTAAATGGAAAGGGGAAAACTAGGAAGCAGAAGGAAAACAGGCAACCCACAGGAGGGGCAAGTGAGAGTCTTTCTGCAGCCCACTTTCCCACTGGAGATCCAGGTGATGGTAGGGCACCTTGATCCTCCCAAGTTTTGAATCCATCTTAGAAAGCAGCTGGGAGGCTGTAAGCAGGAACTGCTCCAGGGAGGGAACTTGCCCTGGGTCCCACACCGATTCTGCAACCTATGTGGCTACAGCAAGATGCCATTTTTTAAATCCTAGCTTTTAGCAGAGTGTGCATTGTTTTGGGATCCAGCAGTGCCAGTCCTAGGCATTCAGGAAATGTGGGCTATTTGCTTGTGGAACTGGAGCAAAGCAGGGGTGGGCTCCTGCAGCTGTAACTGAGAAGCAATCATGGTGTGGTCTGTAGCCACTGGCACTGGGAAGCAGGCACCACTCCTGGGGCTTAAGCAGGATGTGAATTGCTATGGAGTCTCGGTCTTGAGTTGGGTGCGGGCTTGTATGGCCTGGGGCCGAGTTGCAGGCTAGGCATGGACTGCCTAGGTCTGAAGGGTCAGCTGTGATAGGTGGGACTGGGATGAGAGAGGGATGTGTTTACCCCATCTGCTGGCCAAGGCTGTGACTGCTGGGGCTGACCCCACTTTCCCCTTGGCAGGACCAAACTCTTAGAATTTGATAAATGAATTCAATCAAGTTGGAGAATAGGAAATCAATGTACGAAAATCAGTAGCATTCCCATACACTAATAATGTACTAGCTGAAAAAGAAGTCTAGAAAGCAATGCCAATTACAATAGCTACAAAAAATAAATTTAACCAAGGATGTAAAAGATTTCTACAATAAAAACTATAAAACAATGATGAAAGATATTGACAAGGACACATAAAAATGGAAAGACATTTCACATTCATGGATTGGAAGAATGTTACTAAAATGACTGTAATACCCAAAGTGATCTACAGATTCAGTGCAATCTCTATCAAAGTATCAGTGATGTTCTTCACAAAAATAGAAAAAAAATTCCAAAATTCATGTGTTACTACAGAAGACCCTGAATAGCCAAAGCAATCTTGAGCAAAAAGAAGAAAGCTGGAGGCATTACATTACCTGGCTTCAAGATATACTACCAAGCTATATTAACTAAAACAGCATGGTACTGGTATAAAAACAGACATATAGACCAATAGAACAGAATAGAGAACCCAGAAGTAAATCCATGTAATTTTAGCCAACTGATTTTTGACAAAGGTGCCAAGAACATACATTGGGGAAAAGACAATCTCTTCAATAAATGGTGCTGGGAAAACTGGATATGCATATGCAGAAAATGAAACTAGATCCCTATCTCTTACCATACACAAAAATAAACTCAAAATGGATCAGACATAAATGTAAGACCCAGACTATGAAATTTCTGGAAGAAAACATAGTGGAAATACTTCTGGATATTGGTCTGGGCAGATGTTTTATGGCTAAGACCTCAAAAGCACAGGCAATAAGACAAAAACTAGAGAAATGGGATTATATCAAACTGAAAAATTTCTGCACAACAAAGGAAACAATCAACAGAGTGAATAGACAACAGAAGGATAGGATAAAACATTTGTAAACTATTCATTTGACAAGGGATTAATATCCAGAATATACAAGGAACTCAATAGCAAGAAAACAAATAATCTGATTTTAAAATGGCAAAGCATCTGAATAGGCATTTCTCAAAAGAAGACATGCAAATGGCCAACAAGTATATGATAAAATGGTCAGCATCACTAATCATCATGGGAATGCAAATCCAAACCACAATGAGAATCATCTCACCCCAGTTAGATTGGCTATTATCAAAAAGACAAAAAAGCAAATACTGATGCGGATGCAGAAAAAAGAGATCTCTTGTACCAGTTGGTGGGAATGTAAATTAGTACAGCCATTATGGAAAATAGAGTGGAAGTTTCTCAAAAAGCTAAAAATAGAACTATCATATGATCCAGCAATCCCAGTACTGGGTATATATCCAAAGGGAAATAAACCAGTATGTCAAAGAGATATGTGCTCTCCCTGTTTATTGCAGCACTATTCACAGTAACCTAGATGTGGAATCATCCTAAGTGTCCAACAGCAGATGAATGGATAGAGAGAATGTGGTATATTTACAGGATGGAATACTATTCAGGCATTAAAAAATGAAATTCTGTCATTTGTGTCAACATGGGTGTTCCCAGGGGATGTTATATTAAGTGAAATAAGCCAGTCATTGAAAGATAAATACTGCATAGTCTCACTTTTATATGGAAGCTAAAATAGTTGATCTCTTAGACGTAGGCAGTGGAATAGTGGTTACTAGAGGCTGGGAAGAGTAGGAGGAAGGAAGCCACAGGGAGAGATTGGTTAATGAGTACAAAATTACAGGTAGATAGGAGAAATAAGTTCTATTGTTCTATAGCATGTAGGGTGACTATAGTAAACAATAATTTATTGCAATTTTCAAGTACGTAGAAGAGACGATATTTGAATGTTACCAACACAAAGAAATAATAAAAATTGGAGGTGTTGGATATCCTAATCACCCTGATTTGATAACTGCATGTTGTATACATATATTGAAGTGTCACACCATAACCCATAAGTATGTACAATTATGTGTCAGTTAATATATATATGTGCATATATACAAATATTTATACAACATACACACACACATATACGTAACAGAAAAGAAGGAAATCTTGCCATTTTCAACAATATGTATGGAGCTGGAGGACATTACTGTAACCTAAGTAAGAGAAATATCTGCATGATCTCATTTGTATGTGGAAGTAAAATAGTCAAATTCATAGCAGCAAAGTAGAATGGTGGTTGCTAGGGAAAGGAGGCAGAGGAAAATGGGGTGATGTTGGTAAAAGAATACAAAATTTTAGTTAGGCAGCATGAATAAGTTCTGGAGATCTAACATGCGGCATGGTCACAATATTTAACCATACTGTATTGTATGTTTGAAATTTGCTCACATACACGTAGCTATGCAGAAGTAATGGCTATTTTAATTACCTTGATTGTGTCAATTATTTCAACCTATGTAGGTTTATCAAAACATCAAATTGTACACCACATATACACATGAGTAAACACAATTTTTATGTCAATGGTATCTCAATAAAGGTGTTAAAAGAAAATGTGTTATGCACATAAAATGAAATGCTGTTAAGCCTTAAAAAAGGAAATTCTTCAATATGTGACAAAATAGATGAAACTTGAGGACATTATACAAGTGAAATAAGTCAGTTACATAAAGACTAAAATACTGCAATATTCCACTTGTATGAGGTATTTAAAATAGTCGAAATCATAGAATTAAAGAGTGTCATTGTGGTTATAGGGTCTTGGGGGAGGAAGAAATGGGGAATTACCAGTCAATGGCCATGAAGCTGTAGATATCTGCTGTACAATATTTTACCTATAGTCAACAATAATGTATAGTACACTTTAAAAAGAATTAGTGAACTTGATAGCTCGATTATCCAGTGTGAAGAACAGAATGAAAAAAAGGATGAAGAAAATGAAGAGAGTGTCAGGGACTTAAGGGACACCATCAAACTTATCAGTACACACATATTGAGAGTCCCACAGGAGAGGAGAAAGAAAAAGGGGCAGAAAGAATATCTGAAGAAATAATGGCCATAAATGTCCCAAAGTTTTTGGAAAACGTTAACCTACACATCCAAGAAGCTGAGTGCACTCCAAGGTGGGTAAACTCAAAAAGACCCACACTGAGACATGTCATTATCAAACTGTCAAAAACTAAAGATATGAGAACAATTTTGAAAGCAGCAAGAGAAAAACGAGTTATCATCTACAAGGGATCTTCAACAAGGTTATCAGCTGATTTTTCATCGGAAACCAGGGAGGCCAGAAGGCAGTGGAATGGCATGTTCAAAGGTTGAAATAAAAATATAATTCTGTATCCGGCAAAAATCACAAGAGCAGCACCTGCTGTTACCACCATGCAGAATCTTCTTCTCCCAGTGTCTGTGTGCCCCTTTCCCCCTCTGCCCTTCTTCAGGACCCCCGTGACCAATCCTAGTTGACAGTACACACAGCTCCATATCTGACTTCCCTGCTTTTCCATAGTTACATGTGTCACCTTTGATGTTCTCTGCATGTTTGCCCCTTCCCTGAATAGAATGGAGTCTTTCTGAGGGCAGTGAGGTTTGTTCAAATCCTTTTTTTTTGAGACGGGGTTCCACTGTGTCTCCCAGGCTGGAGTGCAGTGGCATGCTTCAGCTCACTGCAACCTCCACCTCCCAGGCTCAAGTGATCCTCCCACCTCAGCCTCCCAAGTAGCTGGGACTACAGGTGCACGCCAACACACCTGGCTAATTTATGTATTTTTTGTAGAGATAGGGTTTTTCCATGTTGCTCAGGCTGGTCTCGAACTCGTGGACTCAGGTGATCCACCTGCCTTGGCCTCCCAAAGTGCTGGGATTACAGGCATGAGCCACCATGCCCTGCCATGAATCTTTTATTCACTGCTAAATCCCAAGCACCTAGAGCAATGCCAGCACATATAGCCCTCAATAAATATTTGTTGAATAAGCAAGTGAATAAATGAATTAGAATACTTAAAAATTATTATAAATGATTGTGAACAATCACTGAGCTCTTACTAGGGGCAAGGTATGACCTGGACTCTAGTCTTATTCCCATTTTACATGGCGGACATGCGGAACGGTTGGATAAGTTGCTGTCAATAGTGGAGCTGGATAGTTCCCTTGGAGTCCAATTCTGAACCCTACTTCCCTCCTGTCCCTGCCTGCTGGCCCATCTTTGGCGATACACTGTGTTGTGAACAAAATAGGTCATTTTCCTTTACTTTGCGTTTATTTCCTATAGTGGTGCTGGGGGCGTTCTGGGTTCAGGAAGCCTCAAAGTTAGAGAAAAAGCCAAGAACACTTTGAACAAATGTGAATAAATGATTGGGACCCTGTGGAGAGATATCTTAAAGCTACAACATTTTTACAGACAAAAATATATAATTAATTTTTTTCTAATATTTTCAAAGAGCATGTTTTAATATTGCAAGAAGAGATAGGAAACATCTTTTTAAAGTCTTATTATCTCCAGAAAACATGAAAGTTCTGCCCTGTGGGTAGACACTGTGTCGTTTAGGGCTGCCCCCAGTGCTGTGATAAATAGACACTCAGTACGTAGAGGCTTTGATGCAAGACAGTGTGTTTCCTGCTCTCATTGCAGACTGAGGGGGCGGCCCCTTTGCCCAGGAATTCGGGGACTCCCTCCCTTTTCATTGTGAAGCATTGACACCACACTCAGGGCCTGGGAGTTTCTTGCATTCAGCTGGCAGAAGGGGAAAATTAGGATGTGGAGGGGCCCACATGCTGAAAAGCACATCACTTCTGCTCGGTGCCGCTGGCCACATCCCAGTCACGTAACCTCCCCAAGAAGGGGAGGCAGGTCTAGTGGAGGGCAGATGGGCTTTCCCTATGTGGTGTGAGGGGTCAGCATGGGGGATGGCGAGCTCTGAATGGCCTCAGCATTTACTCCCCCAGTGGCCAAGCCTCGGCGTTCTGTGGCTTTTCTGAGCCTCAGTCTTCTCACCTGTATGATGGGAACCAGGAAGCCTTCATTTCTGGTCTGCATTGAGGAATAAATGGGGTGATTGATTCTACAGTGATTTGGAGATGTAAACATCTGTACATCTCTAGGGATTATTTCCTGAGTGACTGGGAGAAGGGCAGCCTGGCACCCCTTTCTCTTGCAGCATCCTGTTTGCTGACATCGTGGGTTTCACGGGCTTGGCATCCCAGTGCACAGCCCAGGAGCTGGTGAAACTCCTCAATGAGCTCTTCGGCAAGTTCGATGAATTAGCCACGGTAAGTGCAGCGTTTTTCTTTGTTCGAATTAAATTAGAATTGCTTCTGGAGTGACGATAAGCCAGGTGGATTCCCTGTATTTGGACCATGAACTAGACTGATTGCTAAGCATTTCTTCCAGCAAGGTTATAAATCACCTGTTGTTTTTAGCCTCACTGTTCATTGATTCCTTTCCTTGAACCGGAGCCTTGCATTTACCAGATAAGAAAATGCTTGCACAAGCATGGCCAGCATGCTGTCGAATCGGGGCTTCCATGCAGAAGGCTTTGTTGTGCAGGCCATACGTAGGTACGGGTCTGTCCTGTGCACCATCCTGCTGCCATTGTGTCCCACTGTAGACAGAGCTGGTGTTGCAATCCCTCGTTCTGGGCTCTACTGGAGCAGGCCTGATTCTGGGTCTGCCACCCTCCTGGGATTGAAACTTGTCAGCTGGGGGCCCAGTTGCTGACGTCTCCTGATGCCTGGTGCAGGCAGTGGCCACCCTTGCCCTCAGCAGACTGCGTGCTGGGGTTTTGAAAGACCTTCCTTGGACCAGTCACATCTGGCAGCCAAGTTCTGCTGAATGTCGGGCCAAGGCCATACCAACAGCGTTGGCTTGTAACGTGCATGTTAGGAAGCAAAGATGAGCAAGCTAGCCAAACCTCCTTGTACAGAGGTTTGCCCTCCTGGGACTTAGTCACATTGGCCACAAGGCTCCTGAGGGGCTGCCACTGTCCCCCTTTCTCCCCCACAGAATGTGCTGTGTTTAGAGATAGGACATGTCGGGCTGGGATCTGAGCTGCAGAAGCCAACAGACGTTGCAGGCCCAGAGAGAGCACATCTATTGCATGGCATCGATATCCTACCCCTCGTTTTCCTCCGCTGCCCATGGATACATTGTACTACTCATCAGCCATCAGATTGAAAGCTAGAATGTGCCCTATTTGCAAGTGATGGAACTTCCCCTCTTGCCATTCACCTGGCACATCCTCCCTGAGATTTTCACGCCCAGACTGTGCAGGAAGGGTCGGCTTCTGCAGACAACTGACCATGGGCACAGGAAGTCTCCTCTTTCGAAGAGGGAAGGGGAGGAGGGAGTCCGGTGTCAGGAGAGCCCAGGATGTGATGCTTTTCAGGGCCACTGACCCACCCGAGTTTCCTTGGACCCCAGACACCTAGCATCCCTGCCCTGTGAGGGTGTGGGAGGAGTACAGTGAGATGGAGCCAAGTTCAAGTTCACCTCTTGTCTAGCCTCACTCCAGGTGGTCAGGGAGGGGCGCTGAGATCAGTGTGAGAGGAAGGGGCAGTGAGCTCTGTTCAGCAAGGCAGCATCTTTTCAGAGAAGGTGACAGTGAAGAGTCTTGAGGGAAAATGTGGATGCTCCCTTAATGAAGGAGGGGAGAAGAGGGCACCCTGATTGGGGGCTGGCTTGTGCAGAGTCCTGAGGGGCATTCTGAGCACAGGGCAGGGCTGGGCAGGACAGAGCCAGGCGGTAGTCACACGAGCTGAGGCCGGTGAGACTTGCCATGCCTGGCAGCAGTTAGGGGGACCCACTGGAGGTGGGAGAAAACTTGGGAGCCTGTTGCAGACACCTGGTTAGGGAGAGAGGTTAAGGTAGGAGGGGCAGGGGGAAGGAGGGTGGGCATGGGGGATTTTGGACGCTACTCCCTTTGGAAGATCCCTGTGGGGAAGAAAAGGTCTTGAGATCCAGTTGTAAAGTCACTGTTTACTTTTCTAATAAACAGTGGAAAAGATCAGCACCTTTTACTTTTCCAGTAAATAGTGGAAAAGTAAACTGACTTTACAACTGGATCTCAAGACCTTTTATTCCCCACAGGAATTTTTGTGGGCAGTCACACCCCATTGATAGCCTGGGCCAAAGTTCCACAGCAGCCTGTTTGGGAAAGCCCACTTCATCTTTCTGCTGGGCACTGGAGCTTCTGGTCTGCAATGCCCTTGCAGTCTTGTCTGGGCTGTCCACTAGGCTTGTCCCCTGGACTGTGCAGCCAGTATTGTGTCCTGGGCCTGCTCCTTGCTTCCCACCCCTTCAGCAGGAAGCTGGTCATCTTGGGAACTTTTTTCTGGAGGGTCCCGCTTGGCCCCACCTGGGCCTTTTCTCTCTCACCGTGCTTGGAGCTGATGCTGGGCCCTCCACTCCTAGCATCTGATTGTCTTCCTGGCAGTCCTGAGATGAGCACCTTTGTCTGTGAGGGGACAGGACCCACGTTGGGTCAGCCCAGGCCCTTTGCAGTCCTGCTGTAGACTCCCTGTGGCTCTAGTTCTCTTATGAGGCACCTTATTTCAGCCCAGTTGCTTTGCAGTTTCTTCCTTTGATAAAGAAGTGCTGGCTCCTAGGAGAGGCTGAAGGTGTCACGGAGAGCTGCCTGCTGCTCATGGTGCTGGGCTGTCACCCTGGTCCCAGGCCTTGGCTTCTGCTGTTCCTTTCTATCTGTGCCACTGTCCAGGGTGTATGGGCGGGGGCTCTGGGCCTGTTTCGAGGCATCGTCACATGCTCTGTCATCTCATGTTTCCATGTTCCAAGTGGCTCCTTGAAACCTACTTGGCTCTTTTGCCAGGACACTGATTCATGCCTGGGATGCTGGCTTACATACTTTTATCAAGAAGAATGCACACACGCATCAGAGAGTGGGTGACGTACGTGGTGGAGATGCCTGATGGGTCAAGTGGAGTGAGAGATGTATTGAGATGTGTGTGCCTGTACATATGTGTGTGAGTGTGCACATATGTGAGCATGCATGTGCACACGTGTGTACACATGAATGTGTGAACATGGGTGTGCATGTGTGGGAATGTACATGAGTGAGCCTGTGTGCCTGCAAATGCATATGTGTGTTATGTGTGTAGATGTGTTACATGTGTGAGTGCTTACATGAACACACGTGTGTACATGTGTGTAGGTGAGCATGCATGTGGTATATATATGAGTATGTGCATGTGTGTGTACCTGTGTGAGTGTGCATCTGTATATGCATGTATGTGCCTTGTGTGTCCCCTGTGGGTCACCACCTTTGGTTGGGAACATTCTCTTGGAGACCTTTGGCAGCACAGAACACAGTCACCTCATGAGAAATGGGGACTGAGCTGACATGGTTTTGTGTCAGGGGAGTCTGTCCTCTTGACTTCCCATGTGTGCACGGATGTGTGCATTGCAGACACCTGCTGAAGCACAAAGCCCTGCACTCTGCTATTTGCTTCTCCCAGTGACCATGCAGGATTGTGGTGTTAACCCATGTCCAAGAGAAGGAGATTGAGGGTCAGGGAGAACCAGCTACTTCCTAGAGGCTTGGTGGCTCTGGACCTACCAGCCCCTAATGCGAGGCTCTCTGCCTGGGGTTAGCTGACGAGGTCTGTGAAGGGCAGATAGTAAATATTTCAGGCTCTGTGGGTTACGTATCGTTTCTGTTGCAGCAACTCAACTCTGCTCTTGGAGCACAGAAGCAGCCACAAATACGTAAACAAATGGGTGTGGCTGTACACCAGTAAAACTTTACAAAACAAGGAGTGGTCCACGGCCTCAGCGTGCCAGCCTCTGCTCTAAACCGTGACACCCAAACAGTGTTACGTTTAAAGACATCCATACGCCCTGTGTTTGCCATGTGCCTGCCCAGCAGCTGAGCAGTGGCTGATGTGTTGGCCTCTGGGCGGTGGAGTGTCCTGGGAGTCAGCCCCGTGGAGCCTCCAGGTTGTGCTGCTGGCCGCCTTTGTTCTTGGGGACGCTGTTTCTGGGTAGCAGGGCTGACAGTGCTGGCAGAGGTTAGGATATCATTACAGCTGCAAGATGCCTTCATGCAGCCCTTGAATTCTGCCAGCTGAGAGCTCCACGTGCCCACGAGGAGCACAGCAGAGAGAAATGAAGCAGCAGTCCCTGCAGCAGCAGAAATAGCATCACCCCCGATAACTACAACTCTGGTGTAAATTGGCTGCTCAGTCCCCAGCAACATTTGAGTTTGAGCTGAAGAGAATATTTTCTAGTTTCTAGGAACACATTATTGTAAATGGGATCCATTTGGGCATGAAGCCCTTGACCACATGGGAGCAGAGGGGAGCTCGATTAGGGATCTCACCAGCCAGGCAGGAAGGAGGACGGGGCCTTGCCCTAGTGCACTAATGCCACCACAGAGTGACAGCCTTGGGGTGCAGAGGGCTGGGCAGTGTGTGGGTGGGGGCACATATTGACCAGCAATTGTTTTATAGCACTAGAGGGCCAGAAGGAGATGCTCCAATGTGAGCAGATGCAGGCACAAGGGGCTGGACCTGTTTCTTCTCTTGACCCCTGCCCTCAAAATCAGGGTAGAACTTTAAGAGCCTTAGTTGAAAGTCTTGAGTTTGGCTGCACTATGCAACATGAGGAGACAAAGGCCAAGTTGTTGACCTCACAGAAGTCTTTGTAACATCCTGGCCAGCACATGATGTCATCTTCATTCTAAGAGTGAGCAGAATGAGGCTCATGTGGTAAAACAACATCCCCAGAGCCACAGCCAGGATTGGAAGCGGTGTCATTATGGCTCCGAAGCCTGTCTCCCTAGAAGAGAACTCCTACTCATCCTTGAAAGCCCCAAAGGCCATCTTTTCTCTAGGTCTCTGCCCACTGGGCCTCTGACCTTTCACCAGCCTTCTGTGGAACGGGTGCATCCTGTCCAGCTAACCCTACTCATTCATCACTGTGTGTGTGGCTGTTTTCCAGGGAGGGGTTGGCCTGTGGACAGCCCATACACATGTCTGAGTTGGCACTGAGTCCCAGCGCTGACCATGGAGCCTGGCACACAATGGCTATCCCCGCCTGTTTAAGTGGGACAGTGCCATGCCAGTGTGTCCTCTCCGATGGATTCTAGACTCCTTGGCCTGTTACCTGAAGCTGGGGGACCTCTGATGGCGCCCACATATGAGAATGGCCAGAGGAGGGGCTGGGGTGGCCTACAACAGGCACTTTTTGGCCAGCAGGAGCCTCATTTGGGGAAGCTGAGTTGGGCTGGGAGCAGGGTCAGTACCTGGGACAGCTGGCTTTGGGTTTCCTTAGGGCTCAACTATCTGTGCATGATGGCTCTGAAGAGCAGGGGCCACTTCTTACCCTCCCCATAGCTGTAAACAGGCTCCAGAATCCACTCGTGGGGAGATGCATCTGCAGAGCAAGCACAAGTCTGACTGGCTGTCACCAGGTGGTAGTGAGTGTCCTGTGGGGTTGGAGGGAGGATACCAAGCTCCCCAAGACCCCCGGCGCCCACTTCGCATATGCACAGCCATGGCTGAGCATGAGGCTGCCCCTGGCAGGCTCCTGGTGGGGAGGTTCTTTGCTATTTCTCAGCACATGATTGAGAAGCAATTGTCATGTCACCTGGGACACCTTAAGGTGGATTCTTAGGCCAGATCCAGAACCACTCATCAGAGTCTTAGGGATAAGGAATCTGCATTTTGCTAACTGCCCTGGATTTTGCAGGCCAGAGGCTGAGAGCCACTCTCTAAAGCTTGTGCTCGTATACAGGCCACTAGGCCTCAGAGGTGGGTCTCTTGGCATTCTCCACTCTGACCCCATGGGTTTTCCTCACACCCCAACCTTCCAGCCAAGTGAGCCTCTCGCTTTCCCTGCCTGAAGACCTCGGTTTCCGCCATCCATCTCCATGCTCCTGCCCATGCTCTAGCCCCTCCAGACCCCTGCACAGTTTGTAATGGACAGAATGGAAACACATCTTTCTTCACACAGCAGGGAAAGTGTTTCCCTGTCCTGGGATCCTTGCAGAGTGACCTGCCCAGACTCTATCAGGGGTGGAGGGTGAGCGGTTTCTGGAGGAAGGGGAACATGGGGAGTATATGAGGAGGCACCCCTGCCCTTCCCCAAGGCAGGACATCCCATGGGCTGTGTTTTGGTGTCTTTAGGAAAATTATTAAGAAGAGTTCTCGAATATGTGTGGATGACTTTTTGAATACAAAGGGAATCTGTCAATTTTCCTAGGAAAGGTTTACATAATACTCTGTCTTCTGCAACCTGGCATGCTTCTTTCTTCCAACAAACTGCACCACGTGTGGCCTAACTAGTGCCTGCCTTCCGATAATGCGTGTGAGTTCTGTGGTTCAGTACCTCTGGGATATGTTACACCTCACCGGGATTTCTGCAGCAGCTCCTCATGGGGTGAGCATGAGGAGCTCTTCTTCCTGTTTCAAACCTTTCCTCAGCTTCCCACTGTCCTAGGTGGCACAGAGGGCTCCTTACTTTGAAGGTATGATTGACTGATAATGAGCTGCATATGTGTACGGTTCTGTTCATTTGGGCATATGTACACGTGTGAAGCCATCACCACAGTCAAGATGCTGAGCATATCTTCCAGTGTTTCCTAGACCCTTCGCAATCCCTGTCTCCTCCCACTTCTCATTTTACTCTCTCCCTGTGTCCAGGCAACTACTAATTTGCTTTCTATCACTACAAATAAGTTGGAATTTTCTAGAACCTTATATATATGGAACAAAGCAATATGTACTCTACATTGTCTGGCTTTTTTTCACTGAGTGTAATTGTTTTGAGATTCAACCAACTTGTTGCATGTGTCAGTACTTCATTCCTTTTCATTGCTTAGAATCATCCCATTTTGTAGCTGTACTGAAGCTTGTCTGTTTATTCACTTTTTGATGGACATTTGGTTATTTCTAGGTGTTGGTTATTACAAATAAAGCTGCTATGAACATTCATGTACAAGTCTATGTATGGGTATTCAGTTCTCTTGGGTAAATACCTAGAAGTAGAATGGCTAAAAAACATGGCAGATGTATGCTTAACTTTTTTTTTTTTTTTTTTTTGAGACGGAGTCTCGCTCTGTCGCCCAGGCCGGACTGCGGACTGCAGTGGCGCAATCTCGGCTCACTGCAAGCTCCGCTTCCCGGGTTCACGCCATTCTCCTGCCTTAGCCTCCCTAGTAGCTGGGACTACAGGCGCCCGCCACTGCGCCCGGCTAATTTTTTTGTATTTTTAGTAGAGACGGGGTTTCACCTTGTTAGCCAGGATGGTCTTGATCTCCTGACCTCATGATCCACCCGCCTCGGCCTCCCAAAGTGCTGGGATTACAGGCGTGAGCCACCGCGCCCGGCCGTATGCTTAACTTTTTATGAAACAGACACAATGTTTTCAGAGTTATTGTAGCATTTCACATTCCCATCAGCAGTGTGTGAGTTCCAGTTGCTCCGCATCCTCATCAGCACTTGATGTGGTCAGTCTTTTTAATTTTAGTTTTTTTCTAATAGGCATGTGGTGCTATTTTATTGTGGTTTTAATTTCCTATTTTTTAATAGCTAATGTGGTTGAGCATCTTTTCATTGCTTATTGGCCACTCATTTATCTTTTTGGTGAAGTGTCTGTTGAAACCTTTTGACCACTTCTTTTTATTTGGGTTGACTTTTTTCTTTTTGTGAAGTTTTGAGCATTCTTTGTATGTTCTACATATAAGTCCTCCATCAAATATATGATCCCTGAGACTTTGGCTTGTTTGTTTATTCTCTTAACAGTGTTGTTTGAAGAGCAGAAAGTTTTAGTGTTTATGAAGTCCAGTTTATCAGTTTTTTTAATGCATTGTAACTTTTGTGTTGTATTTAAAAAGTCTTTGCCCAAAGTGCTATAACTGTGTGTTGGTTTCCCAAGGCTACTGTGGTGAAGTACCACAAACTTGGTGGCTTGAAACAACAGAAACTTCTTTGAGAGCAGTTTTGGAGGCCCGGATTCTGAAATCAGTATTGCTTGGCCAAAATCCAGATATTTGCAGAACGATACTCCATCCAGAAGGTTCCAAGGGAGAATTTGTCCCTTAACTCTTACATCTTCTGTTGGCTGTTGGAATTCCTTGGCTTGTGGGCCAGTCTCCCTCTGTCTTCATATTGCTGTGTGTTCCTCTTCATTCTTCTGTTTTCTCTCACTCTCTGCCTTTTCCCCCTCCCTCCCTCTCTCTTTCCCTTTTTCTGTATGTGTGTAAAATTTCCTCCTGCCTCATTTTTATAAGGATACAGGTCATTGTATTCAGGGCTTATCTGGATAATCCAAGATGGTTTCCCTATTTTAAGATCCTTAATTTATTACATTAGAAAGATCTTTGTTTTTGTTTGCTTTGTTTTGTGCTTTGCCATGTAAGTTTGCATTTACAGATTCCAGAAATTTGACTGTGGGTATCTCTGGGGGTCTCGGGAGGCATGGAATTTCAGCCTACCACACACTGAGAGCAGCCATCCAAAATCTCTCTGGATTTCAGTCTCCTTATTCAAAAATAAGACTAAATATGACTATTTTGGTTGGTTAGTGAGAAGTAAAATAATGGAAAGTAAAATAATAAAAGGTCTAAAGCATCTAGCACAGTGCCTAGGACAAGGTTTACACTCAATATATGGTAATTATCATTGTTACCAGGAAAGCTGTGATCAGTGGGGTCAGTGTTGTTAAAACTATGCAGGTATTTGAAAATCCAACTTGAAAATCATTGAGACCCTCTAACATAAAGATATGATAAACTCATTTTAAAAATCCCATCAAGTTCTTAGATAACCAGATAACATTTGATGCTAGAAATTGTCCATTTATCAGCTTTGTCTGTTTTAGAGAATTGTCAAATAACGTTGTCCTTATTAGCATTATAATGCAACCGGATTCCATTTTAACTCTGCAAATGTCCTCTCATTCTGCTCTGTGCAGGAAACTGCTAATCACTGGTACGGGCATATGTAAGGAGAATACAATCTGTGACTTAGTCTGCCTCACAATCCAGCAGGGGAACAAAAGTTTTCCTTAAATACTTGTTTTACAGAGCACATACTATATCACAAGTAAATTGAGTACTATTTCACTTATTCTCAATTTTATAAGCTCTGCATCCAAACTTGAAAACAAACATCATCCACAAAAAGTCAAAGCATTAGATGCAATTATCAGATTAATGTTTAATAAGGTGAAAACACAACATAGTGTATTCATAATTTTTGTGCGCATGTGAATTCTGTAGCTTTACAAATACACATTGTCCTAAGGAAAACTCACATGAGAAAGATACACAAATAATCACAATCATTTGTTTCATTTGCCAGCTATCTAAGCCAAGCCTGCATATCTCTGCATCTCAGAGTAAGGTTGCAAAGTAAATAAATATATACCTACAAAAAATAAAGTAAAAATCTTTGCCTAACCAAAGTCAGATTTTCTCCTGTGTTTTCTTCTAGGGGTTTTATAGTTTGAGGTTTTACATTTAAGTTTATAATACATTTGGAGTTAATTTTTGTGTATGTTTCGAGGTATGGGTCAAAGCTGGATTTTTTTTTGTTGTTATCTTGATATCTAATTGTCCCAGAATCATTTACTGAAAAGACTATCATTTCTCTACTGAATTCCCTTTCCAAAATGTTAGAAAAATCACTTGTCCATATGTAGTTGAATGTATTTCTGGATTTTAAAAAATTCTGTTCCATTAACCTATGTGTTTATCTTGACATCAAAAACCACACACCCTGGCCCTGTAGTTTTATAATGTATAGTCTGGAATCAGGTCCTGTGCTTTATCCAAGTTTATTGTTCTTTTTCAAAGTGATTTTTGGCTATTCTAGGTGCTTTGCTTTTCCATGTGAATTTTAGAATCAATTTGTCAGTTTCTGTAACAAAGGCTGGTGGAATTTTGTTTGGGATTTGTGTTGAATCTATGTTACCAATCTTCGGAGGATTAACATTTAAAAAATAGTCTTCTGATTCACGAACACTGTATGTTTATTTAGATTTATTTAGATATTCTTTAATTTTTTCTCAGAAAAAATGTATAGAAAAAATTCTATACATTTCTCAGAAATGTATAGTTTTCAGTGTATATGTATTTCTTTTTTCTTTTTTGACACAGAGTCTCTTTCTGTTACTCAGGCTGGAGTGTAGTGGTGTGATCACAGGTCATTGCAGCCTCCACCTCCTGGGCTCAAGCAATCCTTCTGCTTCAGCCTCCTGAGTAGCTGGGACGACAGGCACATGCCACCATGCCCAGCTAATTTTTAAATTTTTTTTTTTTGTAGAGACAGGGTCTCACCATGTTGCCCAGGCTGGTCTCAAACTCCTGAGCTCAAGAGATACTCTCGCCTTGGCCTCGCAAAGTTGCAGGGATTACAGGCATGAACCACCATGCTCGGCCAATGTATATGTGTTTTATATATTTTATCAGATTTATTCCTAAGTAGCTCCTAGCTGTTTCTTTTTTAGACGGAGTCTTGCTCTGTTGCTTAGACTGGAGTGCAGTGGTGTGATCTTGGCTCACTGCAATCTCTGCCTCCCAGGTTCAAGTGATTCTCCTACCTCAGCCTCTGGAGTAACTGAGATTACAGGCACACACCACCATGCCTGGCTAATTTTTGTATTTTTGGTAGAGACGAGGTTTCACCATGTTGTCCAGGCTGGTCTTGAACTCCTGGCCTCAAGTGATCCACCTGCCTCGGTCTTCCAAAGTCCTGGTATTACAGGCGTAAGTCACAGCACCCGGCCAATGCTGTTGATTTTTAACTTTTAATTTCTGATTGTTCATTACTGGTATAGCAAAATACAGTTGACCCTTGAACATCACGGATTTGAACTGTGTGGATCCACTTATACATGGATTTTTTTCAATAAATATATTGGAAAATACTTTGGAGATTTGTGATAGTTTGGAAAAACTCACAGATGAACTGCGTAGCCTAGAAATATTGAAAACATTAAGAAAAGTTTGAGTATGCCATGAATACATAAACGATTATACATGTATTTAGGTTGGTGCAAAAGTAATTGTGGTTTTTGCCTTTAATAGCAAGGCCCGGCACGGTGGCTCATGCCTGTAATCCCAGCACTTTGGGAGGCCAAGGCGGGCGGATCACGAGATCAAGAGATCGAGACCATTCTGGCCAACGTGGTGAAACCCCGTCTCTACTAAAAGTACAAAAATTAGCTGGGTGTGGTGGCGGGCGCCCGTAGTCCCAGCTACTTGGGAGACTGAGGCAGGAGAATCGCTTGAACCCGGGAGGCAGAGGTTGCAGTGAGCCGAGATCGTGCCACTGCACTCCAGCCTGGTGACAGAGTGAGACATCATCGCAAAAAAAAAAAAAAAAAAAAGTAATAGCAAAAACCGTAATTACTTAAATTACTTATAGCAAAAACCACAATTACTTTTGCATCAACCTAAATAGATACTAGCCTATTTATATGTTAATCAACTGTTAATGTTATTGGTAAGGTTTCTGCCCAATGGTAGGCTATTGGTAGCTATGTTTTTGGGGGTAGTCAAAAGTTATACATGGATTTTCAACTGTGTGGGGGGTTGTCACTCCTAACCTGTGTTTTGTTCAAGGGCCAACTGTACAATTGAGTTTTTGTATTGATAAACTGTACTGAAACTCCGCTGAGCTCACTCATTTCTGGTAGGTTTCCGTATACATACGTTTTCTACATAAATCATCATGTTGTTTGCAAATGAAGACAGATTTTCTTCTGCCTTTCCCGCTTGGGTGCCTTTTATTTGTGTTTTCTTGCCTTCTTTTACTGGCTAGAACCACCAGTACAATGTTGAATAGAAGTGTCAAGAGCAGGCATTCTTGTCTTGTTCCCAACAGTAGGGGAAGGCATTCTGTCTTGCATCATTAAATATATTACCAGTTGGATTTTTTGTGGATACTTTTTATCAAGTTGAGCAAGTTTCCTTTTATTTCTAGTTTGCTGAGTTTTTTTTTTTTTTTTGATTCAGAAATGGATGTTGAATTTTGTCTAATTCTTTTGCATCTATTGGAAGGATCATATGGTTTTTCTTTTTAGTCTGCTCATATAATGAATTACCTTGATTGATGGTAGGATATTTAAACATCCTTTTGTTCCTTGGACAAGCCCTACTTGGACATAAAGATGGTCCCCGACTTATGATAGTTTGACATATGCTGTTTTGACTTTAAGATGATGGGAAAATGATACACATTCAATACAAAGTGCCTCCCTCTCGTGATGCTGGGAGGCAGCAGCAAACCACAGCTCCTGATCAGTCATACAGTTTTGACTTTCAATATTTTCAACTTACCATACATTTATGGGTTGTAACCCCATCAGAAGTTGAGGAGGATTTGTATTGCATTATCCTTATTTATTGTTGGCTTTGCTTTTCTAAAATTTTGTTTAGAAAATTTTTCATTTATGTTACTTAAAGATATTAGTCTGTGGCTTTCTTATTCTGTACATGGTGTCAAGATAATGCTTAACTCATAGACGAGTTTGGGAACATTTCCTTTTGTTGAATTTTTTGGAATAGTTTTTGTAGAAATGGTATTCTTTCTTTCTTAAATGTGTAGTAGAATTTACCAGTGAATCCATCTGGACCTGATATTTTCTTTGTGGAAAAGTTTTTAACTACAAATTTAATTTCTTTAAATAGAGCTAGTGAGGTCAGTTTTTTTTTTTTCCTTAAATAAGCTTGGTGGTAGTTCTTCATAGTATTTCCTTGTTTTCCTTCTAATATCTGTAGAATCTATAGTGATGTCACCTCTTTTATCCATGGTTTTGGTAAGTTTTGTCTTCTCTTTGATCATTTTGGCTACAAGTTTATCAATTTCATTGAGTTTTTAAAAAATAACTGCTTTTCATTTGATTGATTTCTCTATTTTTTCTATTTAGTTTCTTTTCGTATCTGTATTATTGTTTTTCTTCTGGTTATTTTGGGTTTAATTTGTTCTTCTTTTTGTAGTTTCTTAAGGTGGATGCCAAAGCCATTAATTAAACATTTTTTATGTCTTTTAATATAAGAATTTATTGTTGTAAACTTACCTGAAAGTATTACTTTAGCAGTATCCCACAGTTTCTGGTATGTTGTGTGTTTTTCTAATTCTGTTCAAAATACTTTCTAATTTCTCTTGTTTTTTTTTTTTTTTTTTTTTTTTTTTTCCAGACCCATGGGTTATTTAGAGATGTGATTCAGGGATATTTCAAAGATCTTGTTTTTTACTTCTAATTTAGTTCTTTTGTGGTCAGAGAACATACTTTTTATTATTTGAAGCCTCTTAAATTTATGGCCCAGAATATGGCTTACTTTGGTGGTTTAGTGCTCTGATTTTGTAGAATTCTGTTGTTAAGAGTGTGTTCAGTAAGTACCAATTAGGTCAATTGGTTGATAGAATTGTTCATGTCTTCCATATCTTTATTGATTTCCTGGCTACTTGTTCTCTCAATTATTGAGAGAGGGGTATTAAAATCTCCAACATAATTGTACATTTTTTCTTTCAGTTCTATTTTTACTTCATGTATTCTTAAACTGTTATTCAATTTTTAAATATTTGTAATGGTTATGTCTTCTTGATAAATTGACTATTTTATTATTAAGAAATGACCTTCTTTATTCTGGTAATATTTTTTGCTTTGTAATCCCATTTGTCTGATATTAATAGAGCCATTTCAACTTTCCTTTGACTATTGTCAGAAAGAATAGTTGTCACTCAATACTTACAGGGCATTGTTCTAAGACTACCAATGGATACCAAAATCTGGATACTCAGGTCCCTTATAAAAAATGGCATAGTATTTGCATATAACCTTTATACACATCCTCCTCTATATTTTAAGTCTTCTCTGGATTACTTATAATATCTACTACAGTGTAAATGCTATGTAAATAGTTGTTATGCTGTATTGTTTGGGGAATAATGACAATAAAAAAAGCTGTACATGTTCAGTATAGATGCAACCTTGATAGGCCTAACTACATTCTGTCATCTGCAGTTGGTTGGATCCATGGATGCAGAACCCATGGATGTGGAGGGTCTGTGTCTTATTCCATCCTTTTATTTTTAGTCTGTTTGTGTGTGTTCGTTTGTTTGTTTTTGTTGGGACAGAGTCTCGCTCAGGCTGGAGTGCAGTGGCGCAATCTTGGCTCACTGTAACCTCCGCCTCCCGGGTTCAAGAGATTCTCCTGCCTCAACCTCTCTAGTAGCTGGGATTACAGGTGCACACCACCACACCCAGCTAATTTTTATATTTTTAGTAGAGAAGGGTGTTCACCATATTGGCCAGGCTGGTCTCGAACTTCTGACCTCAGGGAATCCGCCTGCCTCAGCCTCCCAAAGTGCTGGGATTACAGGCATGAGCCTCCATACCCAGCCTGTTTGTGTCTCTTTATTTGAAGTTTGTTCTTAGTTTTGCTTTTATTTTTTCTACCTAAGATGACAATCTCTGCTTTCAATTGGAGTGTTTGGACTGTTTGCATTAGTGATGTGGTTAGGTTTGGTCTGTTACCTTGCCATTCGCTTTTTGTCTCATTTGTTCTTTGTTCCCTTTTTTGTTTTCTTTGGCCATTTTGCTAATTTATTATGTTTTATGATTTCATCTCACTGCCTTTATTGGCTTACTAGTATAATTCTTTGTTTTGTTATTTTTGTGGTTGCTTTAAAGTTTATAATAGGTATTTTAACTTTTAGCAGTCTACCATCACATGATTTATTAATTACAGCATAAGAAACTTACAATTATATACATCTGTTTCTTCCTTCTTGGCCTTTATGACATTGTTCCCATACATTTTACTTTTTCTAGTGTTATAAACTCCATTTTACATTTTATTTACACAGTCAATTCTCTTTCAAAGCAATTTAAACAGTAAAAATATCTGATCTGTTTATTCATGTAGTAACTATTTCCTTTGCTTTTCATTCATTTATGCAGTCTATTTCTTTGTGTTTTATGTATCTGCCTAAATTTCTTTTGGCTGGGTGTGGTGGCTCATACCTGTAATCCTAGCACTTTGGAAACTGAGGTGGGAGGATCACTTGAGGCCAGGAGTTTGAGACCAGACTGGACAACATAATGAGACCCCATTTCTACTGAAAAAAAGAAAAAACTTAACTGGGTGTGGTGGCACATACCTGTAGTCCTACTTATTTGGGAGGCTGAGGCAGGAGGATCGCTTGAGCCCAGGAGTTTGAGACTGCAGCGAACTATGATCACATCACTGGACTCCAGCCTAGGTGATAGATTGAGACCCTATGTGTGAAAAGATAAATAAAAGAATTTTAAAAAACATTTCTTGTAGTGCTGGTATGCTGGTGATGAACTCTTTCAGTTTTCGTACTTCAGAAAGACTCTATTTTGCCTAAATTTTTTAAAATGTATTTTCACCACATGGAGAATTCTAGGTTGACAGTTTTGCTTTGTTTTCTTCAGAACTTTAAAGATGTTGTTCTATTGTCTTCTCTCATGCTGTCTCCAATAAGAAGTCTACCATCAACTGTCTTTCTTTGTTTGAAATAGGTCTTCTCTGTCTACTTTTTTTTCTTTTCATCACTGGTTTTAAGAAATTTGATTTTGATGTGAATTTGAGTTTTCTTCATGTTTCCTATGCCTGCAGTATGTTGAGCTTCTTGCATCTGTAGTTTTACAGTTAAATCAAATTTGTAAAAACAAAAAACAAAAAAAAACCTGGGTGATCCTTTTTCAAATACATTTTATGACTCCTCCTCTTCCTCCTTCGGGGACATCAGTTCCACATGTATTAGGGAGTTCCACTCTTGAGGGAGCCTGTAGCTCATTGGTGATTTTCTTCAAAATTTTTGGATTCTTTTCCTTTCTATTTCATTTGGATAGTAGCTATTTTCTTCTGCAGTGTATGTCATGTCATTAATTTTATCCAGTATAGCTTCCATCTCAGACACTCTAGTTTTCATCTTCAGAAGTTCAATTTGAATCTTTTTTCCCTTTGTTGAGGTAACTGCCTGAAAGTTCAAAATTGGAATGACCCAGTTTGCTCCTTTTTTTTTTTTTTTTTGTATTACTTGTTTGGTTTTTCTTTGTGCATTGTTGGTGTTACGTATTTTTCAAGTGTATGTTTTACTCTAATCTGCCTGAGTCAGTTTTTGAGGAGCACATAGGAGGATGTGTGTGCCTCATATGTGCTGGTCTTGTGTGTGAGTCCCTGTTGTTGGACATGCAGGTGGCCCCTGTGAAGTAGGAGCATGTGAGATGCGTGTCCCTCAGATGTGCTCACGTTGTGTCTGGGAGTATGGCAGCAATGGAGCATGTCTTTTAAATGCTTTGGTCTCCATAGGGGCATTATATGCAGGAAAGAGCTACCTTTCCTTCTAATGGTTTATAGTGAGTCGTGGCTGCCAGATGTCCATGCATACTGAAGCCCACTGGTAGCCAGGATGGGTCATATTTAGACTGTAGGCTCAAGGTTGTATAATTGATGGCTGCAAGGGCCTGTTTCTGAGTCTCTGGTGTTGGAGATGCAGGTGACCCCCATGAAGTAGGACCACATGGGATGTGTGTCCCACATATAAACTTGTCATAAGTCTGAGGCCCTTGTGTTGGTGATGCAAGTGGCCCCTGTGACGTGCAGGCTTGGAAAATTACACACAGCTACAGTCCAAACATATCTTTCTCTATGAAGGTCTCTGGGGGAAGTTAAACAAACACAGAACATGTTTGCCTTAGTCTCGATAGTAGCTGATGGTTTATTTACCTCCTTAGCCATGGTTGATAGTCACAGATGTGAACAATATTTTTGACCTTTTCCCCATTTATTGGATACTTGTTAGATTTACATTTGCTTTAATACCCATGTATATTTGGGAGACTGGCCACACCCCTTTGAATTGATGAGAAACACCTGCCAAGGCCCAGTCTCATTCCACCTTCACCTGTGGAGGGACAGGGCCCCTTCTCTGGATGTCAGTTTTCTTAACAGGAACATGAACTGGTTGAACTAAGCATACAGTTCCTTCATCCATTTCCAGAAGACTGTGGGGCAGCATGGAGGGGTTCACTGTGTGCCATCTGCAGAGGTAAGACAATCCTAGCTTGGCAGGTTATCAGCTGGGCTGCCTGGGGCTCATCCTGATCCCATTCCTCAAGTGGATGGGAGCACAGCCCCTTAGTTCTGGTCATAACTCCAAGACCCTTCTGGGAACATTTTTTTCCCAATGAGAGCACCTCACATTGTTGTAAGTTCTCAGTCCCACAGTGACTGTTTCCTGGCGCATGCCAGAGATGCATTCAGATTTCAGATGGTACAGGCGGGTCCCTGATGGGGATCAGTGCAAGAGTAGACTGGTCAGTGTGGTGAGGTTAGACAACCCCCATGAGACATTCCCATTCCTTGGACTGGGCTTGAGGCTACCTGGATCTAAGTAATCCTGTGGGATATGCTGAGCCAACTGATGGCCTCTGAAAGTCTGTGCTGACCCCAAACATGGACACATCAGTAGACATTCTGATCCATGGGGACCCAACACAGAGGAGTAGTTGAGCAATGATTTAATGAGTGTTTAAGTTAGGATCGCTTGCATTCATATAATTTGCTTTAAGGGAATATAAGACAAG
Organism: Homo sapiens; assembly: GCF_000001405.40. Lineage (NCBI taxonomy): Eukaryota > Metazoa > Chordata > Mammalia > Primates > Hominidae > Homo > Homo sapiens. Next base: position 45,640,055 of record NC_000007.14, read on the forward strand.
TGTTGTGCCGGGTTTAAGAATCCTCCTACAGGCTGACACAGTACTGGGCCTCCTGGTCATAGATGACAAGGCGAACATTCATGGCTTTATGGTGCAGTTGTTACTCAACTGAACCTAGCTTTGATTGCCCAGCACAGTAAAGCCAAAATATCTACATGGAGGGAGAAATATCTACAGCAGGAGAAAGAAGGGCCTTCATTTGCAGGGTGCCAAGCAAGGAGAATTGAGCAGCTCCCGCTTAAGACAGAACCTCTCCAATGGCTTGCAAGCAAGGTTTTTAAAGGCAGGGGTAAATTTCAGGAAAGCAGAAGTTACAGACAAAATCATAAATTGATACATGGTAGTTATACACTGGTTTGGCCTAAAAAGATGGGATATCTTGAATAGGGATATCTTGAATAGGACTCCTAGGTAGAGTCAAAGTCAAAGATTTTCTGATTTTTAATTGGTTAAAGAAGAGAAGTTTTGTTTAAAATGTCGAGGCAACAGAAAAGAATGTCAGCTCTGGCTTGTGGGTGTGACTTCCTTCAGGCCCTTAAGGAAGAAATTTAGGACAAAGATTGGCAGTCAGAGTTCAGTCCTCAGTTCTCCATTATTTGAGGTCGCCAGCATATCCATTTGGGGTCTAGGTTTCTAAAAAACAACTCAGGGACATATGTTAAGATGTTATCTTTATTTTCTATAGGGGACCAAACATCCTTTAACTTTTAACTATTGTTAAAGTAACTTTAACTTCCTTGGCTATTGTTTTAAGCTACTGTTATATTCTTGCTTATCAGGTTGCTCATTTACCTCTCAGGGCTAGCTGGGAGCCTGGAATTTCCCTTGAAGGAACTCAGGATTTTCCTTTATTTCCATGCTTGTGGGGTCCTGCATACCCCTAAGAGGGGTCCCTGCTCTATCTCACAGTCTGACCATTTTGTTCAACCTTTAATTGCCAAAAGATGACATTATTATGGCTTGTGTTAGTGAGGTCATTATTTTTCATTTATTTTGTGTTTACTCTGGATATTTCCAAAAGGGACTCATGGAAGCCAGCCCAGGAGACAGAGCTGTCCCTGTCAAGTCTCAGGTTCATGGAGCTGTGTATTCACTTCCATACTTCCTCAGCCCCTCCCAGCCTTTGCTCTCCTTGTGGATCCTTTCACTGGGCTTGATTCCGAGGCCAGGAATCACCAGGCAGCTGCAAGGACTGCACCCACGTCATCCTCATGTCTTGGTTTCTATGACTATAAAATGTGAAAAGGACACTGGAAAGTCTGTACATCCTTTGCTGCTCCCATACCCCAGTTCTGTGAGCTGCTAAAAAACTGGCCACACTGGAGGCCTGAAGTGAATTCTCACCCGTAATGTAGCTCCAACAATTGTTAATGTCTGGTTAGTCTTGTTTGGTCTCTACCCTCTGCCTTCCCTCAAATCCTAGACATCATCTCGCTGCCTCCATAAATCCTTTAACTCTATCATCTGAGAACTTTTGACCTGGCACCACCACGATACCATTATCATACCCAACCAAACTGATGAAAGTTACATCATCTCTAAAACCCAGTCTGGGCTCGGTTCACCCTTGTGTCTCAAAAATGTCTTTTCGGCCGGGCGCGGTGGCTCACGCCTGTAATCCCAGCACTTTGGGAGGCCGAGGCAGGTGGATCATGAGGTCAGGAGATCGAGACCATCCTGGCCAACAAGGTGAAACCCCGTCTCTACTAAAAATACAAAAAATTAGCCAGGCGCGGTGGCGGGCGCCTGTAGTCCCAGCTACTCGGGAGGCTGAGGCAGGAGAATGGCGTGAACCCGGGAAGCGGAGCTTGCAGTGAGCCGAGATTGCGCCACTGCAGTCCGCAGTCCGGCCTGGGCGACAGAGCGAGACTCCGTCTCAAAAAAAAAAAAAATGTCTTTTCATCCTGGCTGATTTGTTCCAACCAGGATACAAATGAGATGGACATATGTCTTGATTGTCTTGCGAGATTTTAATATTTGGAGGTGACTGAACAATGACACAGACAGTCCCGTGCCATTGAGGGAAGTTTATTACTCACAGCCTGTAGACCAGAGGGCATGCATGCCATGCCAAACAGGGCCACACAGTGAGCACCCAGGTCATCAGCAGGCAGAAGGAGGAAGGAGACAGTGTGGCCTTGAGCCTTCATTGTGGTTTCAGGGTAAGGAAGGGGTGGGGCAGGTTAAGCAGCTTATCAGGTTTAGGATTAGATAGTTTGAATAATGTGCATGGGCTCAGGGCTATAGGAGTGGGCCCTGGTTTGTACCTGGCCAGGGGGTGATTTAGGGCAGGTAGGTGAGAATTAGATTAGACAAAGGGTGGTCAGGGGATGGACTGGGGATGGGTTGGTTTGCATGTGAAAGTATTTACTGTTTCTAGGAATTAGCTAGTCTTGGGATTTCCCTTTTAGTCTTTAACAGTGCCCCTCCCATTTTGGCCCCCCATCCTCTGTGACATTTTTTTATGTGCTCCTCCTGCCCACTTGTTGGCTTCTATGAACTGGTAGATCTTCAGGAGACTTAGTAGTTTCTTGGATCTGCTTTTGTTGTTGTTGTTGTTGTTTTAATAACCCTTCCCTGGGTGGCTGTGCACTTCTCGTTGCTTCTCTCTAGCAGGCAGGTGCTGGCTCCTTTTCTTCTTGCCAGGTTGAGGTTGATGGTGGAGCGGTTATCAGTGAGACCCGTCCATCAATGGTCTCCCATCCACATTGCACCCAATGGTTTTATAGCAGCTGCCTTGCAAGCATGGCTGACATTTTGTGTTGCATTTGACTTTGCAAGGTGGAGGTTTTTAATTCCCTAATTTCTTCAGCATTATTAGCTCATGATTTTTTCTAAAAAAGAATACTTATTCAGCTATTTGGTTATTCTCAAAAATAGTAAATGTTCAATTCTTTTTACTTATCAGTTTTCAAAATAATAATCAGCACCCCGTTATGAAGTCATGGATTTTTAAAAATTTGATGTGTTTTGATCGATTGCCGTCTTTTTTATTTTTGGTGTTAAATTTCCTATTTTGGCAAGTGGGAGCCTGTTCAGGTTACTTTCTGTTTTCTGTCTTTTTTTTTTTTTTTTTTAAGGTCAGTCACCTCTGAGCAGCATCTTCAGACTAATCATTTTTCTAGAAGGCCTGGTTTCTTTCAGTGGGAAATGGTTTTTCAACACCATAATCTGGGTTGTAATTGGTCCGAGGCTTTTTAGGGCATTGAGATAGGATTTTTTTTTTAGGAAAATAAAAATAAATTATGAGTTTATATTGATATTTCCAATTCACTTCACTCCTTGGATTTTTATATTTGTATCTTTTTGGTGATGCTGAAAATTCTAATGACAGTAATATTATTTATTTCATCTTTCCATATATAGTAGGCTCAAAATAACATTGCCAATATTATTTTCAACAATAAGTCTGCTGAATGCAATTGGAGATTTCTTTGTGGTTATTTTTGTCCTTGCATTATATTCTACCAGACATACAGTCAAATATGCATTTTCTCATCGCTCGAAATAATTCTTCTCTCTGTGGTCATGCTGGTAACAGGTTTATTTCATTTTGGTTTTGATCTTTTAGGTATAACTGTTTTTAATTTTTCTTTTTAGGCACATAAAATAATTGCATGGTTCAGTTCCACAGTAAAAAACCGAAGTCGAGGTACATGGAGAGACCCCTCCCTTGCTCACTGTTCCTCCCGTGCGTGTAGTTAGATGTTTGTGCTGGGTTTCCCCTTGCCCCTCCATGGTTCCTTTTGGTTTCTTTTTGATGCTGGTAGTGCATGCACTGTGAAACTGTTCCTGGAGAGTGCTTCCCAACAGGGCACGCTGATTCCTCAGTCCTCCCCTGAGGCAGGGAGGCTTCCGGGGACCTGATTTGATCCTGTTGATGAACAGGTGTCTGCAGAGTTCTTGTGTTTCAGCTCTTCTGCGCTATCTCTGTAGCAGGAAGCTTCCTCTAGGGTTTTCTAAAATTTCTTATTTCGTTCTTCCACTGATAGCCAAACACTCCAGTCTTACAAAGTTAATTGGACTTGGCCAGTTTGGGTTTTGGATGCAGTCACTTTCGGGCAAAAACTGGATTGATTCAGGCTTTTCATCCTCTCCTTCTCCCAGGTATCTGTTTTCTTAGAATTGGGATGCAGTGTGCGAGTCCATGACCTCTCTGGACTCTACTGTTTTAGAGCTGGCCCTAGAGCGGCCTGGGCATGTCAGAGCTCTGGAATTGGCAGTGGATCTTCCTGAGCCACTGACTCTCTGCTTTCTTCTAGACGTTACCTCTGTGCCCTTCTGGGACGGGTCCTGGGGCTGGGCAGGGTCAGAGTGCACTGGCCTATGTGAGCCCTTTTTGTTCTAGACCCTTCTCTGTGGCTGCCTGCTCAGTCAAGGCCATGATGGGCCCAGACTGTCTGCAAGCTGGCCGCAGCTCTTTAGGCCATACCTGGAGCAAATCAGGAGACTTTCCTATCTGGATTCTCCTGCAGTGGCTCTGTTATACTGAGAAGCTTCTGTTGTCATGTCACCTGCCTGTAGTCCTGTCCCTTTCAAGCCTGGGAGGGAGGGGGCAGCTCTTGTCCCTTAGGGCTGAACATGCCTCTGAGCCCCTGCCAACCCTCCATCTCATCTTCTTCTTTCTTCTTTTGGAGGAGACACAACACTTCCTGTGGTGCTTTATTGCAGTGGACTCTAGGTGCTGACTTTCCATATTTATACAAAAGAGTCTAAAATCAGAAACACTAAAACCAATTAGAAATACCTTTTTTGATCTCTTAAGCTTGCTAACAAAAGCCAGGGCCTCTGAGATTAAAGACAAAATAAAGCAATATATTCAACATTTGTCCTAAGCTGTCTCCACTAGTGCCAGCGTGGTGGAGGTGGGTGGGAAAGGGATGCCATGAGGGCCCAGGAGGGTTCTCAGCTTTGCATCTCAGAACAGTTTCCAGAGACTCATGTGTGATGCTGAGTGAGCTGGATATGTGCACACATGTGTGTATGGTATGAGTTGCCCAGGTTCTAGGAGAGGATTGCTGTTCTAAAGACAAGTGTTCTGGACAATTTCTTTAGAATACACAAGCCCTCATCTGCTTGTAAGGCCTTGCCACATGACCATGTGCATGTGGATAGCCTGTGCTAGATGGCTTTGCCCTTGGTCCTCATGCAGAGATAGGTTCTCCCCACTCACAGCTCGCCCACACCATGCAGTGACGGTCACACTTGAGGCTCCGTGGGCATCTCTTTAGCCTTCATTCCCGTGTGCTATTTATGCCTCCTTTTACATAGGACTCCTGTAGGGATGGTAATTGAAGATTCCACCCCAGCCAGCCCCACAGCAATGTCCTTTTCTGCGGTGGCCATGCCAAGTCTTGGTGTCAAATAGGATAGTTGGGTTGACAGGGTGGGCTGTTTGGAGCAGCTGTACTGACAGGCCCCACCTTTGCCTTTTACCCTGGAGGCCCTGCTACCATCAGATCTGACTGGCCTGTTCACTCATGCACACTCATCCCTTCAGCAGCCTTGTCCTGCACACCTGTCCCACTCCAGGGATAGGCTTGTTCTGGACTCACAGAGATGACCAGGAGGCCCTGGTAACCACGGGACCCTGGAAGGATGCTGGGAACACAGCTCAGAGCTGAGGTGGGGGCAGGGACACTAGCAGTTGCCCACAATCCCTGAGTCCACTCACGCACATGAGATGCAGGGATGATCAGGGACCCACATCACCCTCAAAGTCCTTGACGTCCAGAGCACAGGTCCTTAGAGTTGGGGATTGGTGACCCTCCCAAAACCATGTGCAAGAAGAGTTCCAGCAGCCAGTGGGCATTGTGGCTCTTGTGGGCTCCCAGAGGGGTCTTGAGCCCTCATTTGGGCCTCTGAGAAGAAATCCTGATGTGTCAGGGCTATCATCACAGGTTGTGAGTGCTCACGGGGTTTCTAATCTCAGGGAGGGGGTGGGAGGTGGCAAGGGCTGGGTGGAGGAAGCCTGAGTATGAGGTGTGGCCGCTTCCCCTTCCTGGCAAGCCCTGTGCATTCAGGCCTGTGTCTGACCGTTGGGGACATTTGGGGGATGTTTGGAAGCAGGCCTGAATGCACAGAGCACACCAGGGCAGTGCCAATGGGGACAGGGTAGTGTCCCAGGAGAGAGCCCAGAGCTGACTGTGGGCCTGGAGGCTCTGGTGAGTATGGCTTGAGAAGGCTGTCCGGTCGCATCCCTGGTGAGTCCCTGAGGGGTCCTGCCTTCAGTTTTGCAGGACAGAGACTGGCGCTGGCAGCCCACGCTGGAGTCCAGTGAATGGTCATTCAAGCTGGGCCCTGAGGGGCTGGCACTGGAACCAGGCAGCAACCATGTGTCCAGGTCACTTTTGTGGCCTCTTGGCTGTACCTTCCCTGGGACAGGACACGGTCCTTTCTGTGAGCACTGACTGTGGTTCCAGGCCATGTCATTGCTGCAGTGACAGTAACCATGGTGCCAGCCACTGCACAGAGACCCTTGCCCAGATCATCACTGGTCCTCCAAGCAGGCATATCCTGACCCCTTTGAAACATTTGGACACCTGGGAAACAGCACTGTGGGGCCAAGCAGCCTGCCCTTGGGTGGAGTGGACCTACCTACCCAGCTCTGAACTCATGCTCCCGGGCCCCTGCCACAGGCTCATGTCAGCTGCAGCTCAGCCTGCTGGGGGATGAGGGCAGGTGGGAAGGCCCCCTTCTGCAGATGAGGAGGCCAGGGTTCTAAGGGCTAAGTAGTTGTCACAGTCATGCAGAGATGGAAGGGACCCTAAGTGGCCAGACCCTGGATGTCTTTGTACTGTCACCAGCCTCTCTGTGACCAGCTCCCTGTCAGCAGGAGGAGCCTGCCGGGCCCTCACAGAGCAGACTTGGACCCTGGGCTTTACAAGGCTGGCCTCAGTGTCCATCTCACAGACTGAAATCTCTGATCACCTCCTCCCCTTTTCTCCCGTCCATGGTCTTGGAGTGCTGAGGGAGGCTCAGTGGTGGAAGGAGCTGGGCAGAGAGCCAACTGTATGCCCAACAGCGCCCCCTCCTCTGATGCTGGGCGGTGGCCAGGGCCATCTCTCAAGGTCCCTGCAACGCCAGGCCTGAGGGCAGCTCAGGACAACAGCAGGGTCATCAGCTGTCTGCTCAGCTCTGGGAAGATACTTCCATGGACAGGCCATTCAGCTGCTAGGCCAATCCCTGCTCAGCCTGGGAACTGGGGCTCCCAGCGGTCGGTGTGGCCTGTCCCTGTCCTGACTCACTCTGTGCTGGCCATGGTTCCTTTTCTCTAAGAATGTGGGGCACAGATGAGCACAGGGGTCATGAGAGCTGATGATTCTCATTCCAAATGCACTTGTGTTAACTCAGCATTCGACAGGACCTGCAGGGCCCCAGTCATTTGTAAGAAACCAAAGGATCACATTAAATATAAGCCACCGATGTGTTCTCAGAGTGGCTGAAGGAGTTCTGTGGCCTTATAAGACCATTTCAGGGGACTTGTGAGGTCCTTCCTCATCCAGCACTGTGCTTGTGTGAGGCTGGTTCCTTCACGGGCATCTGCAGAGATAGCACAGCACGAAGGCTGGATGCAGAAGTGGGTCACAGAATCCACTGTCTGCCCTGGAGATGACGGCACCACAGAGGCTCACAGAAGTGGACTGCAATACTGTGCTTCTCACTCATTGTCTTTTGTTTGGGGAAATGTCGTGATTTTTCATAAAATGTTATTTATGTTAACATGCAGTGGATTCATTATTATTTTAAATGCATTTGTACATGAAAAAATTCTTATTGTTAAATATCAGTAGCTATAACCCACCTACACAAAAAGTTTTAGTTTTTAGTGAGTCCTTAGTGATTTCAAGACATAAAGGGGTCCTGAAATGGAAATGTTTTAGAGCTGCTGTTTTAATGTTGTCCCTGAAATAAACACAACAGTCGTGATGATAATCCCAGTTGACACTGATTGATCCAAGTAAGACAATACAGGGTCTTAGAGTTAACTCTCTCCACCTTCCATGTGCCCTGTGAGGCTGGTGCTGCTGTTCCTATTCATACCACTGTACAGACGAGCAGATGGACATTCAGCTTTGGCCAGTGCCTTCTGCCTCCTGGGAGTGTGCCCTGTGGGTGGGGAGGTCAGAAGCCCCAGGGACACCCAGATGGGTGAGAGGTCCACCCTTCCTGGGGAGAAGCAGCTGCTGGGGGGAATCTAGCACATTCCAGAGGGCTGTCCGTGATGGTCTGCATGGCGGTTAAGGGAGGTGCCGTGGGAATAAAGGGAGTTGGGGAAGATGCCCCATGGAGATGGCATTCCAGCCGGACCTTGAATGATCATCCTGTAGGGTTGGCTCAGTGAAGCAGACAGGAGGGATGGACCCCCGAAGGGGAAAGAGGCCATGAGCGAGGTATGGGGAAAGGGAGAAGGAGATCAATGTGAGCCTGGTCCCAGCCCTCAAGACTGTGCTGACCACGCAAGGGTGTGGCCTGGGCGGGAAGGTGGTGGCCCAGGTGCAGCATGTCTTGCCAGCGCTCTGTGGCCACCAGTGTCTAGAGGTGGTGGAGCCAGCAGTGGCGCTCACAGCCTCTGTAGCGCTGTCTCTTACCATGTGCCTTGCCCTTCCCTGAAGGAGAACCACTGTCGCCGCATCAAGATTCTCGGGGACTGCTACTACTGCGTGTCGGGCCTCACCCAGCCCAAGACTGACCATGCCCACTGCTGTGTGGAGATGGGACTCGACATGATTGATACCATCACGTAAGTACCCCGTGGGGCTGAGAGGAGTGGCCTGGGGCATCTACACATTGAAATCCTAGAAGCTGAGCCACCTTCTGCCCCATGTGGGCTCCCCTCTCAGGGTCTCGCTTTGTCCTGATGGGTCTGTCTGAGGCTGCAGAGAATGATGCCAGCATTAGGAGGATGCTGGGTTCAGGAAAGCATGAAAGGATGCTTCCGTGATTCCCTGCCTTTACATTTCGTGTGTGGCTGTATTTCTTTGTCCACAGGAATCCTGCATATTGTCAGGTATGCATGAGTCATACAAAAATAAATTAGTCTTTAGCTTAGCCAGATAAGACATACAGAAAGGTTTGGCCCCAATCTAGCTGAATTCTCTATTAAAAGGAAGTAAATATGTGTGTTTCTCTTCACTCAGCAAGGTAACTGGGTCTCAGATGCTCTCTGTGTGGGGAGACAGGCTTGGGATCGGGGCAGGTGAGTCTTCATGGAATGAATATTACACCTGTGAGGCCAGGCCTGCCCATTTCTTGGTCAGTCTTATGTTGTCATTGTCCTTATCAGAGACTGGGATGAAGACACAGATGTTTTTGTCAAGTTAGGGAAGGTGTGGAGCTGGAAGGCTGAGCTAATGTATGGAGTGTAGATCCAAACAAACATCTCAAAATGTGGAGAGGTGGGTATGCTCCAATGAGATGGGGCCAACAGGGATTGGGGCATAGCTTCATACCTGGAGCGGAAAAGTAGTAGCATAAGAATTTTGTAGGGAGATGATGGGTAGTTGCAGGTGAAAGGATGCACAGGCAAACACCCCACCCAGCTAGGCTGAGAGATGGGGCGAGACTGCTGGCTCCCTTTGCCCCATCACTGCCTCGTGGGCTGCCCCATGCAGTGCTCCTGCAGACAGTGTGACTGGAAGGAGGCGGTTGGGAGGAGGCTGGTACCTCAAGCATTGTGCCCACTTCTGGCACCTGTGTGTCGGACACATGAGCAAAGCCGAGCCCTGTGGGGCAGCGGTTCACCAACACGGCTTCATGTCAGAGTTGCCTGTGAAAACCAAAGTCCCTGATGGTAGCTCCACCTCAAGAGCCCGAGGTGGCTGGTCTGGAGTGTGATCTAGGACTGAGAGTGGAAAAGCCCCCTCAGCTGACCTCAGTACACAGCCTAACAGAGAGCCATTGCCCCAGAGAAAAGCAGCCTGGCTGGAGGAGATGCTGGGCAGAAGCAGGAAGGAAGGAAAGATGCCTGGCGTGGAGAAGACTTAGAAGTGATGACCATCACCTGTTCTCTGAAAGGATGGGATGTTATCACAGCATATCATATATATTGTATGTTGCATCTCAGATGACATCATACATCACCTTACATCATGTATCACTTGTATATCATATGTCATATGTTACATGCCACATCATGTTTCATGTAATATATATCACATATATCACATATCACATAATCTACCATATAACATATCACATATTATATATCACACGTCATATAACTGTCTTTCGTATTTCTTAATGGATCACATCATATCACATTATGTCATAAATGACATTATATCACATCACATATCATATGCTATTTGTGTGTATATAGATAATATATCATATCAGATCTGGTTTTGTGTGATCTCCTTGGGGGAAAATGAGGCTCTGTAGGTGGATGCTTTAAGGAGACAGATGTCAGTCCATTTGCTTAGTAAATATTTGTGAAGCCCCCACTCGGTGCTGAGCACAGACACAAGCAGAGTTGAATGATGTGGGCTGACCTGGCTGACCAGGTGGCTCGTGGAGCTGAACTGGATGGCCTTCTGCCCTTGAAGGTTGGTGACCCTGACTGTGCCGAGTGGGGTCCTCCTGAGAGGGGTCTGCTGCTTATTCTTGGCCCCTGGTCTCCTTACCTGGCTGTGTATGCTCCTGTGCTCAGTAACACCCCATCTTTTGCTTGAGGTTCTGGGCCTTAAAGGGTGCTGTCCTTCCTTCTACTGTTTCTGCCCTGCATGTTGATGGGTTATAAGCTGTTTCTGCAGACGTGCCTCTTCCTGACCGCTGCCCAGGAAGCCCTGCGTCTACGCTCTGGTTCTGCACCTGGCCTGGAGCTGCCTGGAGCTGCAAACCCACCTGGCTTGCTCCACTTTCTGGTTCACTTGCTCCATGAACCTGTGTCCTCTTGGCCAGCTCTCCTGGCATTCCAGCTGCTGGCTCTCAGTCTGTGAGATTCTCCAGGATTTGGTGCCTTCAGCTCCACATCTCTACCCCTGCTACCTGAAACTGGTCTACCCTAGTGCCAGGGGCATCTTCCTGGGCCTCCTGTAGCTGCTGTCTGCTTGGGCTCCTGATTACCAGAGTGTTCCCAGGGCCTCAGGAAGCTCTACACGCCAGAGTTCCTGTCACTCAGCTTCCTGGCTCTGGACCGGAAGAAAAGCCACCGAAGACTGAGCACGGAAGATGCCTCCCAGCCAAACAGACCCTTCTTCCTCCTCAGACTGTCACAGACCCTGGGACCCACCAGTGTGTGCTCTGCACGGCCGGCCTTCTGTTGGGACCATCTTGGCATCTGGTGCATCCCCTGCCAGCCACATTGGGCTGTGTGTGTCCCTGCCTTGCACATGCAGGATGGAATATGTTTATCAACAGGGGGAGCTTGCCCAGGCAGAGGAGGACACTTTATATAATGTCTTTCTCTTCCTCCTACCTTGGAGTGGAGTGTTTTATTTGAAACTTTGGAAATACAAAGTTTCAGGTGAACAGGTGAAGTGGCCAGAGCTAACCTTTCCCCGCAGGGCTCCATGCTGGGCCTCGCAGCTGGCCCACTGATTCTGTTTGCTCCCCGCCACTCCTCAGTAGCGAGGTCTGCACTCTCAACTGCATTTTTTTCCTGTCTTGAGTCTGATTCTGTTCCAGAAAGCCCTTCCCATCTCCAAAGGAGCGGGCCATGCCCCAAGACACTAATTTCAGTAATTGCCCACTGACTTCCTCTTTTAATAGAGTCCTCGGTGGCAGGCTCAGTGCCTGAGTGACCAGGAAGGAGAGGGGCCTGCAGGTCAGATGTGTCCCTTTCCAAGGCCCACAGAGAGGTCTGTTCCAGGCTTGGGGAATTCTGAGTGGGCAGAGGAAATCCTAAGGCACATAAGGAATGTGTATTAGTCTGTTGTCACACTGCTATAAAGAACTACCTGAGACTGGGTAATTTAAGACGAAAAGAGGTTTAATTGACTTGTAGTTCTACAGGCTGTACAGGAGGCATGGCTGGGAGGCCTCAGGAGACTTACAATCATGGCGGAAGGCAAAGGGGAGGCAAGCACGTCTTCTCATGGCGGCAGGAGAGAGAGAGCAAAGGGGAAAGAGCTACACACTTTCAAACAACCAGATCTCGTGAGAATTCACTCACTATCATGAGAAAAGCAAGGGGGACATCCACCCCCATGATCCAGTTACCTCCCACCAGGTCCCAACATTGGGAATTACAACTGGACATGAGATTTGGGTGGGGACGTAGAGCCAAATCATATCAGGATGGTTTGGCTGGTTGGAAGATTCTTGAAGCATCCCATGCAGATTCCGTGGTTCCAGAGGCTGCTCTGATAGAGGGTGGGTGTTGGGGCTCCATTGTCAGCCTCTTTTCAGGCCAATGCTTTGCTGGTAGCACAAGAAAGAAATTGCTGCAGGTGCAGGCAAGCATGCAGCCAGAGCTGGGTCTTGATTTCTGAGGCTGGAGAAAGTCTTTTCCTTGTTGAACAAGTGGGAAAGATCTTGTTTTATCGCTTTGAAGAATGTTTATTCCTATGGGAAAAACGGATAGACATATTTTCCTTTTCTGATCTGTAAACCTAGGCCTCCCACGCCTAGCATCTAGTCCTTTTTCATGCAGATCGGTCATTTGGGAAGAGTCTAGGACCCGTTTTGTCAAATGCCTGTGGGCCTAGTGAGGCTCCAGTGTGAATCAAGGTGGGGCTGAGAGAGGCCCTCTGAAGTGCAGGGTGGGGCATCTCTTTGTAAAGACATGGTGAAGAATGCTGGACTTGAAAGTGGGATCCCAGGGCCCCTACCTTCCTCAGCCACCAAGCTTAGCCATCCTGGCCCTCTGGGAGCCACAGCATCCAAAGGCCAGAGCAGTGGGCTGGGGCATCTCCAAGGCTCTGGGCTCCTGCAGATGGCCCTGGGCAGTCTGACCCTGCCCCCAGCTTACTTGCCCTGACCTCCACCTCTCTCTCAAACTTGGGCTCTATTTAGGAGTGTGGTATACTATTTTGGAAATGCCCGTTAATTTTTATTGGTATGATTCTTAGTGAATGCTTTAAAAGTGATATACATTCCCTGTTTGGGCCAGGTGGTTCCTGTCTATAGGAGAGATGAAGATGGGATGAGAAGTATCCTAACTGTCCAGTGAGTTTGGTGACTGTGCTGGTCTTGCTCCTGAAGAGCTGTGTGACCCTGGACATGTTCCTTTTGTCTTGGAGCTTCAGTTTTCCCCCTCTGTAAAATGGCCAATTCTGCCTCATGACATCCTGTCTCTGAGCCCACAGAGCATTGGAAAGATGAGGGTGGCAGGACCAACCTCCCAGCTGCTGCAGCCAGGCTGACAAGACCAGGCCCTGTGTCCTGAGGTTTGGGGCCAGTCCTTGACCTTGAATTTCCAATGGGATTTCTGCAGGACTGCCCGCGATGCCCAGACTGCAGGGACACAGGCAGCACATCAGTCCCTGTGTCAATCTGAGACCTTCCACGTGTTAAGAGTCTTAGTCTGAGGCTTCCCAATGTTCCCTCTCTGTATTCCATACCTGGAAGTCATGTGTGACACTCTTGGGGCAGAAAGAAGGGGGCATTTTCTCCTGCTGGTGAAGTCAGATGAGGCCTGAACCCCTCCCTGGGGCCTGGCTTGGGGGATACTCAGGTTTGAGTCCCTCTCCCCCACTGGGGCTTTGCTCTGTGTGAGGTCTGTGCTCACCCACCTTCTTCTGCTCATACCCCTCTCCTCTGACACGCACCACCAGCTCTGCTGCTCTCCCAGAGTTGCCCTGAGTATTAGGTCACCCTAGGAAGTTGCTCCTAGTCAGCCAGTTCTGGCCTACCAAAATGGCATTTCATATGGTTTCAGCTACCTCATCCCCAGCTGCTGTGTTTCTTGAGTGGGCTGGGGGGCTTCTGATTTCAGGAACCTGCTAGATTCTTGGCTCCCATCCTTCAGGCGATGCTTCAGGTTCCTCGAGTCCTTAATTTTCTTTGCAGTAAAATGGAGAAACAGTGTTTGCATCTCTGAGTTGTTTTGATAATTTAATGAGATCTCAGATTAAATGGGCCTGCATGGACTGGGTTCTAGCAGCCGCTGCAAGTATTGATTCATCAGCTCCCAGAAAGAGGGAGCCGGTGGCCAATATGGCAGGATTCTATCTGAAGCCACATGGTTCTGTGTACCCATAGGAATGTGGATTTTTCTGTCCACTTCATGGGGGAAGCCTTGTTCGTCACAGGTGATAGGCAAACCGTGAATCAGATTTTGAACAGGAACCTCATTCTTCCACATGACCACCAAGTATGCAAGCCACCATTTTTGCTAAATAGACTCAATCCAGATGCCTTGCTGGCAGTGTGTATTTTTGGTTTACTACATTGAATTAAATTAGAAGTAAATGGCATGTGCTTTTCCTCCCTGACCCACTTTTGAGCTGCTAAGTTCAGCTTGTGTGTGCTGTGGTCGTCAGTAGAACTTGATTGTCCCCCAGCCTGCATCCCTGGAGGTCGTGCGAGAAGGGATGCCTGCTGGCCTTGTCTGCCTGGCACTTGGGCTGTCCCCAGCAGTATCTTACTTTTTAACAAGGGGGCTAGTGTGTGCCACATGGAGCATGCTTCAGTTTCTCAGCGCAGAGAAACTTGGAGGATTACTTCGTCTAATTATTGGATTCTAGTTTTCAGAGCCAGACCTGTTGATACATTTAGGGATGGATTTTCTGTGGGAGAGGTGATGCCTGTGTGCACACACTTCTACAACCACCACACGTGGTTTTCCCTAAAATTTTAGGGGACATGGAGCTTCTGAATCTTTATATTCTAGATCGAGAAGCTGCATTTTTACAGTTAGGGAAACTGAGTCCTAGGTAGGGAAGGGAGGAGCCCAAGTTGAGGTGATGAGCTTGAGCCACCTGAGGCTGAAACCATTTGCCCTGCCCTTCCCGCCACACAAGGATGGGGGCTTGGAGGCTGCTGCAGGCGTGTGTGTTGTTGTTATTTCTAGAAATTCTGCCTAGGTGACAGTAAATCGGCCTCTATGGTGTCCTCTCTTCTCTTTTTTTCCCCCTGTTATGTGCACAGCTATAGCTACAGTGCTTGAAATAATGGCTGACACTCAGTAGATGTTTGTTGAACAAGTGAATGAATGTATGCTTACCTGTCCTTTCACTTCCAAGCTTCAGTGCAGCCATGACTAGGTTTCAGCTCTGCCAGAATTTACTCACGCCAAGGGGCCAACAGTGGCCCCCTCTGCCAGAGGTGGGTTGCTTCCTCATTTCCTTCCTGTTGGGGTCCAGCTCAGAGGACCAAGGTCAGGGCTGTAGGTGGTGGGCAAGTGTCAGACTCTTCCTCTGCATAAAAAACACTTGTGATAAATAAGTGAACCTGAGAGCACAAGTAAAGAAAAAACATAGTACAAATAAAGCCAAGAAAGTCCGTGGAAATTCTGTTCCTTGGAAATGAAGTTAAAGGTTCTGTTGGATTTAGACGAAGCCAGCTTGGGCATCCCAGGAATGGTGAAACCAAGAGGAGTCACTATGAGAACAGTTCTGGGTGCATCAGTTTTTTAGAAGTAACTGTTCAGTTAACGGCAGATCTGATGTTACCAAGAATTGAGATCTTTGAGGCAGAACCGACTGGGAAAGATTGAAGATGGAGAGTATTGGTAGAACATGGTGGCGTGGATTTGGTTGGAGGCTGGTCGAGGTGCCACTTGCTAGGAGCCTAAAGGTTTGCTTTGGTGAGCTCGAGGGGATCTGGGGATGAAGGTGGGCATGGGTCCCAGAAGTCTCCGTGCCATTTACTGTTTCATGGCTTCGGAGGCACAAACACTAACAGTGCACAAAAACGTTATTAGTATGTTATGTTATTTACATTTTCCCGTACTCATTTCCTTTTGTGAATTTTGAAAAATAAATTTTTTATTTCAGCGTTTGGTTTCAGTGCCTCAAAGAAGATTGGCAAACAACTGAAAAAAAGTTAAAATAAAAAAGTATATTCAGCTGGGCATGGTGGCTCACACCTGTAATCCCAGCACTTTGGGAGGCCAAGGCAGGCAGATCACGAGGTCAGGAGATTGAGACCATCCTGGCTAACATGGTGAAACCCCGACTCTATTAAAAATACAAAAAAAAAATAAAAATAAAAATTAGCTGGGCATGGTGGTGGGCGCCTGTAGTCCCAGCTACTCGGGAGACTGAGGCAGGAGAATGGTGTGAACCCGGGAGGCGGAGCTTGCAGTGAGGGGAGATAGCGCCACTGCACTGCAGCCTGGGCGACAGAGCGAAACTCCGTCTCAAAAAAAAAAAAAAGTATATTCAAAATATGTAAAACTACATAGGTATTAAAGATATATCAGTAGTCTAACTTCCACATAATGTAAATCTGTGGCATGCATACTTCTGAGTTTACTGAGGTTTCTGAACGTGTGCTGGGACTTGTGTGATTCTGTGGTCTGGGCAGCCATCTGCCTTGGAGTGGCTGCTGGGGCCTCCATGTGCTATGGTTTTTGGGCACAGGCCCTTGTAAGGATGAAGTGGGTAGTGATGGGCAGCTGGCAAGGGTTTGAGTGGAGGTTGGGGAAGCAGTGGGGTTGTGTGGAGCAGGTGCTCCCTGAGCCTTGGCTGGGGCTCCAGGAAGCAGGCCACAGTGGGAAGTTGGGGTGAAGGTGAACCAGACACAGGCTTCTCGGGTGGGTGGCACAGCCTTGCCTTGCATGTACCGAGTTGTTATTGACAAATGTGATATACAGAGGCCTCTAGAATGGGACTCCAGGCTGAGCTGGTTTGCTGTCACCACCTGATGGCCCACCCCTTAGTCCTTGGAGCTTTTGTTAGTATTTCCATCCCGGATGGAATAGAAAGAGGAGGTTGGCCTCTTAAGCCTTGAGATGTACTGGGTTAGAGTTTAAATGATTTCAAAGCTTGTCAAAGTGAATTTAGCTGGAGCTGGGTGTATACACGAGGAAACTGAGGCATAGAGATGGGCATCGTGTACCCAAATTCGGCCAGGCTGGCCTGGGGTTTCCCAGAAGCCCTCAGTTCTCTCACCACCTGCTCTGCCTCTTTTCCCTTCCCTAATACCCCTTGCCATACTCTGTTGTCCCCACCCCAGCTCCTGGTGAATGCCCCTCATGTCACCAGCTTCTCATGTCTGGATGTGGCCTCCAGGCCTTGACCATAAGTTTGCATTGAGGCCTAAGGCCAAGTGTGTGTCAGGAAGGGGTGGGAGGCAGAGCCTGATGCCTGGGCTGCAGATCCTGTGGATGTTTCCAGCAGGTTGTCATCTGCATCTGGCTGGCAAGCAGGCATGGGTCCCTGCGAGGGAGCAGTGGCCTCACAGAGCCTTATGTTAATCTGAACTGTCCTGATGCCACACTCCACAGTAATGACCAGGTCCACCTGGGATTTGGGGACTGCCCTGGTCAGGGAGGGCCCTCTAGGAGGCCATGAATGGAACTCATGAGTCTGGTGTGGACATGGTGCGAGCTGGCTGGGAGCATGGGCCAGAGCCACCCCTCCTGCCTAAGGCCCTCAGCCCACAGGTGGGCAGGAAGGCTCCATGTCCACTGACTATGCCAGGAGACCTCCACGCTCAGGCCACATGCAGCAAGGACAAGACCCAGTTTCCCTGGTGCTCACAGCCTAGCAGTGCAGACCAAGGTGGCCCCCTGGGAGGATACAAGGTGGGCCCTAGCCCCACGCTCTGTGTCTGTGTTGCAGATCTGTGGCTGAAGCCACCGAGGTGGATCTGAACATGCGTGTGGGTCTGCACACGGGCAGGGTCCTCTGTGGTGTCCTGGGCTTGCGCAAGTGGCAGTACGACGTGTGGTCCAATGATGTGACCTTGGCCAATGTCATGGAAGCCGCTGGCCTGCCAGGGTAAGTCGGGGATGGGGTGGGGAGGGGAGGGAGGTGGGTGATGGCTGTGCACCCCTGGGCTAAATCCTTGCTTCAGGTTCTGGGCTGTGCTCTTGAGGGCACTTGTGTGAGTGCTCCTGGAGGAGCCTGCCTGTCCCAGCCGCACCTGCCAACCAGACTCCCTGTGGTGGGCGTCCCACCCAGCCTGGCTGCCAGTCTGTGCTGGGCCCAGCTGAGCCTGGCGCACATCTACAAAAAGCTGTCATTGGACCAGAAGGCCAGAGCAGATGCGTGTGGGGACCTCTGCCCATGGCATGGTGCTGTCCTCATGGCTTGTTGTCACTGCATCACTTCTCTTTTTGCTGTCTTTGATTTCATTTTCTCAATGTGCAAATGGAAAGTGCTGGGACTTTAGAGCTCCTTCTCCACCCCCAAGCTCCACACAGCCATCTAGGAGCTCATGGACATCTGGGTCACAGATGATGCCTTCTTTGAGCTCTCTGAGAAGTGCCATGGGCTGTTGATGGCTGTGCACCGTGGCAGGCTCAGCCTTGTCTTGAGGAAGATTTCCATGCACCCCTCTGCCACCCCCAGGTCCTGTAATCTCCCTTTTGTATGATCTCGCAGTGGCTATCATGGCAGGCAGCTTCTCCAGAACACTGGCTGCCCCTCAGCAGGCAACTTTTGCAGAACACTGGCTGCCCCTCAGTGTGCCCGGGGCTCAGCATAAAGCAGGGGCTTCAGTGAGAGCTGGTGTTTTCCTCTCCCCGTTGGCTCCCAAGGCCGGGCTATGCAGCCGCTGTCTTCATTGCTGATGGAATGGATGAAGCATCAGCTGAACACAGGAATGCACAGACACTTGCCTTTCTGGAGACTGTGGTGACTGGAAGTTTCCAGACAGCCTCGGTGACCGTTGTAGTTCAGGGCCAGGCTGATGGGGGTGACAGTGTCCCCAGGTGCTTCCAGGGCCCCTCCGGGGGGGCAGGAAGCAGCAAGGGTTGAGGCTTGCCGTGAGCGCCCTGCCTGCCCCAGGCCAATGGGAGCTGCTGATGGGGACACCCAGGGAGCATCCCAGCAGGGACTGGGCCCGGGGATCCAAGCACTCTGAGTTGATGACAGGAATCGGCCCCTGTAGATGGGGCAGCACAGGGACAAGCTGAGGCTGGAGTCAGAACCTGCCTGTGCTGCCCTCTGGCCCCTTTGCAGCCTCTCTTCCTGGCCTGGCAGTCCCTCCCTGTCCCTCCTTCTCCCACCCCCTGCTCCTCTGGGGATCCTGGTGGAGCCACTGCTGGGAAAGGCCTCGTGATCTCCTGAGCCCTGTCCTCACCCTCTCAGGATCCCAGTGAGCATGGCAGCTCTGCCTTCAACTGCCTCCTATCTGAGCCAGGCTCCCTGCTTTCGTCCTCAGCCAGCCTTAGAGTTTAATTATGAATCCCAAGCTTTTCCCCTGCGAGGAGTTCAGAAGGTTGTGCGGTGAAGTGAAGAACTGGGTTTGCAGGGAATGGTTTTGGAAGGTGGGGAGTTTGCTTCTCGCCCCATAAACCTGCGAGCTCAGGCGTGCCCTGCTAAGGAGCAGAGACTGTGGGTGTTCGTTTTCTGCTGAGACGATGCCAACTGTGGGGGATTTTCCTGTCCTCACCAGAAGATTGGGTTGGGGAGGCGTGAATGCCTGGGCTCCACAGCGTTTCTTACCACCCTGCTTCCCACCCCACCTCATGTGTGAACACCGTGGCCACCCCTGACTTCTTGCTACCCAGTGGGGTCTGCCCACTCCTTGTGCTGACCAGACCAGACCATGGCTGGGGAGGGACTCCCATGTCTCCTCTCCTCTTTCTCTTCTTCACATCACTGCCCATTTTTTCCTCAACTTCCCTAATGAGTCCTGATGTATTCTTTCTCTCTCTCTCTTGGTTCCTCTGCTCTCCCTCTGGCCCTGTGTCCCCCACCTCAGCCATCCCTGCTGTCCTGCTGGGCATGGTTCCTGATGGCCCTACTGTATCTGCCTGGGCCCTCCCTCCTGGCATGGACGGACTTGCATGGGAGCATGAATACTCCCCGTGGAGCCTGCCCTGGTGTGGGGAAGCCTCTGTCTGTGCCCCTTCCCCTCTGGTAAGGCCCTGCAGACTCTGACAGCAGTGGTTCCCCACTCATCTGGCCTCTGCCTCCTCCTTTTGTAGGAAGGTTCATATCACAAAGACGACCCTAGCGTGCTTGAATGGGGACTACGAGGTAGAACCGGGTTACGGACATGAGAGGAACAGTTTCTTGAAAACTCATAACATCGAAACCTTTTTTATTGTGCCATCCCATCGCCGAAAGGTAGGCACCAGAGCCCCCCTCATTTGGTTGATCCTTAGCTTCTTGGCCTGTGCAGAGCTTTACAGATGTGACTCCTCCTGCTTCCTCTCCAAGCACTGCTTCTCTGGGCTGTGAACTTGCTAAGATGGGGAGAGTTGTCCCCACTGACACCGTCCTGAGCCTTGTCTCTTACTGGTGTGGGGAGGGGTCTAGGTAAGGGAGCCAGAACCCCTAGTCAGAGATCTGGGATCACCTCGGGGCAGGCCGTTCTGTGTCCTCCTTCCCCTTCCTGGGCCTTCACTGCCTCCCCTGCAAAGTGGGCATGAAACCCCGCAGGGGGGCCAGGGATGGGGAGCTCTGTGAACTGAGGGGTGCTGGGCACAGAGGTGGGCTGTTACCGTCTTACATGGGGCACTTGAGGTCACCCTGCCCAGAGAAAAGTGGTCTGGACATGATCAAGAGTGATCAAGTCACTTTCAGGGTCCATGTGAGGGGTCAGGCTCAGGTGAGGGTGCAGGACTCAGGTGAGGGGTTCAGGCTCAAGTGAGGTGTTCAGGGGACAGGTGAGGTGTTCAGGGCTCAGGTGAGGGGTTCAGGGCTCAGGTGAGGGTGCAGGGCTCAGGTGAGGGTGCAGGGCTCAGGTGAGGGATTCAGGGCTCAGGTGAGGTGCAGGGCTTAGGTGAGGGTTCAGGGCTCAGGTGAGGGGTTCAGGGCTCAGGTGAGGTGTTCAGGGCTCGTGAGGATGCAGGGCTCAATTGAGGGTGTAGGGCTCAGGTCAGGGGTTCATGGCTCAGGTGAGATGTTCAGGGCTTAGGTGAGGGGTTCATGGCTCAGGTGAGGGATTCAGGGCTCAGGTGAGGGGTTCAGGCTCAGGGGAGGGTCGATGCCTCAGGTGAGGGTGCAGAGCCATTACTGTGTTGGCTCTTCTTAAAGAAACAATTTGTGGGAGCTAGTCATTGTGCACCCCAGTGGATGCAGGCCCCTGGGCTCTGTCACATTGACATAGACAATAGTATCCAGTCCTGTAGTTTGAGGGTGAAAGGGGGTGACAAGATAGGTACAGTATACAGCCCCACTTTAGAGAAGTTTGAATAGCGGGAGGGGAAGAGTGAGAATGCTCAGAAGAAGGGGATTTTGTTGTTTTGAAGAGTGGAGATTTGTACCTACCTGTAGGGGCCAGAGAAAGTGAAGTTGAGAGGTAGGCAGCGAGGCCAAGGAAGGGGTACCGCATTCCTGGAGAGGAGATGGGGTCAGAGCTGCTGTGGGGGTGCAGGAACTTTGGACTCACTCAGAAGACAGGCCGGCCAGCAGGAACGATGACAGTGGAGCATTCATGGGGTCCCACTTTCCTATCACCTCATTTGACCTTGAGAAGGCCCCAGCGGGTGAGTGGGTGATGTTCATCCGATTTTACAGATGGAATTTCACCCAGAACATGAGGACTGTGAGGGAATTGAGGTTCTGAGCCTCAGCTGGGTGCACTGCCCAGCCCTCCCCATCCTCCCCATGCGATTTCTTTCCTTGTCTGTAGAAGGGGACATACTGGAAACTGAACGGGGTAACAAAGACCTTCATTCCAAGCCCTGGTTGTCTTTCCTGACCAGGGCCTCCAGCCTTCCCCCGCACTTTGCTTCAGGATTCCGAGCATCACGTAGGCTTTTAGAGGCCTTTGGTGCGGATTGAGAATGGAACGTTTTGGACGTGGCCCTCCCAATATGGTTTTGTTTGCTGCTCTATTCTGGGCACGTTCCCCAATGCCTGGCTTGAAGTAGGCGCTGAGCAAATGAATCCCAGTGCCCTGGGGTGGCTGTGTTTGTCAGGATGGCATTCCCAGTCCGAGAGGCACAATGTGTCTCATTCACAGCATTTCTCCTTGCCCCTTGTGTGTTTGGACAGATATTTCCAGGCCTGATTCTCTCAGATATAAAACCGGCCAAAAGGATGAAGTTCAAGACTGTCTGCTACCTGCTGGTGCAGCTCATGCACTGCCGGAAAATGTTCAAGGCCGAGATCCCCTTCTCCAATGTCATGACCTGCGAGGACGATGACAAGGTAGGAGCAGCCAGGGAGCCTGCCATGCTGGAGCTGCCAGGGACTGATCTCTGTCCTGCCCTCCCAATATGGCCCCCGTGCCATTTGGCTAGATCAGAATTCCCTGTTCACATGTGGATAATCTTGTAAATGCTGCTCAGAGCTGAGCTACTTTTTATTTCCTGCAAAAGTCATTATAGTGTACTTTTTTACTCCTTGGCATTCTTTGTATTTGTCCATAATCCATGTATTTATTCCTGTTTATCCATAAATTCAAGCTAAAATTCCCCACCTGCTGTCTAAATGGCCTCTGAGGGTATTCATTCTGGACAGATGTGCTAGGCCCTCCCTCCTTAGGTGGATTTCACACTAAGGCTGGCCCTACCCACCTGTCATCCTTGCCCCCAGCGTCCAAGCCTGTGCCTCATCTGTCTGTGCCTGTGCGGCTTCCTGGCTCCCTCTCTATGCAGGAGCTCGCTGCCTGCAGATGGCCTTCCTCTGTTACTCTCGGTTAGCAGCCCAGCCAGGACGTCCAGACGAGCAAAACAGCAAAACAGTCTTCTCAGCAGTCTCCACCTCTGACCCCTCGCCCGCAGTGCCTGATTCCCCACCCCCGGACCCCAGGCTTCCCAGCTTTGCGTCAGGTGCTGTGGGCAGGGCGAGCCCGGAAGCCTGGAAGCCTGGGCTTTTGCAGTTCCAGTGTCACCCCTTCATCACCATCTGCCCCCCAGACAGGGCTCCATACTGCTGCTGCCTTGTGATGAGTGAAAGCAAGTCAGAAATGGGGAGGAGAATAGCGTCTCCACTGCAGGAGCCATCAAAGGGTGGTGACAGGGCATGGCAGGCAGGTAGTCTCTGCAGAGATGTCTGTGGTGGTCCCAGTAGGGCGTGTGCCTAGGACAAGAGGAACAGGTGCAGTCTGTGTGCACAGAGCAGCCCCAACCTGCAGCAGTCACCCTCTGCAGGCGTCCAGGCCTGTTACCACTTTCTTCTCTGCCGCTCTGCTACCCGCACCTCCAGACTCAGCCCAGGCCTGCCAGCCTCAGCGTTTGATGGAGCCCAGCCTTGGAGCTGGAGTTAGGCGTCAGGTGGGAGAGTGCATGTGCCGTCTGTGACCTTGGTGCAGCTTTGTGAGCAAACGTGTCCAGAGTTCAGGGGAATGTCTTACAAAGGCTCTTGGACAGACTGGGACCACCTCAAACTGTCCTCTTCCTCAGGGTCCCTGTTCCCCAGCTGTGCTCATTCAGGGGTGTGGGAGCCAGGGCAGAGGGGACTGGCCTCTAGGTGGCGGTGTTGCACAAGGGCCCAGTCGCAGCCAGGCGGGCGGGAGCTGTTAAAATTATTTGGCTGGATCGGTGGGCTCATGCCTCTAATCCCAGCACTTTGGGAGGCCAAGGCAGGCGGATCACGAGGTCAGGAGTTCAAGACCAGCCTGACCAACATGATGAAACCCCATCTGTACTAGAAATACAAAAATTAGCCGGGCGTGGTGGCACATGCCTGTAGTCCCAGCTACTCTGGAGGCTGAGGCAGGAGAATCGCTTTAACCCGGGAGGTGGAGGTTGCAGTGAGCCGAGATTGTGCCACTGTAGTCCAGCCTGGATGGCAGAGTGAGACGGTGTCTCAAAAAAAAAAAAGAAAAAGAAAATTATTCAGTGACACTTGCTCAAACATAGTAAGATGCTCTGTATGTGGGACCATAGCTATAGCATAGGAACCACGGCAGTGGAATGGAGTCGTGCTGTTGCGGGGAGAGGTTAGACTCAGCTCCTAACAGAAGGAGGGGAGTGAGGGTCAGTGGATGGAAAATTTCTAAGAGGAAACATAGGGGTAAGGGGATTGTGGCCAACTGACCTAGCACGATTCTTGCTGAAGACAGGCCTAGGTGATCAGGCCTCCCCTGGGGGCTGGTGGAGGGTGAGGAACCTGATCAGATAGGTGGGGGATGGGATATTGAGGGTGGGGCGTTCCTGCTAAAACTGGATTTTACAAGGAAGTGCACCGTTGGGCCTAGGAGAAGTTTCAGAGCCTGGCTAAAATTTGGTCAAGCAGAGAAGCTGTGTCGGACCCCACACATCTGATGCCTCTCCTGTAGGTTCAGATCCATCCCTCACTGAGTGGCCTGGATGTCCTCCTGGGGTTTTGGTCTCCCACCCTGCAACGGGGACGACTGTGCACGTAGCTTCAGGTCCTGCCCAACAGCCACTGTCACCAGTGCTGCAAGGATGAGCTCCTGCCATCAGCCCTTATCCCCCAGGGCATTCACGCCAGCTCTGTTCTTCTCTCAGCACTCTCTCCTGATCGTAAACATAATTGATTATGGAAAATATGGAGAACACAAAGATGCACAAGGGAGAAAATGAAAAGCATTTATCTGGAATCCTACCATCTCACAAAAAAGCTATCATGAACATTTTGTTCCTTCCAGTTTCTTAAGTTTGTGTGTCTGTATTTTTTTAATAAACTTGACTGGATGGTACACAGGCAGTTTGGTTGCTTGTTTTTTTTTTTAATTGCCAATATATCATAAACATTTCCTTCCATTATTAAATACTTGCCAAAAATATGATTTTTTGGTCCTTATTTTACTTTAAGTTCTGGGATACATGTGCAGAACGTGCAGGTTTGTTACATAGGTATACATGTTCCATGGTGGTTTGCTGTACCCATCAACCCGTCATCTAGGTTTTAAGTCCCGCATGCATTAGGTATTTGTCCTAATGCTCTCTCTTCCCTTTCCTCCCACCCGCTGACAGGCCTCTGTGTGTGATGTTCCCCTCCCTGTATCCATGTATTCTCATTGTTCAATTTCCACTTATGAGTGAGAACATGCGGTGTTTGGTTTTCTGTTCCTGTGTTAGTTTGCTGAGGATGATGGTTTCCAGCTTCATCCATGTCCCTGCAAAGGACATGAACTCATTCTTTTTTATGGCTGCAAAAATATGATTTTTAAAAATCATTATATAGATTTGCAGCCTAAGAAACCATTTACTTAATCAACCTCCATTGATATTTAGGTTATTTCTGTTATATTTAAATGAAGCAAATCGTGGACAGAGCTTTTGGTCATGAAAATACGTTTACTTCTCTGATGGTTTTGTGTAATGGAATCCAGAGAGTCAAGTGTCTGCCTGAGTGTGTGCAGCCTGTTAGGGTAGTTACGCTCATCGCCCACTGGGCCCACCAGGTGGGGAACATGACATTGCCTGCCTGAGTCACCGTGGAACACGTCTCTATTCCAGTTTCCTAATACCTGGCAGCACAGTTGTCTCCTCTAATAGGTACACCCAGAAGCCTCCCAATTCAGTCTCTCTCTCTTTTTATTGAGCGCTTCTTTTGTTCTTCTCTTCACACTTAAATATTTAAGCTTGAATTAAAAAATAAAAGCAACATCCACACATGATACAAAAATTAAGTCTTCCAAAATGTTTGCCATTTTGTATTTCCTTCTAGAAAATCAATTTGGGTGTGCACCAGAGGTTAATGCAAATAGAAGTTTATCATTTTGTCTTCCACACCTTTTCACTAGGTGACAGACTTTAGAAATCTTGGAGTCATTTCTAAGTGGCTGGATGGCCTCCCACTGCAGGAGGGAGGGAGGGATGTGACTTTACCACTGGCTTGTTGGTTGCTGGGGACTTTATTTCTAGAGGTTGATCTCATGTCTACTGGTGTCATGAACATCTTTTTTCACAAATGTCTTAGTAAATCTTACGAGGATAGCCTAGGGGTATTTCTTTGTAGTGGAATTGCTGGGTTAAATGGTGTGTCTGTTTTAATTTTGGATAGCTGTTGCCAAATTGTTCTCTCTCAGGCACTTGCTGTGCTCGCTCGCACCACTGATGCACCTGAGCCTTGGTTTCCTGAATGGAGTCAGCTCTGTGTTTTAGCATGGTTTAAAAAATCACCAGTATGCTCAATGCAGTGTCTTTTCTTTTCTCTCTCTTTTTTTTAAATTATACTTTAAGTTTTAGGGTACATGTGAACAATGTGCAGGTTAGTTACATATGTATACATGTGCCATGTTGGTGTGCTGCACCCATTAACTCGTCATTTACATTAGGTATATCTCCTAATGCTATCCCTCCCCACTCCCCCCACACCACAACAGGCCCTGGGGTGTGATGTTCCCCTTCCTGTGTCCAAGTGTTCTCATTATTCAATTCCCACATGTAAGTGAGAACATGCGGTGTTTGGTTTTTTGTCCTTGCGATAGTTTGCTCAGAATGATGGTTTCCAGCTTCATCCATGTCCCTACAAAGGATATGAATTCATCATTTTTTATGGTATTCCATGGTGTATATGTACCACATTTTCTTAATACAGTCTGTCATTGTTGGACATTTGGGTTGGTTCCAAGTCTTTGCTATTGTGAATAGTGCCGCAATAAACATACGTGTGCATTTGTCTTTATAGCAGCATGATTTATACCCCTTTGGGTATATACCCAGTAATGGGATGGCTGGGTCAAATGGTATTTCTAGTTCTAGATCCCTGAGGAATCGCCACACTGTCTTCCACAATGGTTGAACCAGTTTACAGTCCCACCAACAGTGTAAAAGTGTTCCTATTTCTCCACATCCTCTCCAGCACCTGTTGTTTCCTGACTTTTTAATGATCGCCATTCTAAGTGGTGTGAGATGGTATCTCATTGTGGTTTTGATTTGCATTTCTCTGATGGCCAGTGATGATGAGCATTTTTTCATGTGTTTTTTGGCTGCATAAATGTCTTCTTTTGAGAAGTGTCTGTTCATATCCTTCGCCCACTTTTTGTTGGGGTTGTTTGATTTTTTCTTGTAAATTTATTTGAGTTCTTTGTAGATTCTGGATATTAGCCCTTTGTCAGATGAGTAGATTGCAAAAATTTTCTCCCATTCTGTAGGTTGCCTGTTCACTCTACTGGTAGTTTCTTTTGCTGTGCAGAAGCTCTTTAGTTTAATTAGATCCCATTTGTCAATTTTGGCTTGTGTTGCCATTGCTTTTGGTGTTTTAGACATGAAGTCCTTGCCCATGCCTATGTCCTGAATGGTATTGCCTAGGTTTTCTTCTAAGGTTTTTATGGTTTTAGGTCTAACATTGAAGTCTTTAATCCATCCTGAATTAATTTTTGTATAAGGCGTAAGGAAGGGGTCCAGTTTCAGCTTTCTACATATGGCTAGCCAGTTTTCCCAGTACCATTTATTAAATAGGGAATCCTTTCCCCATTTCTTGTTTTTGTCAGGTTTGTCAATGATCTGATAGTTGTAGATGTGTGGCATTATTTCTGAGGGCTCTGTTGTGTTCCATTGGTCTATAACTCTGTTTTGGTACCAGTACCATGCTGTTTTGGTTACTGTAGCCTTGTAGTATAGTTTGAAGTCAGGTGGCATGATGCCTCCAGCTTTGTTCTTTTGGCTTAGGATTGACTTGGCGATGTGGGCTCTTTTTTGGTTCCATATGAACTTTAAAGTAGTTTTTTTCCAATTCTGTGAAGAAAGTCATTGGTAGCTTGATGGGGATGGCATTGAATCTATAAATTACCTTGGGCAGTATGGCCATTTTCATGATATTAATTCTTCCTATCCGTGAGCATGGAATGTTCTTCCATTTGTTTGTATCCTCTTTTATTTCGTTGAGCAGTGATTTGTAGTTCTCCTTGAAGAGGTCCTTCACATCCCTTGTAAGTTGGATTCCTAGGTATTTTATTCTCTTTGAAGCAATTGTGAATGGGAGTTCACTCATGATTTAGCTCTGTTTGTCTGTTATTGGTGTATAAGAATGCTTGTGATTTTTGCACATTGATTTTGTATCCTGAGACTTTGCTGAAGTTGCTTATCAGCTTAAGGAGATTTTGGGCTGAGATGATGGGGTTTTCTAGATATAGAATCATGTCATCTGCAAACAGGGACAATTTGACTTCCTCTTTGCCTAATTGAATACCCTTTATTTCCTTCTCCTGCCTGATTGCCCTGGCCAGAACTTCCAACACTATGTTGAATAGGAGTGGTGAGAGAGGGCATCCCTGTCTTGTGCCAGTTTTCAAAGGGAACACTTCCAGTTTTTGCCCATTCAGTATGATATTGGCTGTGGGTTTGTCATAAATAGCTCTTACTATTTTGAGATACATCCCATCAATACCTAATTTATTGAGAGTTTTTAGCATGAAGTGCTGTTGAATTTTGTCAAAGGCCTTTTCTGCATCTATTGAGATAATCATGCAGTTTTTGTCGTTGGTTCTGTTTATATGCTGGATTACGTTTATTGATTTGTGTATGTTGAACCAGCCTTGCATCCCAGGGATGAAGCCCACTTGATCATGGTGGATAAGCTTTTTGATGTGCTGCTGGATTCGGTTTGCCAGTATTTTACTGAGGATTTTTGCTTCAATGTTTATCAGGGATATTGGTCTAAAATTCTCTTTTTTTTGTTGTGTCTTTGCCAGGCTTTGGTATCAGGATGATGCTGGCCTCATAAAATGAGTTAGGGAGGATTCTCTCTTTTTCTATTGATTGGAATACTTTCAGAAGGAATGGTAGCAGCTCCTCCTTGTACCTCTGGTAGAATTCGGTTGTGAATCCGTCTAGTCCTGGACTTTTTTTGGTTGGTAAGCTATTAATTATTGCCTCAATTTCAGAGCCTGTTATTTGTCTATTCAGAGATTCAACTTCTTCCTGGTTTAGTCTTGGGAGGGTGTATGTGTCTAGGAATTTATCCATTTCTTCTAGATTTTCTAGTTTATTTGCGTAGAAGTGTTTATAGTATTCTGTGATGGTAGTTTGTATTTCTGTGGGATCGGTGGTGATATCCTCTTTATCATTTTATATTGCATCTATTTGATTCTTCTCTCTTTTCTTCTTTATTAGTCTTGCTAGCGGTCTATCAATTTTGTTGATCTTTTCAAAAAAACAGCTCCTGGATTCATTGATTTTTTGAAGGGTTTTTGTGTCTCTATCTCTTTCAGTTCTGCTCTGATCTTAGTTATTTCTTGGCTTCCGCTAGCTTTTGAATGTGTTTGCTCTTGCTTCTCTAGTTCTTTTAATTGTGATGTTAGGGTGTCAATTTTAGATCTTTCCTGCTTTCTCTTGTGGACATTTAGTGCTATAAATTTCCCTCTACACACTGCTTTAAATGTGTCCCAGAGATTCTGGTATGTTGTATCTTTGTTCTCGTTGGTTTCAAAGAACATCTTTATTTCTGCCTTCATTTCATTATGTACCCAGTAGTCATTCAGGAGCAGGTTGTTCAGTTTCCATGTAGTTGAGTGGTTTTAAGTGAGTTTCTTAATCCTGAGTTCTAGTTTGATTGCACTGTGGTCTGAGAGACAGTTTGTTATAATTTCAGTTCTTTTACATTTGCTGAGGAGTGCTTTACTTCCAACTATGTGGTCAATTTTGGAATAGGTGTGGTGTGGTGCTGAGAAGAATGTATATTCTGTTGATTTGGAGTGGAGAGTTCTGCGTATTTTCTTCTCTGTTTCTGATCCACCTAGGGGCTCTCCTACCCCATCTCCTGGGCATTTTGTTGAAACATGGCTGGAAATTTTTTTAAAATATAACTTCTACCATATCTATCTGAATTTAATGAAGATAAAATTTCAACTTGTTTGGTCCACACTTTTTGAAACTGATTGCCATAATGTTTTACTTAATTCTGTTGCATTTTTTTGATCTACAATAGTATGTTTTTCAAATGGTGATAATTTTGCTTTCTCCTTTTCATCCTATGTTAAATGATTGCAATAGGGTGGGCATTCTTTTTTGTTCTGGCTTTAATAAATAGGGTTTTACCACTAATTGTGATGCTTTGGGTTAGAAGTAATAGTATATGGCTAATTATTTCAAGAAAGTGATCCATTGGAGTTAGCTTTTGAATTTTTTCTTTTAATAAGCAGATGTTGAATTTTAGAAAATACTCTTGAGTAGGTATTAAGATGCTTAGCCTGGTGGTTCCCCCTCTGACTGTTAATATGGTCAGTGATATCACTGCATCCTCCAGGGTTCTTTTGACATTGTAGGAGCTTCACCTTCCTGTCCATCCCTGTGGCCTTGGGCTGTTCCTGGTACATTTTCAGAGATGTGTGTATCATCTACTCACTGAAGGACGGCTACCTTCCTCTCAATGTGTTGGCCACTCTCGTGGATGCCCGTCACAGCCCAGGACTGTGATTTATGACTGTGGAGGACAGTCAGTAACCCAGGACACAGCAGGTGAGCTGACAGGCAGAGGATGCTGGGTGGTGACAGGGTTTGGAGGTGTGGCTGACCTGAGGGTGGACCAATGTCTATTACTCCTGACTTGAGGGAGGATCCATGTCCATTAGCACCAACCGGAAAATGGACCTGTGTTCATCAGCCCCGACCACAGGGAGGATCTGTATGCCTCAGTCCCTGACCTGAAGGAGAACTCGTGTCCATCATTCCGTGACCTGAGAGTGGACCTGTGTCCATCATTCCCTGATCCAGGGTGGACCTGTGTCCATCATTTTCTCACCTGAGGGTGGACCTGTGCCCATCAGCCCTGACCACAGGGAGGATCTGTGTCCCTCAGTCCCTGACTTGATGTTGAAGGGTGAACCTGTGTCCTTCAGTCCCTGACCTGAGGGTAGACTTGTGTGGATCTGCCCCAACTGGAGGGTGGACCCATGTTCGTCTGCCCCGACTTAAGGCTGGACATGTGTCCATCAGCCCTGACCTCAAGGTGGACCTGTGTCCATCAACCCTTCACGTGAACTCTCAGAACTGTCAGACCAGGGAGCAGTTGGCACTGACCACTGGTCTTCTGAACAAGCCCAACCTCAGGTAGATAACCAGTGACCGGCAGGGAACTCAAGTCAAGGTCTGCTTGTTTGGGGTTGTAGCCTGAATTGGCAATGGAAAAGCTGCTGGGCGCAGCAGAGATTTGCGCTGGCAAGGACTCTGAGCATGGTTTCCTCATTATCTCCAGCTTCAGGACAGAGGTTCCCCTTGAGTATGGAAGTTTTTACCTGGAATCATCCCTCTAAATGGTATCATACAGTATGTGATCTCTGAAATTGGGTTTTTCTTCATCCAGCATTATGCCCCTGGGATCCATCCAAGTTGTGTGTGTTAATAGTGCCTTCCTTTCATTGCTAAATAGTCCTTCATGGTATGGATAGACCACTGTTTGTTTAGTCATTCGCTTGTTGAAGGACATTTCTGTTTCCAGTATTTAACTTTTACAAATAAAGCTGCCATAAACATTGTCGTGCGAAATTTTGTGCGCACATCCATGTTAACTCATCTAGGATAGATGCCCAGATGTGTGATTGATGGGTCATGTTTAGATTTTTTTCATAAACTGCCGAACTGTTTTCCAGAGTGTCTATTTTATATCCCCATCCCCAGTGTATGAAGGATCCAGTTCATCTCCATCCTCACCAGCATTTGGTGTTCTCTCTCTCTCTCTCTTAAATGTAGCTGTTCTAATAAGTATGTAGTGATACTTCACTATGATTTTATTTTGGCATTTCACTGATGGCTAAGGATGTTGAACATCTTTTCATGTGCTCATTTTTTATCCATATGTTCTCTTGCCCTTTGGTGAACTGTCTCTTCATGTCTTTTGTCTGCTTTCTAATTGGATTATTTGATTTTTTTGTGCTGTTCATTTTTGAGAGTTCATGGTATATTCTAGAAACGATTCTTTTGTTAGAGGTGTGGTTTGCAATTATTTCCTCCCAGTCCATAGCTTGTCTTTTCATCATCTCAACAGGGTCTTCTGTTCTGTTTCACAGAACAGATGTTTTTAGTTTTGAAGATACCCAATTTATTGATTTTTCTCTTTTATGATTCATGTTTTTGATGTCATGTCTAAAAACCTTTTACATAGCCCAAGTCCCCAAATTTTGACATACATTTTACTCTAAGAATCTTATAGTTTTACATTTGATAGTTTATGATCCATTTTGAGTTCATTTTTTAATAAGGTGTAAGTTTCAGTTATTTTTTAGATTTTATTTTTGCTTATGGATATCTGGTTTCTCCAGCACCATTTGTTGATAAGCTATCCTTCCTCCATTGAATTGCTTTTGAACTTTTGTCAAAAGTCAGTTGGCCATACTTATGTGAGGCTATTTCTGGGTTATCTATTCTGTTCCATTTATCTATTTGTCTGTCTGTCTGCCAACACCATACTGTCTTGATTAATGCAGTTGTATAAGTCTTAAAATCAGGTAGAGTGATTCTTCTTACTTTATTGTTTTAAAGAAAAGTGGGCTATTCTAGTCCCTTTTCCTTTCTGTTTGCATGAACGTGGTATGCCTCTTCATTTATTTAGATTTTCTTCGATTCCTTACATCAGCATTGTGAGGTGTTCAGCATACGAGACCTCGCTGTGTTTTGTTAGATTTACATCTTGTATTTTATTTTTCTCAGTGATTATAAATCATACTACATTTTAATATTGGTCTTCCTTTTTTCATCACTAATATAAAGAAATACCATTATTTTTTACGTTTATCTTTTATACTGTCACCTTGTGGAACTCACTAATTTGTTCTAGGATTTTTTTAATATATATATATTCCTTGAGATTTTCCATGTAGATCATCATGTCGTCTGAAACTAGAGACAATTTTCTTTCTTTCCCATCTGTATGCCTTTTACTTCCTTTTCTTGCCTTATTGCACTGGCTGGGGTTTTTAGCACTATGCTGCATGGAAGTGGTGAGAGCCAACATCTTGTATTTTATCCAGAGCATAGAAGGAACGTGTTCAGTCTTTCACGATTAAGTGTGATGTTAGCTATAGGCATTTTGTAGATGTTCTTAATCAAGTTGGAGAAGTTCCCCCTCAATTCCTAGTTTTCTGATAATTTTTATCATGAATGGGTATTGAATTTTGTCAAATGGTTTTTCTGTATCAATTGACTTTCCTCTTTAACCAGTTCATCTGGTGGGTTACATTGATGTTCAAATATTTGACCAGCCTTTCATCCCTAGAATTGTTTATTCTATATAATTCTAATTATATATTACTGAATTTTATTTGCTAATATTTTGTTAGATTTTTTTTATATCTACATCCATGAGGGATATTGGCCTGTAGTTTTCTGTTTTGTACTATCTTCGTCTGGTGTTGGTATCAGGGTAATACTGACTTTGTAAAGTGACTTGGGAAGTGTTGCTTCCTCTTCTATTTTCTGGAAGAGATTGGTTAAAACTGGTGTTAATTCTTTAAACATTTGCTAGAATTTGTCAGTGAAACCATCTGGGCATGGAGTTTACTTTTTCAGGAATTTTTAAATTATAAAGTCAATTTCTTTAGAAATTATAGGATTTTTCAATTTACCCTTTATGTTGGATGAGTTGTGGTAGTTGTGTTTCAAAGAATAGTTCATTTGATCTAAGTTGTCAAATTTATGTGTGTAGAGTTGTTTATAATATTCCTTCATTAACCTTTTGATGCCTGCAGAGTATGTAGTAAAATTTCATTTTATTTCTGAATTTGTTAGTGTCTTTTCACTCTTATTTTTCAGGCTTGCAGTGATTTGCCAACTTGATTGATAATTTTCAAAGAACCAACTTTTGGTTTCATTGATTTTCTCTATTTTTTTTGTTTTCTTTTTATTGAATTCTTCTCTTTATTATTTCCTTTCTACTGTTAGCTTTGAGTCTATTTTGCATTTCTTTTTCTAGTTTGTTAACATGGCAATTAGATTATTGATTTGAGACTTTTTCTTTTTTCTTATGTAAGTATTTAGTACTATTAACTACCTTTCAGCACTGCTTTAGCTGCATCCCGTAGATTTTGGCATATGTTCATTCAGATGAGCATATATATATATATATATATATATATATATATATATATATATATGTTTTTGTTGTTTTTTTTTTTTTTCCTTGAGACTTCCTCTTTGACCTGTGGCTAATTTAGAAATGCTTGGAAATTTTCCTGTTATCTAACTGTTACTAGTTTTAGTTTGATTCTGTTTTGGTTTGAGAGTACATAATGTGTATGATTTCAGTTATTTTAAATTTGTTGAGTTTTGTTTTATGGCCAAGGTCTCTTAATACATACTCTTGGGTACCTGAAAAGAATGTATTCTGCCATTGTTGCATGGAGTATTTTATAAATGTCAATTAGATCTTGTTTGATGATGTCTTAGCTTATTTTATGTCTGATTGTTCAAGGGAGATGTTGACATCTCCAACTATAATTGAGAATTTGTTTATTTCTCCTTAAATTCTCTTTTCTTTTTTTTGAGACGGAATCTCTATCACCCAGGATGGAGTGCAGTGGTATGATCTCAGCTCACTGCAACCTCTGCCTCCTGGGTTCGAGCAATTCTCTGCCTCACCCTCTCGAGTAGCTGGGATTACAGGCACCCGCCACCACGCCCTGCTAATTTTTGTATTTTTAGTGGAGACGGGGTTTCAGCATTTTGGCCAGGCTGGTCTTGAACTCCTGACTTCGTGATCCACCCCACTTGGCCTCCCAAAGTGCTGGGATTACAGGCGTGAGCCACAGCGCCCCACTGTTTCTCCTTAAATTCTATCAGTTTTGGCTTTGTGTGATTGAAATTTCTATTGTTTTATGCATACACATTTAGGATTTCTATGTCTTCCTTTTACATTGACTCTTTAATCATTTTGTAATGTCTCTCTCTATCCCTGGTAAATTTTTTTGCTCTGATATCTACTTTTTCTGTTATCACTACAGCCACTCCTACTTTCTTTAGATTAAAGTTTGCATGGTGTATAATTTCTATTCTATTAATTTCAACTTACATATATTGCTATATTTTGAAGTAAGTTTCTTTAAACAGCATATATTTGGATGATATTTGTTAAATCATTTATTACAGCCTCTTTTAATTGGTATATTTAGAATATCTACACTTAATGCAATTATTGATATGTTATTGATAAGTCTGCTATTTAACTTATTTTTTGTTTTTCTGTTTGTTCCTTCTCTTTTTGTCTGTTTTTTTTCCTATGTTGCTGTGGTTTATGTGAGCAATTTTTAGAATTCCATTTTGATTTATATATAGTATATCTTGTTGCATACAATTTTTTGTAGTTTATCTAGATATGTATTATTTTTACATAACATTACAGCCTACTGATGTCAACATTTTAACAAGTTTAGTGTAGAAACTTTACCTCTTTTTCAGTCCCTTTATCCTTCCCCATTTATAACATAAATGTCATAAATATTTCCTCTATATATATCAGACAAATTTATAATCTTTGGTTCAACCAGAAAACATGTAGAAAATTCAAGAGAAGGAGGAAAGTATATTGCATTTAGCCACAATTTTTATCCTTTCTGTTATTTGTCTTTGTGATGTTCCAACATTCCTTCTTTTACTATTTTCTTTTTTGTTTCAAGAATTTCTTTTTGCTCTTCTTTAGGTTGATTATAAACTCTCAACTTTCCTTTATCTAAAAATATTATAATTTTTTTTTCATTTCTGAAGTATAATTTTGCTAGATGTTGAATTCTGGGTTGACAGTTCTTAAGCACTTGATGAATGTTTTCCCACTTTTTTCTGGCTTCCATGGTTTCTGAAGAAATGATGCTATCATTCTAGTTACTTTTTTTCCTCCCCCAAAAAATCAGATATTAGTTTTCTCATGCTGCTTTCAAGAATTTTCCTTTGTCTTTTGTTCTTGGAAGTTTGATTGTGATGTGTGTTGGCATCTGTTTCTTTGAGTTTGCCCTGTTTGAGATTTGCTAACTTACTTCAATCTGTACGTTTATATCTTTTGCCAAACTTGGGACATTTTCTGCTATTATTTCTTCTAATATTTGTCCAGTCTTACACCCTTTTTCTTCCTTTCGGGACTCTGATGACATGAATGAATGTTAAATTTTCCATTTTAGTTCCACAGTTCCAAAGGCTCTGTTTTGTTTTTTTTTTTTAAGTCTGTTTTCTTTTCATTGTTCAGATTGGATAATTTCTGTGACTCTGTCTTCTAGGTCAGGAATTCTTTACTGTGTGCACTTCAGTCTGCAGTTCAGCTCATCCATTAGGTTTTAAATTTTGATTATTGTATTTTTCAGGTCTGTAATTTTTATCTGTTCTTTCTTATACTTTCCTTTTTTCTGAGACTTGCTATAATTTGTTTCAGGTGTGTTCATAATTACTTATTGAAGCATTTTTATAATGACTGCTTTAAAATTCTTGTCAGATAATTTTAACAACTCTATCATCTTGAAGTTAGTATCTGTTGATTATCTTTCTCAAGTTGACATTTTTTAAGGCTTGATATTATGAGTGGTTTCTTTTTTTTTATGTCCTAGACATTTGGGTATTATGTTGTGATACTCTGGATCCTACTGAAATTTTTTGTTTTAGCAAGTCTCTTCAGACTTTACAGCATTGGGGCAGTGTGGGTGGAATTCCGGGTTTCCCACTTATCCTCCATGACAGCCTGGCATTTGGCACCAAGGTGATGCCTGGCACCTTGTTACTGTTGAGTAGAATATGGACATTCTGCATCCTTGTTCAGCATCCACTGACAATGCAAGTGGGAGCTCATTACCACTCAGTGGAGATGAGCATCTCCACTCCCTGTTCAGGTTTTTCTGACACTATGTCAGTGGGGCCTTGGGTGTGCCTCCTCACAGCCTAATAAAGATCAAAGTCGAGGCTCCCCACATGGTCTTTGCTGGCCTGGGTGGAGCTGGGGCCACAGATTTTTTTTTTTTTTTTTTATGGTCTTTGGCTACAATAGGGTGGTTATTGTCTAAAAGTTTTGTTTTGCTAGGTTGCCCCTTTTTTTTTCTTTGGCTAGAAACAACAGGCTTTTTTGTAGGGGCTTTAAAAAAGTTGATCTGTATCCAGTGGCATTTTTTGGCTGCTGGTTTCTCTTGTTTCTAGTCTGGGATAAATAAGGCAGAAAGAAACCTCAAGGGACACCATCCACCCGACACTGTTTTCCTTTGAGTTGCAAGGTCCCTGCGATCACCCTCTTCTTTCCACCTTTCACAGTCTGTGTGCTTATTTTACATGTATTGTCAGTGCTTTTACCACTCAGTAGGAATAAAAACAAGTGTGTTCATTTCATCTTTTCTGGAACCGCATGGCTAGCCTCTTTTAATATTCTTATTTTCTTCTCAAGTATATTAAGTACCAGAGGTTCTGTTTATGAAGCACTGATAGTGAGTTCATGGCAAGTGGTTTTAAATTAGACTCTATTTTCCTTTTGGCAAATGGGTGCTTTCTCGTATCCCTCATGTGACATATGGAAGCTGTGGAGGAGAGGCTCACTCTCTGTTCCCATCAGCCCTGGCCAGAGTGAGAGACTGGTGAAGCCACTCCGTTTGCCACCGTTTCTCTCTCTTAGAAGGAGGGGGTTGGACTCCTGCTCTTGTAACTCTGGGGAATCTCTTTCTGCATGTGTTGGGGTTTTATGAGTTTAGGAACCTGCTCTTACTGGGATGCTGTTCTCCCCACTGCAAACGTGTTTAATCACCTAATCCTTGCTGCCATGCCATCACTCAGGGGCCATAAAACCGCCATTACAGGTGTGGGAACCCCAACACTGGCTGCTGAGATGACTCACCTGCCATCTCACCACCAGCAGGGCAGAGTCATGATTATTAAATGTCAGATTCCCAAACCCGACCCCACCCTGCAGCGGATCTGGCTGGAGGGAGAGTACAGGTGCTTTTCTTCAATAAGTGGAGAATTTGATGATACTCCTTTATTTCCATGATGGCTCCAGCGGAGGGCATTAAGAACAGCCTCGGAAAAACTCAGAAACCGCTCATCTTTTTCTACCAACGTTGTCTACACCACCCCGGGCACTCGCGTCAACAGGTACATCAGCCGCCTCTTAGAAGCCCGCCAGACAGAGCTGGAGATGGCAGACCTGAACTTCTTTACCCTGAAGTACAAACATGTCGAACGGGAGCAAAAGGTAAGCAACTCTGGTTTTCGGCTTCCCTGGTGCTGCTTGCGAAGGCGCTGCCTGGCTGGAGGAAGCCCTCAGCCCTGATGGATTGACTTCTCTCTTACACAGTACCACCAGCTTCAGGACGAGTATTTCACCAGCGCCGTTGTCCTCACCCTCATCCTGGCTGCCTTATTTGGCCTTGTCTACCTTCTAATATTCCCACAGTGAGTATTTCTATCAACGAGGTGAGGAACTCACCAAGAAGTCCCGGTTTCTGGGGTTCGTGGTTGTGTTTCTGGGGTTCGTGGTTGTGTTTCTGTTGTATGCTCAAGCTTCGTCTCCCACAGTTATTGTCCCAATGTGCCCAACATGGCTGACATTAGCCAGCCATCATTTCCTCATTTTCTCAAGTCAGTAGTGTAACAAGCCTTGATGGTATATGGCATGGGACTGGTCACTTTCCATTTTAAATTTTGAATTTACTTAATTCTAAGACACAATATATTTTCATGCTTTTTCATCCATGCAACATGCACCATTGCTGTAATAATAGCTTTTGGCTGGGTGTAGTGGCTCATACCTGTAACCCCAGCACTTTGGGAGGCTGAAGCAGGAGGATTATTTGAGGCCAGTAGTTCAAGACCAGCCTGAGCAATATAGCAACACTCTATCTACAAAAAAAAAAAAAAAAAAAATTAGCCAGGCATGGCAGCACTTGCTTGTAGTAGTCCCAGCTACTCAGGAAGCTGAGGCAGGAGGATCCCTTGAGCTCAGGAGTCTAAGCTGCAGTGAGCTATGATCTCACCACTACACTCCAGCCTGGATGACATAGTGAGACTTTGTCTCTAAAAATAATAATAATAATAATAACAATAACTTTTGAGAAGAAACTGCACTTAATGAGCTCATTGGCTTCTAAATCCATGTCATTTTCAAAAACTTAAAATCCCTCTTAAAAGGAAGAAAAACAGTAGTTTAAATAACATTTAAACATCATATAAGTAAATGTGAGTTTGGCAGCTTTTATTTTATTTTATTTTTTTTGCAAGAAAGACACCACTGAGTCTGCACTTGCCACTTTACTTTCAAGTGTACTCATTTCTTAATAAAACCTACCTACGGGAATACTACCTCCTCTGAGTTTGAAAGCACATGGAGGCCACCCCACACCTGCGGAGGAGGAGGGAGTTCAGCCCTGGGTGCTCTGCATCCTGCCCAGCCCACAGACACTGAACACAGCAGCCTGCCTCATGGGCCTATTTGGGATTTAAGCGTTTTCTAAAAATGCCCTTCCCAGACAAAGCCCAGCTAGAGAATAGCTCAGCAAAGTCTGGGAAACTCTTGTCTTTCCATCATGAGGAAAACGGCTTCCAGAAAAGTTCTGTGATTCTCAGCCTAAGCTAGATCTCTGCGGTGGGGGTAGGAGAAGTGGGAGGTAGACTCAGGAGGGGCCCCCTTCTTACTCAGGAACCCCAGATGCCCTGCCCTAAAAAATAGAACCAGCCATGTCAGTTCCCAGAGACCTGAGTGGCAGGCATCCAGGTTAACGATGCTGCTTCCTCCTGAGAGCACAGGGGATGTGGAGGGAGGGGCCAATTCTCAGCCATCTCTTGGGTCCGCCTCTCCTAATCCCCACCTATCAGTGACTCTCATGTTTTCTGTCCCCCAGGAGTGTGGTCGTCCTGCTCCTGCTAGTATTCTGCATCTGCTTCCTGGTGGCCTGTGTCCTGTACCTGCACATCACCCGGGTCCAGGTATGTGGGTGGCCTGTGTCCTGTACCTGCATATCACCTGGTTCATGTATGTGAGTGGCCTGTATCCTGCACCTGCATATCACCTGGTCCAGGTATGAGGGTGGCCTGTGTCCTATACCTGCATATCACCTTGTTCAGGTATGTGGGTGGCCTGTGTCCTGTACCTGCATATCACCTGGTCCAGGTATGAGGGTGGCCTCTGCCTGCCCTCTGGGTGGGATGGGGTGGGATAGGGGAGGCAGTTCTGTTCCCTCCCCTGCCTAGACAGGAAGAAAGAGTCTGCTCATATAGCAGGTGCTCATGAAGACCCAGTTCTGCACTGGGCACATGCACTCCTTTGGGAGTGTACCTGGTGGGCACAATAGACTGGCGATTGATATTGATTAAACAAATGAGCACAAGATACTGATCCTGTTCTCTTGGAATGGAGAGTCTAGCAGCAGGACAGAAGAGGGATGTTTATTCTGTGTTTATGTCACAGACTTTGGAGAGGGGTGACATTTTCCAGGTACATTGTGCTATCTGGGCCCTGATGCCTCATCTGCTTTGCTCTGTGGGCTTTTGCAGGAAAGACGTGAGCTTTGCGGCCTTGTACTATCTGTGGCTCACTTGGAGGACTGTATAGTTCCTAGTCCTGCATTCCTTCATCACATTCTCCACCTTCATTTCTAAACGACTCGTTTCCCTCAGCCG
This sequence comes from Homo sapiens, assembly GCF_000001405.40. Lineage (NCBI taxonomy): Eukaryota > Metazoa > Chordata > Mammalia > Primates > Hominidae > Homo > Homo sapiens. Next base: position 45,680,487 of record NC_000007.14, read on the forward strand.
ACCCCAGGATGTCACTTCTGGCAGACCCAGTGTTATATTTGCATAATTACTGAAAACAGCAACTTTTTGAAAAGATTAAATCTAGTTTCATTCATTTAACTTTGTCATTATTCATAGGTAATATCTTGAGTTTTTAAATTAAAAAAATGCTAACTATTAAAACTTCATTCCTATTTCTTTGACTTGTATAGATTGAGTGACATTTGGTTTGACAAATTTTAAAATTTACCACTTCAAGTAAAACTGCTGTTTTTCATATAATTTCAAGTGAAAGCAGGACAGAAGGATGATAGTTTTTAAAGCCTATTCCTTAGTCCTCAGTGGTGGGAACCAGTGTGCCCACCCAATGGTGTACAAATAGCATTAGACATGCAGAAAGTGTGAAAAGCCATTGGGCAAGAAGAGCGATGACAAAGCAGAAGCCAAGGAATGCGCCAGCCTGGAAAGCTCTGCCCAAAGGTCCTGGCCCAGGAATACTGATTCTTGCGAGTGGATGTACACTGCTTTCTGTGACTCCACGAGAGCCTCCCAAGCCAGGTGGTGAGACGGGTCAGCCCCTTTCCCACATGTGAGGAAAGTGGGCTCAGGCAGGCTAAGGGATGTGCTCATGAAACCAGGAAGCAAAATCTGCACCCAATCTGTCCATAAAAATAATATTCAAATTAAGAAAACTCTCGGTTCTAAAAAACACATGATCTGTGGGATTGGGGCGCTAAGTCATCTGCCCAGAATTACCCCCCTTTTGTTAATAAGGGAGCTGCCCTCATGGCTGGGAACTTTGGCCAGAATAATTCCAGGTGCTGACATTAAAGGAGGCTAGCCTGCAGTTATCCCATGAAGCTTCTTCTGTATTCCAGTGTTTTGTTCTCTTGGTGGACTCTGCCCTGGATGCCACTAGCTCCTTTCCTTCTGAATATTCACTCTCCCTTCTCACCCTCTTCTGTGAGCAAGCATAGAGCGTTTTTTCCTAAGTGTGTGGTTTGGAGGTGCTAGGTTCGAAAAGCAGTGGGGGTCCAGCTTTCCTGGGAGTGCCATCAGTGGTGCTTGCGGCTGTTGTGGAAGAAGCAGAGTGGAGACTAAGTGCCCAGACTTCTCAGCTAGGACAGGAGAGGGGATTCAGCTCACAGCCAGTGTGTACTGGGTCAGGGTTTGATTGAATCACAAGTATTTAGGCTCCTGTTCGCAGGCTCTGCACCGGGCTCTGAGCATCCCTGCTGACCCTGGGCCAGGGAAGAGGCCTGTGCAAATGGCTGTGGGAATGGAGGTGAGGGAGGTTTGCAGGAAGCCAGCAGGGGATAGGTCAGGGCCACCCAGCAGAAGGCCATTGTGGCCTGAGTGGACGCGGTGGGTCATGCAGACGGAGTTAGTTCCAGAACACATCCTTGAGAAGGCCGGGTAGAAATGTTTCCCTCCCCGACATTGACAGTGTCCAGAGCCAGGGTGCCCAGGGCAGTGTGGCAGTTCCATGGCCCCTTGGGACCTTCACCCCTATCTGGTTTCCCCATCCCCATCCCTCGGGGGTATGTCAACTCCAGGCTTGGGCTCCAGTTGTCTGGGCCTCAGGGTTGCCCTCTGTGAAATGGCGGTGATGATGGCCCCCACCTCACTGGCTTGACATGAGGATTCAGTGAGCTCATTTGCACAAAGTCTGTGGAGCAGAGCCTGGCACAGCACACGCTCAGTTGGAGTGTTCTGAAGTCAGATGAGACAGAGAAGCTGCATGGGGGTGGGGCAGTGGGTGTAGCTCATCCCGGGAATCAGGGTGGGGAGGTGCCTAATCCTGTCCATCTTGACCATCTGCAGAGGGCGGCAGAGCTGACCCGAGGGTCCTGCTGAGGGTTGAAAAGGAATGTCTGGGGCAGGATGTGGACTTTTTCTGTCAGGGTTGCAGGCTGAGGTTTGCATGGCTAGGCCTGGAGAACATCAGGAGCGGGCAGAGGAGAGGAGGAAGCCCAGGAGGTGTGCACTGGCTGGACCCCGGGGTGCTGCAGGTGGGGCAGGCCGAGGTCAAGGCGTCAGGCACATTCAGAGGCCCTTGGCTGGACCCTGGGGATGTGGGCACAATGTGGTCCACAAGGTGGCTGGGTGTGCCTCGGATAAGCTGCTTCTGCTTCTCCCACCCTGGCCTGGTGCTCACAGACCTGCATTTCAGCCCTGTTTTCCCCATCCTCCTTCTCGCCGTCCTAGGGCTCTAAGAGAGGCAGATGGGACAGGCTCAGGAGGGTGTTGGGCCCACCCAGGCTGGCTAGGGTAGAGGCCGCATCCCATCATAGGTCCCCAAGCCAAGGTGTGGAAGGTGGTAGGTGGTGGAAGGAAGATTTTCACCAGTTATGATACTCGAGTTAAACTAGGTGGCTTTGAAGAAAAGAGAAAACCTTGGCAGAGATCCTTAAGGTAGGGGGAAGGGAGCCTCACCGCACAGAGGGGAGTGTAGCACCATCAGAGACAGCCCGAGGGCTTCATTCTAGCCCCTGTGAGTGCAGACGGTCAGGAAATGGTGCCTGCTTTTTCTCCCTCTCATCCTCAGTTGACATCATCTCCCGAAGTGCCACAATGGCCACTTTGTTCATGAGCCCATTGGGATGACAGGAGTGGCCGAGGAAATAGAATGACTGGTGTCCACAGTAGGGGTTGTCCTATCCACTGGATTTGAATTCTCCGCTGCTTAGGTCACCCTTTAGTGAACATTCATATGGGACACAGTATCTTAACATTTTTCACCCACTTGGAGAGGTTTATCTACATACTTTTCCCCCAGACCCCCTTGTCATTAATTTTCCAACCATGTCTTTCCCAACTCCCTGAACATCCAGCCAAACCGTTGTCCACAGCTTATGAATCAGTATATGACTACATCTCACCATTTCTCCTTGGAAACAAAGTACCCACCCAGGGGAACTGCCCAAAGTTCTGCCCAATGGGAGGATTTCCCTTCACCATTGTCCCTCAGGGCTGTGTCATTTGGGCTGAAGTGCTGCAGCTGCCCACAAGGCCTGAGCTTCTCTTACTCTGTCACCTAATCAGAGGGAGCTCCCCATGAGGCCATAGGTACAGGCTGGGAGAGAGAAGGCAGGGTAGCAGGACTGGGGACTATGGTCATTGGGGCCATTTTGTCGTGTCACTTACTTGTGCCTTAAGGGTCTGCTCGGAGCTGATCATATATATTAGCACTTTCATTTGATGATGGAGGGCTGCTGTTCACACCCAGCTTTATGGCTTGGTGGGTCAGGTAACGCCCAGTTCATGATGGGCAGCTCAGGTCATGCGGTAACTTGGCCCACAGGTAGGGGTTCAGGCTCTACTCAGGCCCAGCGGCAGGCCAAGAGGCTTTCTCAAAAGGAGAATAGTTACCTGCAAAAGATGGCAGGATCTTGCTCTAAAATCCTGTTCCCAGGCCTGTGGTATGGCTCCCGCATGGGGGCCTGCCAGTGGCTCTGGTGGCCTCCCTTAGCACACCGAGCTCACGCCAGGTGGAAGCGGGGGAAGCAGATGATGGGAGGCTGCAGTGGGGATCAAGGACTTGCACCTGCGTCTTGCCCAGAGGCCAGGTTGGGACTGGGAGGGAAGTGCAGTGATTCACGGTCAGTAAAGTGTTTGAGCCTCACACCGCTGCAGAGCAGCGGTTCTTCTGAGATCAGCAGAGACCACTGGGTTGGTGAAATACCCAATGGTATCTTGGGACTTGGGAAACCTAGAACTGGATCCTAGATCCATAACCCACCAGCTGGGTAAGCTGGGACACACTGCCTTGTCCTTGTCCATAGAAGAAGTGATGCTGGACTGGGTGGATTTGTGCCACCTTTTTCTCAACTGTAGAGCGGAGTTAGTAATGATCTGACCTCATGTGGGGGTTAAAGGAATAACCGTGTAGCCGGCGAAGGGCACCCCGACTAGTCGGGGACTCTAGCAGGGTGAGTTGTTTTCTGTAAGGTCCCTGCGTATTAATTTTAGTTTATATTTATACTTTCAGAAGTGTTAAGTGTAAAAAGGACTTCTTTTATCCGTGAAATCACTTTTTGAAGATTTCAAAATGTCTGTATAATACATAGATTTAAAATAAAATTTCTAATAACTCTATAAAACCTACGTGAACAAAATAATAAAATTTATTTAGAGCATATCAAAGAAGACACAAATGAATGGAAATTTGTACCATTTCTGAAATGGAAGAATTCAATATAATGAAAATACCAAGTTAATCTATCCAGTTAACTTCAGTGCCAATCAAAGTTACAATGCAAGTGGAAGGAAGGGAAGTATTATTCTTTGTAATTTAAAGACTTCAGGTTTCTTTTTTTAACTTTGGCAAGCTTTTCACCTGGGAGAATAAACAAATGAAAAAAGCCAAGAGACATGTGAGGAGGGTGAAAAACGGATGTGGACCTAGCAGCTTGCAGGTCATCTGCACATTCCACTATAGGAAGTATTAACTGTGCACGTGAATCACCTTGGTAATCAGAGGGTATTTTCTAAATTAACATTTCTTATTCAGTGTTTTCCAGGGTGCCTGACGATTCAGATTCGCACTGTCCTGTGTATTTTCATAGTGGTCTTAATCTACTCAGTAGCCCAAGGTTGTGTGGTGAGCATCTCCAGCTTGTGGCATGCGCTGGGGCGGGAGAGGGCATGGCATGGAGGACCAGCCCAGAAGCCAGGACCCAGGGCTGCAGAGACAGGGAGGTCATCAGAGACGTCAGTAACAGGCATGGGGCCCCAAGGAGCCAGGGAACAAGAGACTTTACTTAGCAGAGGAAAATGCAAATTCTCCCTGGTGAAAGGAGCCTGGCTTCTTCATACGGTGCAGAGGACAGAAGCAGGGGTGGAAAAACAGGACAGACAGGGCAGGAGGAACAGGATGGAGCTGGGCAGCAGTAACAGGATGAAGCTGGGCCAGGAGGAACAGGATGGAGCTGGGGCTTGGAGTGAAAGGATGGAAGTGGGTGGGAGTAACAGGATGGAGTTTGTAGTGGGAGTAACAGGATAGAAGTGGGGCAGGAGTAACAAGATGGAGCTGGAGGCAGGAGAAACAGGAAGGACAGAGCTGGGGGCAGGAGGAACAGGACGGAGCTAGGGGCATGATTAACAGGACAGAGCTGGGGGCAGGAGGAACAGGACAGAGCTGGGTGCATGATTAACAGGACAGAGCCGGGGGCAGGAGGAACAGGATGGAGCTGGGGCAGGAGTAACAGGTTGGAGCTGGGGGCAGGAGTAACAGGTTGGAGCCGCTGGGCTGGGGAGCAGGCAGGGCTGATCCCACCTGGTCCTCCCTGGAGCCTCTTGCCTGCTCTGGCAGCCAGTGGGGAGCCTTGAAGTGCTGTGAGTTGCCATGAGGTCTGTGGCTTGGTGTGATAGCACTGGGGGTGGGTCAGAGCAAAACCTTGGGAGACCTGCTTGAAGAGGGACACCTGAGCATGCTTAGGGGCTGCAGGTCTTCACCTGCCCTTTGCTAAGCCCCTGTGACCCCTCCCTTCCCAGGTGGGCTGCCTGCCTTGGGCCTGGAGCTCCAAGCCCAACAGTTCCCTGGTGGTCCTTTCGTCTGGGGGCCAGCGCACAGCCCTGCCCACCCTGCCCTGCGAGTCTACACACCATGCCCTGCTCTGCTGCCTGGTGGGCACCCTCCCGCTAGCCATATTTTTCCGGGTGTCCTCCTTGCCAAAAATGATCCTGCTCTCCGGGCTCACCACGTCCTACATCCTCGTTCTGGAGCTCAGCGGATACACCAGGACTGGGTAAGTGTGTGGCTCCTCAAGAAAAAGGCCTAAGCAGCGGTGCTACTGAATCTGTGTATACAGATATGCACTACAGGCTTCTGAGTCCAGAACTAGTCAAGTTGAATTGTATACACAATTTTTAGTTTGGTGGCTGCTTCTCTTCAACCCAAGTTCTAGCAAGGACTCAGATTTCCCTATGATAAGTGATTCTTGGCCAAGGTCAATCCCAGCAAGCTGTTTTTGGGTGTCACCACCTGAGGGTCACTCTGAACAGTTCTTGGGTTTGGTGGCAGAGTCTTGCCCTGGAAGCTCGGCACTGACTTGGCTTTTCTTCCTCATCTTCCCCCAGGGGTGGTGCCGTCTCCGGGCGCAGCTACGAGCCGATTGTGGCCATCCTGCTCTTCTCCTGTGCGCTGGCCCTGCATGCCAGGCAGGTGGACATCAGGCTGAGGCTGGACTACCTCTGGGCCGCACAGGCAAGACGAGCCCTTTCTGCTTTCTGGGGGTGGGGGATTTAGAGGAGGAAGAAGTCTTCAGCAAGCATCTGACGGGGGCTGCCACAGACACCCACACGCCGTATGGCCCTCGGAGGGCCCTCCTCAGCAGCATGCAAGCCAGGCACTGTCCGGGGATGGAGGAGACCTATGCTGGGGGTGCAGGGAGTGGGAGCCATGCCTCGTGAGAGGACAGTTCAGAAGGTTGTGGGGTGCATGTTGTGGAGACCTGCCTGATGGTCAGAGCGTGGCTCTTTCACGAGGCAGTGAGTCCCCCTTCACTGAACAGCATGTGCAGTGGTGGTGCAGAGGGGCTCAGCCTCTGCAGGGCTGGGCAGTGGCAGCAGGTCTCATCGGGGTCATTGGGAAATACAAGAAAATGCCAAAACTCTCACCACCTACTCCAAATTGAGTAGGTCAGCAGGTGGGGGCTGGACGTCTATATTTTTACATGTACCCTGGGAAATTCTGACACAAGAGGCATAAGCACCACTCTTTGGGAGACTCCATGGAGTAGCAAACATGTGAACTGGCTTCAGGCCCCAAACATCTGGGTACCAGGCTGGAGAGGAGACATGCTTTCCTGAAGTCTGTAGGTGGCTTTCTGTTTGGATGTGATCCTGGCAATGACTGCCAGATATTCACCTTGAGTTCCTGCTGCGGAGCCACAGCAGGGGTGTACCTGTGTCCACCCCATGGCCAGGGGCCAAGGCAGCGTGTGGGTGCTGGTGTGAGCATCTTCACACCAACTCCATACTCCACAGCCCTCCGGGAGGTGAGGCAATCAAACATTTAGGACCAGGCTACCTGGGTTCAAATCCCATTTGTGGAATTTGCAAACTGTTTCACCCTGGGAAAATTGCTCCTCCTAGGTTTCCTCCCCTGAAAACCGGGAATGAAGGCTGATGAATATTAGCTTTAGCAAGAGATAGTCTTCTTATTTTGACACCTTAAGAATAGCTCTTCGCTGTTGGAGCTATTTGATCTCATTCAGTCTTCAGAACAGCACTGCCTAGGAGCTGGGATTACAGACAAGAACACAGGGGCCACTAAAGTAACATGCCAGAGTCGGGCAGCCAGAAGGTGGCTGAGCTGGGATCCAGCTGCCATCTGTGTGATCTTTGGGTAGGCTCTGAACCTGTGGAGAGAGCTGTGTCTGGGGCCAGGCAGGACAAGAGCATTTTCACCCTAGTCCTACTCTGCAGTCAGGACTGAAGGCAGGTGCAGCCCAGAGTTGGGGCACAGACACCAGACAGGCACAGCCCAGAGGGTGCCCAGGAGGAAGCGTGGCCAGGACCAGCTGAGAGCTCACTGTGGAAGCAGGACCAGGCTTGCTGCTGGAGTTGGGAAGCCTGTCAATTTTTTGTCTTTGTTCCTGAGGCTGACTGGGCATCAAGCCATGCAGTTAAGTGACCGAAACCCTGGTCAGCAGTAGCAGGGGTAACAAAGGTTGGGCCTGGCATCAGGTGGTCCTCGTCCTGAATTCCAGCAACTCCATGTAGGGTCTGCATGACTTCAACCAGTGATAGGTCAATCTGTCTTTCTGCTTCAGCAGTAAAATGGGGTGAGAACCCTAATCCAGGTGTGCAAGAAATAACTGAAATTCTATTCCTGATGTCGTTGGCCACGGGCCTTGTGCAAAGTAGGTGCTCGGTAAGGCTGAGCAGCCCTTTGTCTGGCAGCCTGTTACTCTGTGATGAGCCATTTTTGGGGGGATCTCTTTCTGGGAGGGAGGGTTAGAGTAGGGTGAAGGGTAGGTGTGAGGAGCATCTGGAGGCAAGTTATCACTCATGAAAAAAATGAACACAATTGTTTCCTCTAGTTTTATTCATCTGGAAAAGACAGAAGCAGCTCAGTGGGTTTATGTCAGCATGACAGGGCAGGATGCATATTTAAAGTGATGGAAATTATGTTGTTGATTTGAGTAAGCAAAAGAAAGAACATATACATACATCACACACACACACTGTCTATATGTGTATCTATATACATGTGCTCACAAATGCTTGGTGAAAAACATGGCTTATTTTTTCCTTCACTGTATAATAGCTTTATTGAGATATATTTCACATAACACAATTCACTTGTTTAGTGAACAGTGGTTTTCAGTATACTCACAGTCCTGTAACGATTACTATAATCAATATTAGAATATTTTTATCTCCCTCAAGAGAAACCCATCCCCATCAGTTAACACTCCCCATTTCTCCTCAACCCCCAAACCCTAGGCAACTACCAGTCTACCCGCTGTCTGTAGATTTTCCCATTTCATTTATTTTTCAGCCTGTGTATTAAGTTAGTGCCTGTTCTGGGCAGAAGACATTCCTGTGTCCTACTAGATGGAGCTCTGAGCTAGCCTTGTAGGTGGGGAAGATCCAGATTCCTGAGGGACTCATGATCTGGCGCTGTCTTCACTGCATACCTGAATTCCAGGTTCTGGAGTGGGCAGGGGTTGCTGAGAACCCTCGCCCTTTGGCCTCTCCCGGGGAAGTGCTGCTGTGTGGTGCGCTCACTGTCAGCAGGGCTGTCTGGGCAGAACAGGCCCTAATTCCTGCTGGGGAGTGGGAGGGGACCCTGGTGGGGGCATAAATACATCTGCATTAAGCTGTTCTTGCACTGCTATAAAGGAATATCAGAGACTGGGTTATTTATAAAGAAAAGAGGTTTAATTGGCTCACAGTTCTACAGGCTGTACCAACAGGCACCAGCATCTGCTTGGCTTCTGGGAAGGGCTCAGGGAGCTTTTACTCATAGCAGAAGGCAAAACATGAACATACATGTCACATGGCGAGAGCAGGAGCAAGGGGGTGGGGGGAAGGTGCCACACACTTTAAAACAACTGGATCTTGCGAGAACTCTGACTATCGCGAGAAAGGATAGCACCAAGCCATGAGGTATCCACCTGCTTGACCCACACACCTTCCACCAGACCCCATCTCCAACACTAGGATTACATTTCAGCATGAGATTTGGCAGGGACAGATACCCAAACCATATCAACATCTGAGTCTGACTTATCACCAGAGGAATGCAGGCTGTGGCAGGAAGTGAGTCCTCACGCCAGAAGGCCTGACTGCGGCCACAGTGGGTTTGAGAGGAAGCAAAGCCAGGCATACTGTGTTTCTCTGGGCCTTGTGCGATGCTTCAGATTCGGTTATGGAAGGATGAGGGATGGGGTTGAGGGGAAAGGGACGAGGAACATGGCAGAAAGAGGGAATTCTTCAGCAAAAACTGTGAGAGGAGTCAGAGTCCAATCACAGGGGCCAGTGCTCCCTCCAGGCCCCCTGTGGGCAGTGGAGCTGCAAAGGGAGGGCGATAGGACCCGATCCCTGTCTCCAAAGGTGGTCTGACAATGGAGTGTGACACACAGCCCAGGAGGCAGGTGGGAGCCCTGTGATCCACAGGGGCCCTGAGGAAAGCAAGTTGCATGGTCAGGGGCTGGCAGGAGGGCACCTCGGAAGTGGTCGTGTGGAGTCTGGCCACTGTTGGCCATCAAGTGAGGGTGCAGTAGTGGAGGTAGAGTGGGTCTCCAGGGGGCTGTGCATGTATCACAGCCTGGGCTGAGAGCGGAGGGCACACTCTAAGGGGGTGAGTTCAGGAGCCCTTATGATGCTTGGACTATTTGAAAGACAGGGGCAGGCACAGGGCATCTCCAGGCTGGTGTGGCACTTGGGGCAGCCACAGTGGGAATGGGCCCTAGAACCAGGGAACAGAGAGGGCTGCCTGATAGGATTCACCACCTTCAGCCGGGAGACGCAGCCAGTCCGCAGCAACCATGCAAAGAGGAACTGGGAATGCTCTCCTCCCTCGCTACTGGCCCCTGCTCCCGCTCCCCATTGGCCAAACCTGGCCGGAAGTAGGAGGCCCAGGACCCTGTTGGTAGAGTCCTTGGACTGGCCTCCCTGGTACAGAACCGGTGGGGAATGGACTGCAGATACAGCACATACCTGCCCTGGAAGGGAGATCTGGCCAGATACAGCACATACCTGCCCTGGAAGGGAGATCTGGCCAGCTGCAGTTTGCTAAAGCCACACCAGGTAATAGGAAAAGAGCCTCTTTATGATGGGCTGTGTTGCTGAACTTGGTCTTAGTTTGGCTCTGGCTGGCTATCCAGGGTGATCCAGCTGGCTGGTCTGGGAGGATATGTTGACCCAGCCATCAGCTGGCCTCTCTGGGTTCAGATCTTTTTGTTGCAAAAACCTACTCAGAGCTTGAGAAGAATGGACTTGGGATGAGCTAGAAAAACTGGAACAGCCCAGGCCCATGAGATCTGGGGTTTCCAGGTTATTTACTAGGGTGCCTGGTTGGTTCCTCATTCTCAGACAGCAGATTTGGGCCTTGGCTATGACTCTTCCAGTTGAGGGACACTTCTGGGAGAGACATTTCCTCTCATCTGGGTTGACATGGCTTTTTCTTGGCTTTGTTGTTCTTTGAAATGTTATTAAATGCAGTATTTGACCCTGCCATGTCGTTCTCCATCCAGTGACACCCCCTAGCAATGCCCAATGAGCATACCAGTAATTTTAGGGCTAGAATATGCATTCCTGGGCCTTGGGGCAGCCCGGGCAAGTCTGCGGATCCTTGTGCATGCGTGTCACAAGAAAGGGTTGCCCACATGGAGTATACTGCCATGTTTGTCCACAGATAGGTAACAACAAATGCCACCTGCTTTCCCGTAACCCTAGCAAAACACAGAACTTTGTAGACTTTGCCTGTTTGCCCTTGGACATTTAGGTATGTAGTACAAACATTAGAGTGCCTCAAACTATTGCAAAATTGCCAGGCCAAACACTAGGTAGGTTAATTATTTACAGAGACTGGATTGATTGTCCAAACCTGCACAAACAGATAGGCTTTTCCCTTGGGAGGCATCTTCAGCCTCTTCGCCTGTAAACTCTTGTATGCTTTTGTTCCAGTGTCATTTCTTTCTTTGCATTCAGTAGATAATCATCATGGCAATTATAATTTCAATGTTTATGCTATTTAGTATAGAATGAAGTTAAAACAACTTATTTCTCTACCAATAAACGCTTAATTCGATGGTAATTCCCATTTTGCAGTTGCCATTATTAACATTTAGAGGGAAGGTTTCCTAAGATGTGGTCATGGCATAGACATGGAATTTCTGGTGGCAGAAGCTAAGTTAGAGACCTGGTTCCACCTCTTACTCTGGTCACTTGTCTTCTCCACACATGTGACAGTGACACTTGTCTCTCAGGGGGTTGTGGAGGAGTTTATGTCATATAAAGCCGTGGTCATCATGCTTCTTGGACCCTGAAATGTTGTACGCTTGTTAGTCGTCATCTTGTCCTCTGTTACTGGCCATAGGTTTCACATCTGGCCTTTGGGTGAGTACATCCTCACAAACAGCTTTTATGGAGGGACAGATGGTTCCAGATGTATCCTAGCTGCATCCTGCAGCACACTTCTATGGAAACCTCCGAGGAGCCAAACCTTGGTGCGTAACCTCAGGACCCCACATCCATCAGGCCCCATGCCCACTGGAAATACACCCTTTGCCCATCTGAGAGTGCACACACAGCCTCTGGCAGGCATCCACTCTGTACCTACACACAAAGTGTTACCACCTGCCTCCATCCAACAGGTGCTTATTGGGCACCAAAGTATACCTAATCCTGTGCTGGGGACGCTCACATGGTTGAGGTGTAACCCCTGCCCTTGGGTGCTCACAGGCTGTTAAAGGAATCAAACACAAGCCACAGAAAATTTCAGTACAGTGAAGGGCGTGCCATGTAAAATGTAGACAGGACCCTGACCCAGGTAGGTTGGATGTGATATCATTTAAATGTAATACCTCACCCCTGAGGCTTAAAGGATGAGTAGGAATTAGCCAAGGAAAGGGCAGAGTGCTAGGTGGGGTAAGTATGTCTGTCTCGTGAGATGCTTGTTTTTATTGTTATTTTAAAAAATCAGTTCATAATACTGTATTGTGTACTTGAAATTTGGTAAGATAGCAGATTTTAAGTGTCCTCACCGCCCCCATCCCAGACACACACAAATGGTAACTGCAGATGGTGATAGATTTGTTAAGTAATTTGATCGTAGTAGTTATGCAATGTATACATATAGGAAACCATCACATTGCACATCTTAGATATATACAGTTTTTGTTTGTCAATTAAATATTTCAAAATAAAAAAAAATACTAAGCTCACAAAGACTTACCAAATCTGGATCTCAAGAGCAAGAAATTAAATGTTGGTCAAAGGAAAAAAAGGGTCTTTCAGTAATGTTAGCGGGTAATAAAGGGGTCAGTTTATCAAGAGGACATAGTCCTAAACATTTATGTACCTAAAACAGATCATCAAAATACATAAAGTAAAAATTGATAGAACTGCAAGAAATTCTTCTATCTATAATTATAGTTGGAGTTTCCAACATTCCTTTCGAAAAGCGATAGAATCGCTGGACAGAAAATCAGTGACAGATTACAACACTTAAGAACCCTGTCTTGCATCCCAGGGATGAAGCCCACTTGATCATGGTGGATAAGCTTTTTGATGTGCTGCTGGATTCGGTTTGCCAGTATTTTATTGAGGATTTTTGCATCAATGTTCATCAAGGATATTGGTCTAAAATTCTCTTTTTTGGTTGTGTCTCTGCCCGGCTTTGGTATCAGAATGATGCTGGCCTCATAAAATGAGTTAGGGAGGATTCCCTCTTTTTCTATTGATTGGAATACTTTCAGAAGGAATGGTACCAGCTCCTCCTTGTACCTCTGGTAGAATTCGGCTGTGAATCCATCTGGTCCTGGACTCTTTTTGGTTGGTAAACTATTGATTATTGCCACAATTTCAGAGCCTGTTATTGGTCTATTCAGAGATTCAACTTCTTCCTGGTTTAGTCTTGGGAGAGTGTATGTGTCAAGGAATGTATCCATTTCTTCTAGATTTTCTAGTTTATTTGTGTAGAGGTGTTTGTAGTATTCTCTGATGGTAGTTTAACATGCACACGTATGTTTATTGCGGCACTATTCACAATAGCAAAGACTTGGAACCAACCCAAATGTCCAACAATGATAGACTGGATTAAGAAAATGTGGCACATATACACCATGGAATACTATGCAGCCATAAAAAATGATGAGTTCATATCCTTTGTAGGGACATGGATGAAATTGGAAACCATCATTCTCAGTAAACTATCGCAAGAACAAAAAACCAAACACCGCATATTCTCACTCATAGGTGGGAATTGAACAATGAGATCACATGGACACAGGAAGGGGAATATCACACTCTGGGGACTGTGGTGGGGTCGGGGGAGGGGGGAGGGATAGCATTGGGAGACATACCTAATGCTAGATGACACATTAGTGGGTGCAGCGCACCAGCATGGCACATGTATACATATGTAACTAAGCTGCACAATGTGCACATGTACCCTAAAACTTAGAGTATAATAAAAAAAAAAAAAAAAAAAAAACACTGTCAACCAACTTGACTTAATTGACATTTATAAAACACACTATCCAACAGCAACAGAATACGCATTCTATTCAAGAGCACATAAGTATGAACAGTACAGCAAGTCTCAAGAAATTCAAAAGGATTCAAATCATACAAAGTATGTTCCTTAACTACAATATAATTAAATTAGAAGTCCATAACAGAAAGATCTCTGAGAAATCCTCAGCTAAAGAATATACTTCTTAGTAACTTTTGGTTCAAAGAAATCAAACAGGAAATTAGAAAGTAATATGAACCAAATGAAACTACATATGAGATCAACATTTGTGGGGTTCAGCTAAAGCAGTACTTGGAGGAAAATGTATAATACAAAGCACCTGTATTAGAAAAGAAGAAAGGTCTCTCTCAAATCACCTTAAGAAGCCAGAAAAGAGGAAATTAAACCAAAAGTAATCAGAAGAAATTAAATAATAGAGACCAGTTTCTATAAATGTTTAAGGAATAAAATAACAAGGAAGTATTATAATCAATTTTATCTCAATAAAATTGACAACTTACAGGGAAGGATACAGATCCTTTGGGTCTTGCTTTTCACCTTTGTTAGGAAGAACCAGAGGAGCATTAATTCTCAGACTAATTTTGTCCGCTCCTGAGGCAAAACCCTTT